>NC_000016.10:55168560-55471591 GCF_000001405.40 Homo sapiens | reverse complement strand
TTCTGGAAGCTACTGCTGTCTTGAAACAATCTTGTAACTTTTATTTCTGACTTCTTTATTGACTTCTGAACTAGAATGTCAGTTGTGTTTCCAGTACTTAGAACGGGGTTTTGCACATAGTAGGTACTCAATAAATATCTGTTGAACAAATAAATGGTTGAAGAAATGAATGATTCTTCCATACATATGAGCAGATGGAAGGGCAGGCTCAGTAAACAGAGTTAGGGCTGGTGGGGTGGTCCCCAGGGTAGAAGGAAAGGCCAGAAAGAGCATGAAGGCTACAGAGACCCTCTACCCGAGGTCCCTGCCCTCCTTGGTTTTGTCACAGGTCCCAGGTACATCTGAGAAGCATTCAAGGGCCCAAAAGTGGGCTGGAACACACAGCCCTTAAGGAGCAGAGGCAGGGCGTTCCCCAGGGCCAAGACATCCCAGAAGATTTAGGTTCTCTGCTGGGCTCCTCAACACCAGGCTCATGGATTCCAAGCTCCAGAGGCTCAGAAGTCCTGGTTACTGTTCTTAAAACCCTTTGCCAACTTTGACTTACTCTTAAATAAAACCACAACTCCTTGCCACAGCCTGCAGAACCCTCCACACCCTGCTGTGACCTCTCTGCAGCAATCGGGATCCCAGGAGGGAGCAGATGGCCCTCCCGGATAAGGATAATTCGAGGAGAGCTTACTGATGATGGATTAATTCCAAAGCACAGGGGTAGGGTATAAGGGAAGCCAAGGGGTGGCACGCAGGGACCTGGGCCAGAAGCACCAGGCCCAGAGGGCTGACCAGAGGGAGCAGTTCCTGGAACCCAAAAGGAGGGAAAATTGCACACAGCAGAGGCCATGAATGAAGCAGCCAGCCCCAGGCAACCTCCCAGGAGGAATCCGGAAATAAACACACTGACTTTATTCTCCTCTCTCCTTCTGATCTTTTGCCAGGCTTCCCATTGGCAGAACCCAGTCCATCCCAGGGAGCACAGGAGCTGGGCAATGCAGTCTGAGGGTGGGAGGTGCAGAGCCACCTGGGGAGGCAAAGAGGAGGGCCCAGCTCTGGCTTCTATCTTTGCATTCTTTCCCTTGATCTTTCAGCTTGGGCCACACTAGCCTTCTCTCTATTCCTGAAAGATAGCAACCCTGTGGTGAGGGCCATAAAGGTGGCTGCTCGGGTCTTCTTTTAAGAAAGAACTTGCAGACCGGGCTCAGTCGCTCTCGCCTGTAATCCCAACACTTTGAGAGGCCGAGGCATGTGGATCACTTGAGGTGAGGAGTTCGAGACCAGCCTAACCAACATGGTGAAACCCTATCTCCATTAAAAATTAGCCAGGAGTGGTGGTGCATGCCTGTAGTCCCAGCTACTCAGGAGGCTGAGGTGGGAGGATTGCTTGAACCCCGGAGGTGGAGGTTGCAGTGAGCCAAGATTGCGCCACTGAACTCCACCCTGGGAGACAGAACAAGATCCTGTCTCAAAAAAAAAAAAAGAAAAGAAAAGAAAAAGAAAGAACTTGCCATTCAGCAGCAGAATGCAGTGAAATGACAGCCTCAGCCTTTAAGCCTAAGCCATCCTCCTTTCAGTCAAGCCCCAGCTAATGGTTAAGCACGGCAGGGGGCTAGAGCCTGGTGTATCTGCCTAAATGTGGGACTCTATCCTTTCTCCAGAGCTCCCCATTGGGTGGGTTGATACTTTTCAGAGCTGTGTGGAGGTCTGAGATTCTCTCTTTTCAAATATGCTTCATTCCCCCTTTTTTTTCTTAGTCCCCCAAACTTATAGCTTCATCTCAGACTCTGATTCCTGGAGGACGCAACTAACACATCTGTCCCCACTGGATTTTGCATTCAATGTTCCCTTGAACTGCAAAGCTTCTCATCTTTAAGGTCTCAGCTCCAGTGCCACCTCCTCAGCAAAGCCTTCCTTGACTGACCATCCCCTAAAACCAGTCACTCCTGTGTTATTTCATTTCTGGCAGCTACTGCTGTCTTGAAACAATCTTGTTACTTTAATTTCTGACTTTTTAAAATTGACTCCTGCCCTTGAATGTCAGCTGCATCTCCAGTACTTAGAACAGGGTTTTGCACATAGTGGGTGCTCAATATACATCTGTTCAATAAATACATGGTTGAAGAAATGAATGATACTTCCCTAGATATGGGGAGATGGAAAGGCAGGCCCGGTAACTGGAGTTGGGTATGGTGGGGTGGTCCCCAGGGTAGAAGGAAAGGCTAAACAGAGCACTGGGGGCTCTGCCCTGGGCTGCTCAGGAGTCATTTTGCTGACTCAAAACTCTAGGGATTTTCTTGTCTTATAAAGGCACAGGTTCCATCCTAGAGCTTCCCTTTCTGCCATGTGGAGGTAAGGTAAGGATAGACCACTTTAGACTTGGCAGTCTGAAGGTAGAATTGTTTATTTGTAACCAACAGCAGGAGAAATTTAGGGTAGGCTCTAGGTGGGACTTCCCAACAGCAAATAAAAAGAATGAGGATTTAAAGGGTTCATAAGGTAGGCCCACTTCCCTGAGGGACCTTAGCAAGACAGAGGACTGGTGAGACCCTCTTTGGCCTAGCGTGGACTCATGGGTGGACTCCAGGATCTTAAGACAGCTTGAAGATTCTGGCTGGGATGGGAAGGATAAGCGGGCAGTTGGCTTCCTTCCTTGCCACCCCCACCTTGCTCATTGCTTCCCCCATCCAATTTTCTCTCCACCACCCAACGTGGGGTCTCTGAATCCCTGAGTCACTGTGTCCTCCAAGACTCTGCCCCGGCCCACTTCCCCATCTCTCCCTGCTGTGTTCTTAGCCACAGCCTCTTACTTTGGTTTTGTCCAAATGTGTGGCCTCTGGCTGGGATGGTCAGGACTGGTTAGGATGTGGCGCTGGGGCAGCTGTTGCTTGTGCCTGCTCACCCCCACTCTCTGTTCTGCTCACAGCAGACTAGGCTGTCCTCAAGAAAGCAGGTGTCCCTACCAGCCATGTGCCCCAGGTCGGTGGGAGACTTGATCCCTCAGGGACATGATGCTAACTTCAGGAATGGGCATAGGAGACTGTTGAACGTGTCTGTCTGGGGCAAGGGGCTCCTCAGAGAGGAGCAGGGGAACAGAAGACATGGCCTTGTGATGCTGTTTGAGATCCTGGATCCAGCTATACCTGAAACCAATCTAGTCTTGGATTTTTCAGTCTAGTGAGCCCTTTTTATACTTAGTCCAATTTCAGTAACGTTTCTATTATTTGTACCTAAAAGCTCCTGGGCAATAGAAGTGTAACCTTGGAAAGGCCACCACTAAGCTTCTCCCCAGCAGGACTCATCCCCCAGGGAAGGAGTCTTCAGTGGATAAGGCTAGTGAATTGCCATAGGTCCTGGTGTGAGTCTGTCTGTCTGCAGGTCACTAAGCCAGGCAGTGACCTTGCCATTTCCTGTGCTTCTGGGGGTTGGGTTTTCCCTGGGCACCATGGGGTGGAAGAGATCAGAGTAGAGATCTGGCCCCCATGGAGCACCAGGACATCAGTGAGGAAGGGGCCACATTCCTGCTGCTGTTTGAGCAACCCTGGGAAGCCCAGGTTATGGGGAGCTAGTTGGAAACCAAGCAGCGAACTCCCTGTGCTGTACGGGAATGTGCTCAGACCAGCTTGGGCTCCTCTACTGGGGGAGGCTGCAGAGAGGACGCTACCCACCCAGATCTGCCTCTGATTGGAGGACCTATGTCCAGCTGCTAGTATGATGCTGCCCTGGCAGAAGGGACCAGCCTCCCTGAAGGTCACGTCTTTTCCTGGAGCAAGGCATCCAAGGTTGGTTGGTGCCCAATTAGAAAGGCTCCACTCCCTCCTTTTCCCAATTTGGAACACTTCCTTTTTTTCTTTTTTCTTTTTTTTTTTTTTTTAAGACAGAGTCTCACTCTGTCACCCAGGCTGGAGTGCAGTCGTGATCTCAGCTCACTACAACCTCTGCCTCCCAGGTTTAAGTGATTCTCCTGTCTCAGGCTCCTGAGTAGCTGGGATTACAGGTGTTTGCTAACATGCCTGGCTAATTTTTGTATTTTTAGTAGAGAGAGGGTTTCACCATGTTGGCCTGGGGAGTCTCGAACTCCTGACCTCAAGCGATCCACCCGCGTTGGTCTCTCAAAATGCTGGGATTACAGGTGTGAGCCACCGCGCCCAGCCCAATTTAGAACACTTCTGAAGTGCCGTTCAGTTCTAGAGCTTCCCTGTGAGGTGGGATGAGGCCTTTGTGGAGACTGCACAGCAGCCCACCTTCTCTACCTGCCCCATTCCACTTCCTTCCTTCCCCTTCTGAGGGTGGTGACCCCGAGAACACTTCCTGATAAATCTTCTGCTTACTCTTTGTCTCAAAGTCTGGGCCTCCTAGGCAGTCCATCCTGTGAAAATCCCCCATAGCACCATGGGTTCCTCATGGACACTTGTTCCTTTGGGTTAAGGCACTGTCCCTTAGGTGGGGTGGGGTTGGGGACAATACTTTTCCAGAGGAAAGGGAACATGGTAGCCACACATTTGTTACTGGTAGCCTTTCCAGGCCTGCCTTCCTGTAGAATCGAAGACCACAAATGGTCGGAGAAAGGAGAGGCCCAGATCGGGGCATAGCCAGAAGTGGGGTCCTTGGGCAGTTAGGGGCTGCAAACTGAAGACCAGCATATCAGATCTGCACAATTCCCAGAGATGATCCAATTCAATTTCCCTGTTTAATGACAGCCAATGCTGGGAGAGAGACTGAGCACTGACTGCATGTCAGGCACTGTGGTAGGTCTTTTATGGATGTTAATTTCCAGGGTATTTCTTTGAAACGGGTGGCATGGTTAGCAACCTGTTTAATAGTTGAGGAAGCTGAGGCACAGAGAGGATGACTTACTCGTGGCCGCACACTTAATATCAGCATCAGGATATGCCTTGGGGTTCTCTAATGCCATAGCCTTTCCACCTAACCACCACATTACATAGACTTCCCGGAGAGATGGGGAAACTGAGGCACAGGAAAGTATTTGCCTGGGCCACACAACAAAGGGAGGACAAACAGAAATCCCCTGGGCTCACTTTGAGCCAGGAACTGTGCCAGGCATTTTCACACAGGTTGTTGTACTCAGTCCTCCCAGTAAATCCAGGGGTGACTAGGCTATGACTATGATGGGAAAAGTGAGCCCAGAGAAGTTAAGGAATTTGACCAAGGACACACAGCAAGTAAGCACAGTACTGGAACCCGAATCGTTGATTCTTTCTTCTGCAGCTGCTGCTACCTTTTCCACGGCTGGGTTCTCTCTCTGCCCAGCTCCCCACTCTGCTGTCTCGTGCCTCTTTGTGGCATCCCTGCAGCCAACATCCCTCTGACCCTCCACTGCCCTCAGCTCACTGGTTCCCCCTAGTTTAGGGATGTTCTCCAAATGCCCTCCCTTTGACCCATCTGCAACTCTACCCTACTTTCAAAGGCAGCTCAAAACTCCTTGCCTCCAGGAAGTCCTCCTTGATTCCGAGCCCTTCATCTGCAGCCATGTTTGGGTACTGAATATGGCTTCCAGATCATGTGACCCCAGGTGACAACCTCATAGAGCCTCACTCCCTTTATTTGTCCAATAATTGTAGCAACTCTCTCTCAGGGCTGTGGCAAGAATTTGTTGGTGTTTACAGTGCCTGGAATGCATGCAGTAGATATCTAGTAATTGATCATTATCTTTATAATAATGTGTTCCCTACAGTGTTCACCAAGCAGGCCTGTGTGTATGTGTATGTGTGCGTGTACAGGTGTGTGTGTGTGTATATATGTGTATATGTGTGTGTTGTATGAGTATGTATGTGTATATATGTGTGCATGGATGTGTGTGTATGTGTATGTGTACACGTGTGTATATATGTGTGTATGTAGATATGTGTGTATATATGCACGTGTGTGTTTGTGTGTATGTTTATATGTGTGTGTATGTGTGCGTGTGGATATATATGTGTGTATGTGTATACGTGTGTGTGTATGTATGTTTATATATGCGTGTGTGTGTGTGTGTGTATCTGTCCAAATCAAAAGATCAAAAGTCTTTGGTGAGTACTTACTGAGTGCAAGGTTTTTGTGCTGGGAGGAGGCGCCCAGACCATTGGCCAATGACGCTCTGATGAGGATGGGGTTGGATGCTCATTACCCTACAATAGAACTGGGCCTCCTTGGCCGCCGAGCTCCTCCTTGGGCTTAGAATTACCTGGGCAGGGAAGGATCTGTTCTCTCAGACCACAGGTTCGCTAAGGCGGGGTGACTCCAGCCCCGATCCCACATTTCTAAGGCGCGCTTCCTTCTGCAGATAGGCTGCGCCATCTGGTGGCCACTTTTGGAGAAGCAGCCTCAGGGCTCAGAGCGGCCTAGATCAGCCCATTCTCTGGGCTCATGGCACCATCTAGTGGCTTTAATGCACAATCACGGTCCATTAGCTTCAGCCTCAGCATCGCCTGAGGATGAGGTTTTTTAAAAAATTCTGGGACTCCATCTTAGAGCTACATAATCAGAATTTGGGGGAATGCATCCACAGAATTTATATTTTAAACAAGATTCCCGTGCGATTCTTAACTCTGGAAAATTTTGAGAATCATGACCGTACAAATACTTCTGCTGAATTATTTGCACCTGCTCCTCACCTGTTTGGTAATAAAATCAGCATCCACTTTACGTCTCAGAAAGCTCATTTACTATTTATTGGCACTACTTATCCTCTTAAGAGGGAGACGGGACAGGCTGAGGTTCTTGTTTGCAATTTAAAGTTGAGGAAATGGGGACCCAGAGAGTAACATGTACTCACCCACGACCACACAGTGAGCCAGCAGCTATCTTCCCTCCTCGCTCTTGGCACGTGGGGGGCAGAAAGAAGGAGCATTTGTCATCAGGAGGCCTGGGTTCTCCTAGCTGCACTTTGCGAGCAAGAGCTCTGCAAAAGTGAGATGGTGTCACTGGGGTGGGACTTGTTGGCCCCTGGGTCATACGATGCTCTTGTTTGTCTGTCTGTCGATTACTGTAGCTATCTGGCTTGCCCATTCTTCATCCTGGTTGGGTCGAGGGTGGGGCTGGGCAGTGACCTGTCAATCAGAAATAAGGACATGGAAGTCTTCCAATCATAATAGCTTGCACTTGTTGACAGTGTTACAATATTGTTAGGCCCTGTTCTAAGTACTTTACATGTATTAGTTCATGTGATCCTTGCCACAGCCCCTGAGAATGCATTATTATTATGGTCATCTCTTTATGCATGAGGATACCAAGGCACAGAGAAGTTAAGAAACTCACTCAAGGTTACACAGAGAGTGAGTGTTGACCCAGGCAATCTGCTCTGGTGCCCACACTCTTAGGCTGGTGCCATCCAGTGCCCCCGGAGCAAGCAAGATTTGGCTTCTGCACCCTCAATGACATCAGTATTTTCTCTGGGCATCCTCGGCCAAAGCACCGTCCCTCTGGGGCTCTCTGTCTCTATATGTTTATTTGCCTGGTAAATGCTTATTAAGCCCTGTGCTGAGTGCTGGATATATAGCAGCAATTAACCGCAGTCATTGCTCTTGTGGCGTTTGCATTCCAGTGGGGAGACAGGCAATACAGAGCAAACAGACTCATACACAAGGTAATTTTAGATGGCTAGGAGACCTGGGAGGGATGAGGTCAAGATTATCTGATGAGGGCAACTTGAGAATGGGTCGTCAGGGAGGGCCTCTTGGAGGCCCTTGTTAGGTGTGAGTCCTGAAGGAGGAAAATGAAGCAGTCACATGCAGAACAAGGGGAAGAGTGTTCCAGGTAGAGCAGATGGCAAGTGCAAAGGCCCTGGGGTGGGAACAAGCTTTTTTGTATTTGAAGAACAGAAGAAGGCCACTGTGGCTGGAGCAGAGCGACAGGCACAATGAGCTTTTGTGGGTTTGGTTGGCGAGCATGTGTCCCCATCTCCTTGGGAGTTGTCCCTCCTCCCCACTGAGGACAGTGTTTCTGGGAAGGTGGATTGGGTTACTGTCCTGCCCTCTTCAGAAGCCAAGACAGTTCTAAGCCTTCCTCCTACTACCCTGCCAGGGTGGGGCTGTAATCTAGGCTGAGCCAATGGGACACTCATATGGTTTTTTTTTTTTTTTTTTTTTTTTGAGACAGAGTTTCACTCTTGTCACCCAGGCTGGAGTGCAATGGCATGACCTCGACTCACTGCAACCTCTGCCTCCTGGGTTGAAGCAATTAGCTTGCCTCAGCCTCCTGAGTAGCTGGGATTACAGATGCCCACCACCAGGCTTGGCAAATTTTTATATTTTTGGTAGAGACAGGGTTTCACCATGTTGGCCAGGCTGGTCTCGAACTCCTGACCTCAGGTGATCCACCTGAAAGTGCTGGGATGACAGACGTGAGCCACCGTGCCCGGCCCACTCATATGACCTCGCGTGACATAGATACAGATGGAACAATGGCAGCCCAGGCACAGCAACTGCGGGACCCTGAGGCCTGGTGTTCCCACCTTGATGTCTGCTCCAGTTGCCTGGCTCCCTTATCCTATTCTAACAAATCCCCCTTCGCTTATGTTGCCAGAGTTTACTTCTGTGGCCTACACCCAAATGACCCTACTGATGCAGTGGAGGAATGAAGGCAGATGAAGTTGGGCCCAGATGCGCTAGGCCTGGTTGGCCAAGCCAAGGAATTGGGTTGTGTTCCAAGGAAAATGAGGTCCCTGGGGATTTTTCTGGCACTGCCCTTCTGAGATGCTGTGATTCTGTGTGGGTGGCTTCCCACCTATGGGCATGACCTTAATCCACCAGCCCCTGTCCAGAAGCTCTCCCCTGCCCACCCAGGCCCAGGTCCCCACCACACTCTACCGCTAATGCACAATTGCCCTCCGCAGGCACCCAGGCAAGGTGAGCTTGGGATTACTTGTGTATTTCCCATGCACCCCCAATAAGGTCTCTCTATGGCTCAGATAAACATCTCTAAGATTTTATCCCTACCATACACTCCACCAAATGAAGAGTAAAACGAGAAGGGAGGAGAAATAGACAATCAGAACGTTCATCTTATATGTTGTGGAGCCCAGGAAGGGGACTGAGGAGGGGTCAGGGAGCCAAGGTTCAGCCAGTGCCCCAAGTGCCTCCTGCCCTTGAATTCCGAAGCATCAGGAATCAGTCACGGTAACAACAGCCAGCTGGTGACCCCAATCCCTCTGCACAGCAACAAGCCTTGGCTCTTGTTTTTCTAAGAATCCAGTCAATCCTCTTTCCTGTAAGTTGCAACCCAGTCCTCCCCCCAGGCCGGGCTGAGGACACAGCTTGTCTTCCCGATGGTGTCACCTAGAACTCTGGTTCCCCTGCTCCCTTTCTCTTCAAATAGGAAAATTGGCACAGCTTGACTTTCTTCCACTGCCCTCCCAGCCACAGCTTAGACACCTACAAACTCCCACCGCAGGCTGGAGTGCCCTGGAGCCCTAACTGTGATACCCAGGTCAGTTTCCAAATCTGTACCTTTCTGCGTCTCCTGTTCCAACTCTCAGTGAACTCAGCTGGTTCCTGCCCTTCCTCCCCAATGACCAGCCCTGAGGAATTGACAGCTAGGCCACAGCCGCCTCTTCCTCCAGCTTGACCCTAATTGGAATAAGTACCTCTATCATGGAATCCCAGAGGGACTTACGGTGGGGTTGTAGGCAGTGAGCCATGATTGCACTACTGCTCTCCAGCCTGGGCAACAGAGTGAGACCTTCCAAGAGAGAAAGAGAGAAAGAGGGAAAGAGAGAGAGAGAGAACAGAAACAGGAAAAGAAAGAAAGAAAGAAAGAAAGAAAGAAAGAAAGAAAGAAAGAAAGAAAGAAACCATTTAACATTTAAAGTTTACATTTAACAAGGGCTTACAATATGCCAGGTGTTTTACAAGTATTCATTAATTGATTCAAAAGACATTTATTGAGGGGTGTAAAATGATTATCTCTATTTTATAGATGAAGAAACTGAGGCACACAGAGGTGAAATAGCTTGCACAAATGTTGCTTAGCTGGTAAGTAGATTAGTCATGGCAAAGCTAAGCTAGGCAGCCTGCCTTCTTTTTTTTTTTTTTTTTTTCCGTGATGGAGTCTTGCTTTGTCATCCAGTCTGGAGTGCAGTGGCGTGATCTCGGCTCACTGCAACCTCCACCTCCCAGGTTCAAGCGATTCTCCTGCCTCAGTCTCCCAAGTAACTGGGATTACAGGCATGCGCATTTTTTTTTTTTTTGTATTTTTAGCAGAGACAGGGTTTTGCCATGTTGGCCAGGCTGGTCTCAAACTCCTGACCTTGTGATCCACCCACCTCAGCCTCCCAAAGTGCTGGGATTACAGGTGTGAGCCACCATGCCCAGCCCTTATAGTCTTAATAACTGAAAGACAACAGCTTCTAGAAGGATTTTGTAGCTCTCAGCATTGCCTGCCATGTCTGCACTGGGCAAGGCCTTTCCCGGGCAATTTCCTTTCCCATGACAGAAAATGGGTGGTGACCACTCTATCCTGATGTTGTGTGGTCAGCTATCTGGCTGTGGGTGCAAAAAGGATGCACTGAGACCAGGTTTTGAAGGCATTTACAGACACATGGAGCTCTTGGAAGGCTCCTCAGCTTGTCCTCTGGAGTGGTTCTCAGAGGTGGATGATGCCGCAGAAGCAGAAATGCTGCAGGTTCTCGCTTGGAACCTTCCATCCAGTCCAGGCCTGGAGGAGCAGCCATCCAGGCAGGAATTGCAGGAAAGGCTACAATCCGTAGAGAGATCTGAAAATGAGTCTATCTTAGTGAGGCAGCAGTTGGGAGCAAGAAACAGAAGCCCCCTTAGACTAACTAAGGAGAAGGGAGTCGGAGTATGATTACAAGAACCCTAGGAGGCCAGCGGCGGGGCTTGAAAATCACGGGCTCAGGCTGCACTCAGCTCTTTCTCCCTGCGGTCTCTGTTCCCCAAGCTCCCCTCTCTGCAGCCACCCTGGGCAGCTCACTCTCCCTATCCCCTGACCCCTCACAGTGGCTCCGTGTGATCTCTCGGTCCACTCAGCTGTCCTTCCAGGTCCCTGTGGAGAATCCCTGAGATAGGAACATAGAAGGTGTGGGGGCCAGAGGGGGTGCAGAAGGTGAGGCACCATTTCATCCGTAACAGCCATGACCAGAAATGCTAGTAAATGCTTTTTGAGGCTTGTTTCATCGTGAGATTTTGCTTCAGAGGCCATTTGGGCGTTTTTCAGCCCTGGCCTCTTTGGCTGCCGGAAATAAGATCCCACTCTAGCAAAGGGAGGTCCTTTTTTCTTCTTTTACAATTCCACATCTTTCCAAGGGTGATATTCAGTAAGCCCACCTCAGATGGCATCTGAGAGTGTTAGATTTTGCTCATCTGATGCTGAGGATGGTGTCTGAAACACAGTCAGTGCTGAGTAGTTGTTGTGAGCAGGAGCGGTTGGCTTCCTGCATATCCCAATGAAATCAGCCCGGGGGCTGCAGGGTGCTTTTCGGAGGGGCCATTCCCCAGGAGAGTGAGGATTGTGGGGATCCCAGTCAGTCCTGTCTCTCTGAATTCAGCCAGCTGCTTTCCTGAGCTCCCAAACAAGGCCGTTTTTTCAGCATCTATTACATTGGTGCAAAAGTAAATGTGGTTTTACTCAATGGTAAAACCACAATTACCTTTGCACCAACCTAATAGGGTTCCAAGACCTTGGGTGTCACAGGCCCAGGCAAATGAAGCTGAGGGCCAGGGGTGAGAGGAGATGGCTGGATTGGAGACTGGTGCATGAACTGGGCATAAGCACTGCAGGAGGGAAGCTGGGTGGGGCCTGGGAGAGCTGCTTTCGGGGATTCTGAGGCTGCAAAGGAGTCTGTGGTTGGAAATAACCCCCAAGAAAAGGACAGACTGGTGTCAGGGTGTGAAATGTCCTTAGACCTCTCCTCTGCCCCACCCCAGTGACCTAGAACTCAGCTAGTTTTGATGCTTGTTGAACCAGAAATGCTGTTGACTGAGTCTCTGAACCCTCTATTTTTTTGTAGGGGGAGGGAGGGAGTCACATAGAGCTGCTTTTTTTTTTTTTTTTTTTTTTTGAGACTGAGTCTCGCTGTATTGCCAGGCTGGAGTGCAGTGGTGTAATCTCGGCTCACTGCAACCTCTGCTTCCCGGGTTCAAGTGATTCTCCTGCCTCAGACTCTTGAGTATCTGGGATTGCAGGTGTGTGCCACCACACCCAGCTAATTTTTGATGTTTTAGTAGAGACAGAGGTTCACCATGTTGGCCAGACTGATCTCAAACTCCTGGCCTCAAGTGATCCATCTGCCTTGGCCTCCCAAAGTGCTGGGATTGCAGGTGTGAGCCACGGTGCCCGGCCTGAGCTGCTTTTTAAAACATGAATTAGTTGCTATATCCGTTAGCTGTTGCTGCCTAACAAACCACTCCAAAGCATAATGGTTTCATACATTTTTTTAAAATTAGTCTACAGGCTGGCTGGGTGGTTCTGCTGATCCAGGCTTAGCTGATCTAGGCTGGGCTCTCTTTCATCTGCAGAGCTGATGGGTCAGCCGAGCTGGGCGGGTCTATGCAGCCCATGGGATGGCGTGGCTCTGCTCTGTGTGGGCTCTGGTCCCCAGCAGTGCAGCCTGGGCTTGTCTTCACGGTGGAGGCGGCTTCCAAGGCAGAGGATGGAAATGTGCAAGGCCACTTGAAGCCTAGGCTCAGAACAGACACAACTTTGCTTCTGACACACTCAGTGAGTCACAGCAGATTCAACGGGTGGGGAAATAGACTCTAGCTTGCAATGGGAGAGGGTACAAAGTCACTTATAAAAAGTTTGAAGACGTGGAAGATTGGGGCTATTTTTGCCATCAGTCTACCAAGTCACTAGTATTTCTAGCCTTTCTTAGCAAATTCCCAGTATCCACAGTAAACTGAAACAAAATAGGAACCACCCTTTCAGGATGGTTACTGTTAGGATGTGCTGTTTCTGTTTTTTTTTTTTTTTTTTTTGAGATGGAGTTTCACTTTTTTTGCCTAGGCTGGAGTATAATGTCGCGATCTTGGCTCACCACAACTTCTGCCTCCCGGGTTCAAGCGATTCTCCTGCCTCAGCCCCCTGAGTAGCTGAGATTATAGGCATGTGCCACCACAACTGGCTAATTTTATATTTTTAGTAGAGGCGGGGTTTCTCCATGTTGCTCAGGCTGCTCTTGAACTCCCGACCTCAGGTGATCTACCTGCCTCGGCCTCCCAAAGTACTGGGATTACAGGCCTGAACCCAATCTCACTAGGTCTGTCTTTCATATCTCTTACCTACTTGGCCCTGTAGGCAAGTGAGTTGACCATCTCGTCCTCCAATACAACCAACTCATGCTCATGAACTGGCTCCCCATTGTCTACAGGAGAAAACTAAACTCCTTAGCTTGGCAGTAAAGGCTTTTTGCCATGGACTATTCCAGGCTTACCTCCTGCCTCTGCCTTTTGTCCCTCTCCTCAGCTCTCCCTTACACCCTTAGTCCTTGTCACACCTTTGCAAACACAAGGCCCTTTTTCTTTATGTTCTTCTGAACCTGTCTACTTTGCAACCTGTTCCTTCTGCCAGGAATACTCTTTCTGTGCCTGGAGAAACTTTCTTCTCCTTCAGGGTGTGGCTCAATGTTGTGTCTACAATGTCTCACTCTATCCTTTTGGGCTTCCCTTGATGCCATCCTTCACATCTTGACCCAGCACAATTGACTCCTCCTTCCCCAGCTCTGTCTTTGAGAGTGTTATAAACACAGCCCTCTTACTCCACCTGATGCGGCTGTAGATGTGCCAGACTGCCCTGAAGTGTGTGTTTTCACCAACACACCTGCATTCACGTCTTGCCTCCACCACTCTTGAACTCGGTTACCCTGGGCAGGTTAGTTGATGATTTCTTTGAGCCTCAGTTTCCCCATCTGTGAAATAAGTTTACAATATATCTACCTTCGAGTGTTGTTCTGAGAGGCTCAATTGAGGTAGCAGGTAGAATATACTTAGTATGGTGCCTAGAACATAGCAGACGTTCAATAAATATTCGTTGTATGAACAAATAGCCCAGGCCCAAGTCCTTTGCAGCCTCAGCACCTCCCAGCCTTCATGAGACCCTCTCTGTTTCTTTTTGGGCAATAATATTTCTGTTCTTCAATCCATGTCAACTTCTTAATCACTTTGTGGGGATGGGAGTAAGGGGCACAAAACATGCCCACAAAGTACTTGAAATTATTGCTATTCAGGAATCAAAAGGCAAAGATTAGTTGCCTGTCTCTGTCTCACAAACAAATTAATGGAGTGGCAGCTTTTGGTGCAAAATACAGTTCTTGTCGAAAGGATTATAAGTATTAAATCCAGCTAGAATATACTGTGATTGCATGTGTGTGTGTGTGTAAAGCAAAGCTGCAATAATCATACATTTACAACTAATAAATTGGGTCCTTTAATTCCTCTGCAATAAGCCTTTGAAATATAATCTGTCATTTCAGACTTACAGAACATGACTTTTCATAATTATAATTCTCCAGCACACATTACTACTTATAATTAAATTCACTTTTAGGAAATATGGAGCTTTTTTGTGGATTATCTGTTCATACGATGTCATGATGGTAAAATTAATGTATAATCTGTTGAATACATTTGGTTAGTTTTTGGATAAAAAACACATACTCTGCTATTGATCAAAAGCTGGAAAGACAGATGAGCTGAACAAAATATATACTACTTCTCAGCAACTGGCTCAAACAAAGCCAAAGCAAACCCAGGCATGTCTTTCCCATCCCTGCCTCCCAAATAGGGCATCTAGGACAATGAAAAAAAAGCATTTGAGTTATTTGAAAGGACACAAATGTTAAATTATGGCCAAATTGTCTGCTGGAGATGACACAGTGTCATAAATTTTGAACAGCAGTTGAGTAAAGGTCTCTTGCTGGATGGATGATCAGAAAACAGACCCCAAAAGGCTCCAAACCAGCAACCGTGTGCAGGAGACATATACGGATTCATGAGCTAAGACACAAAGGAAAAGATAAGCAGATAAGGAAAAATGAAAACCCTGAGAAATAGGCACAGAGAAAGTGGGCATTCATGGTCTAACAGCACCATCTTCAGCGTTTTTTTTTGTTTTTTTTTTTTTTTTTTGAGGCAGAGTCTAGTACTGTCATCCAGGCTGGAGTGCAGTGGTGCGATCTTGGCTCACTGCAACCTCTGCCTCCTGGGTTCAAGTGATTCTCCTGACTCAGCCTCCCAAGTAGCTGGATTACAGGCGGGCGCCACCATGCCTGGCTAATTTTTGGTAGAGACAGGGTTTCACAATGTTGTCCAGGCTGGTTTGAACCCCTGACCTCAGGTGATCCACCCACCTCGGCCTCCCAAAGTGCTGGGATAACAGGCGTGAGCCACCGTGCCTGGCCCATCTTAAGCTTTTCATCAAAAAAGCTACATTGCATTTTTACAACTCTGGACAAAAATGTTTTATCCAGCTCAAGGTCAAGGCTGGCCAAAGCCATGAATTGGTGTGTTCCCTACTCATGTCTCAAGAGAATTAAATGCTTCCTGAAGACTGGATTTGAAGAATGATGAGGAAATCTCTCCCCACCAGTGGAAATGTCCTTCCAGGTTGATTCTTTTTCCTAAGGCCCAGGAGGAAGACCTCTGTTTCAAGGGTAAGGTTTTCCTGAGAGGGGCAACTTGAATGAGAAGTCAAATATTTAGCATGAACCTGACAACGTGTGTAACTTTGACAGAGGTGTAAGAGAGAGGGCACCTCTGCACTTGGGACAATGAGTTTGAGCAAGAGGACTGGGTGAATTGCTGTTGATACAGGAGTGGCTTCCAGGAGCAAAAGGCAGGGAAAAGATTAGAGAAGGTCTATATGTGTATGTGTGTGTGACAGTGTGTGTCTATATGTGTGTCTTTATGTGCCTGTGTATATACACGTTTGTGTGCATGTGTTTATGTATACATGTATCTATGTGTATGTGGTCTGTACATATGTGTGTCTGAGTGTGTAAGCATGTATCTCTAGGGGTGTGTCTATGTGTCTGTCTGTGTATGTCTGTCTGTGTATGTGTGCCTGTGTCTTAGTCCATTTGGGCTGCCATAACAACATTTCATATACTGGGTTACTTAAAATAACAGAATTTATTGCTCACAGTTCTGGAGGCTGGGAAGTCCAAGATCATGGCACCAGCAGATTCAGTGTCTGGTGGGGGATCCCTTTCTGGTTAACAGACAGTGACTTCCAGCTATGTCCTTATGTAGTTGAAGAGACAAGAGGTCTCTCTCTGGCCTCTTTTATGAGGGCACTGATTCCATTCACAAGAGCTCCTACCTCATGACCCAGTCACCACCCAAAGGCCTTGCCTCCTAACACCATCACCTTGGGAGTTAAGATTTCAACATGGGAATTTTGGGGAATACTGACATTTAGACTATAGCAGTCCGTGCATGTGTGTATGTTTCCATTCTGAGTGTGTGAGTGTGTGAGTGTCCCTGTGTGAGTGTGTGTGTCTGTCTGGTATCTGAGTGTTTATGTGTGAATGTGAGTGTCTGAGTGTGAGTGTGTGTGTCTGTCTGGTATCTGAGTGTTTATGTGTAAGTGTGAGTGTCTGCATGTGACTGTGTCTGTCTGGGAACTGAGTATCTCTGTGTGAGCGTCTGTGTGACTGTATGTGCCTGTCTGGTATCTGGATGTGTGCGTGTATGTGTGTGTGTGTGCGCGCACGTGGTGTGTATGAAGACAGTGAGAGGGAGAAGAGAGGAACAGGCCTTAGGCAAGTTTCTTCTCCTTTCTGGCTCCTGAATTCTCCATCAGTGAAACGATTCTTTCCCCAGTGAGTCAGTTAATCTACCAACGTTGCCCTGCTATGTGCCATCTCTGTGAAAGGTACCAGGGATGCAGAAGTGGGAGTCAAGGGGCACTGCCCTCACAAGCTGTCTGTGGCATCAGGTGGTGGATGATTATGGCTGGCATCTTCCCAGGGACCTCACATCAACAGCAAGAAGGGCCACCACCTGTGAGGCAGGGCCTGCCTTCCCCGCGTTATTAAAAGTACGTGCCTCCCCTGTAATCCCAGCACTTTGGGGGGCCAAGGCGGGCGGATCACAAGTTCAGGAGATCAAGACCATCCTGGCTAACATGGTGAAACCTTGTCTCTACTAAAAAAATACAAAAAATTAGCCAGGCATTGTGGCGGGCCCCTGTAGTCCCAGCTACTTGGGAGGCTGAGGCAGGAGAATGGCGTGAATCCGGGAGGCAGAGCTTGCTGTGAGCCGAGATCGCACCACTGCACTCCAGCCTGGGCGACAGAGCGAGACTCTGTCTCAAAAAAAAAAAAAAAAGAAAGAAAGAAAAGTACGTGCCCCCACCATGCATAAGGACAGGGTTAGGACTGCCAGGGGACAGAGGAGGAAGTCCCTCACTTGGCAATAGCTCTCTGGCTGTAGCCCAGGCAGTCACTACTCTCTGAGGTGGTGATGGATGCCACTTTCCTAGGCTCTCCATTGTTAAAGACTCGAAATGCTGCAATCTCAGCAATTATGGAAGCATTTCTTGTGGCTATGGTCCAGGCAGGGCACAAGGAGGAAGTCATGGGCAGATTCAAGCAGGAGAAGCCTATTAAGACAAGCTCTCTAAACAGAGGTGATGTCAGCACAAAGATCAGCATTGGCCTTGGGCCTGAGATGAGATCAAGGACTGAGCAGAAATCACCACTGTGCCAACTTAAAGTCTCATAAATGTTTCTCTGGTTTGTGCTATGGAAAAGGAGAAGCCTAAAGATGGAAAGGCATTCGCTCAAGGTCACACACAACTGAGAGGCCAAGACAGGTCTAAGGACATTGACTTTTAAAATTTTTAGTTTTCTATTATTTTTAGAGACATCTCATCTGCCACCTAGGCTGGAGTGCAGTGGCGCCATCATAGCTCACTGCAGCCTTGACCTCCTGGGTTCAAGCAATCCTCCCTCCTCAGCCTCCCATGTAGGTGGGGCTACAGACATGCACCACTATACACAACTGACTTTTTTATTTTTATTTTTTTTGTTGAGACAGGGTCTTGCTATGTTGCTCAGGTTGGTCTCAAACTCCTGGCCTCAAGCAATCTTCCCACCTCAGCCTCCCAAAGTGCTGGGATTACAGGCATGAGCCTTGGGGCCCAGCCAGCATTGACTTTTAATCTCTGGCCTGTAAAAGTATGCACACAATATTATTTAAAACGTATACCTGGCTGTCTCCCTCTCCAAAGTCAAGAATAGGACCAGGATAAGGCTGGAGATGAGATTGGATTTGGGGTTGGACTCATTCCCATTTCTATCTCATTATCTTACACCTGAAGGCACTAATAAATATTCAGTAGATAAATAGATGCAGAGATGGACGTATAAATAGATGAATAGGTGAATGAACAAATGAATAGATGGATGGATGAATGCATGGATGGATGAATGAATGGATGGATGGATAGATGAGTGAATGGATGGATGGATAAATGAATGGATGGATGAATACATAAATGGATGGATGAATGGATGGATATATGAATGGATGGATGGATGGATAAAGGGATGGATGGAGGGATGGATGAATGGATACTAAAATTAAGAAAAGGTACAAAGCTGAGGCCTAACAGCCCCCTCCCAGGATTGAAGGCCGGAGTTTGTCCACATATATTTTGTGTGTGTATAATACAGTTGACCCTCACAAAGGTTTCAAATAATTAGTAGCCAGTACAAAATCAGGAGATTTCACATCTTAAAAGTGCAGATTTATGGCTTTTATTCTTTTTTTTTTTTTTTTAAGAGACAGGGTTATGCTACGTTGCTTAGACTGACCACAACCTCCTGGGCTCAATCTTCCTGCCTCAACTTCCCAAGTAGCTAGAATTACAGGTAAGTGCTACCACAGCTGGCTCTGGCTTTTCTTGAAAAAAAAAAAAATCAAAAGACATAGTAACACCAGGTTTGCACTCCACATGAAAACGATCTTGAAGCTGAATAGCAGCTGCTCCTTTTGAAGGGAGAATGATTTCTGGTTCACCACAGTCCCTACCATTCCCTACTGTCCCCACACCTCCCCAATATCCTCAGCTACATCACTTGGTCAGCCCCATAGGTATCTGCATTATCAACTCTTAACTTAAAGAAAATCTTTTGTCACTCTCGTTCCCTTCAGTTTGCTGATGCTGCACCAGCCAGTCTGAGGCTGGTGTTTTCTTACTTTGCCCTAATCTTCCCCTTCATCCGGCATTCTGCAGTTCTGGGTTGCGCACCCAGGCGACGTTAACCAATGCCTTAACTTAAGATGCAGAGAAGACTCTGCAGCCCACCTCGCTCCAGTCTCCCATGGGAATGGTAAAAGGTCTAGGCAGCTGGGTGCGGTGGCTCACGCCTATAATCCCAGCACTTTAGGAGGCCAAGGTGGGTGGATCACCTGAGGTCAGGAGTTTGAGACCAGCCTGGCCAACATGGCGAAACCCCATCTCTACTAAATATACAAAATAAATAAATAAATAATAAAAAAAATTAGCTGGGCGTGGTGGCAGGCATCTGTAATCCCAGCTTCTCGGGAGGCTGAGGCAAGAGAATTGCTTGAACCTGGGAGTCAGAGGTTGCAGTGAGCCAAGACTACACCACTGCGCCCCAGCCTGGGCAATAGAGTGGGACTCCGTCTCAAAAACAACAACAACAACAACAACAAAAAGCCGCAAAGTCTAAGTAAGGGCTCCCTCATGGCAGTAAAGAAAGGTAGTTTGGGTGCTTGTGTTGAGTAGGCATGCAGGCAGACTTGAGGAAAGGATGAGCCGGCCATCCAGAAGCTAAAAAGGAATGATTTCGGAAAGTGTCCCTTATGCACTTTTGTATTTCATTGACATTTTAATTAAGACTGGAGCACTCTTTGGGGAGCTCTGCTCTGAAGTTGAAATCACTTTAATATGCTGCCCTAGCATAAAGCTAGAGATGAATGGAAGCCTGGGGTTCTCATATGTTTCATGGTACTTAGCAATTCTTTTTCACAATGCATTATGATGTTAAGATGGTTTATGAGTTTCTATTGGTTAAGTGCAGCCATATCAAATTATAATTTTGCTCAGTGGATTTTGCTCTAAGAAGATTAAAGAGCACTTAGGCCTTCCCTGGTGGGAGGCAGGTCCGAGGATCACCTCAAGCTCCAGGCAGGCTCCAGTAGTTAAAACTGTTGCTGTAGAGCAATGAGGTGAGCTCTGGTTGAGGGGCGGTTGAGTGTCATGGCTGCAGGGTCACAACCTCAAGTTTAGCAGCACGTTCTGGAAGCTGTCCTAGCTAGGGATGAGTTGACGTGTACTAGGAATTGCATTTCACATAAGACCCTCCTCAACTTTCGTGTGACAAATTTTTGCTTACAGAGCAATGCACTTTCATACCCCGTTTTGGTATTTAAATATTTTTTTCTCTTGGTGGCTGAAACCTAAACACAATCAGAGTTGCATAATGTGAAGTATTCCCACCATGTTTTTTATTTATAACATCAATTGGATGTAGCTCTTTGGTTGGTGTGTACTTACTGCCCTTGTTCTTCATCAAAGTAGTTTTATCTATATCATCTAAACTTTGTGCAAAATGGCTTCCACAAGCATTGTGAGTGGTATTATCAGTTCGAGATCATTATATAACCTTCCAGCGATGAAATAAGTGAAGAATACTGAAATAACAGCTGCTATTAAAGTTTGGGAACTTCAAAAACTAGGGTAAAGAAGGCTCATTTAATACATCTTTTAATAAATATTTGGAATAAGTGGGTACTCATCTGGAAAAAATATAAAGTTGGATCCCTACCTCACAACTTATACAAAAATAAATTCCAGATGAATCAATGTTTTTATACATACACTAAAACATAAAAGAATTGAAGAAAATATAGAGAAACTTTAAAATAATCTCAGAATTGGTAAGATTTTTCAAAATATGACTGAATCATCAGAAACCATAAAAGAAAACATTGATCAATTTGCCTACAAGAAAATCTTTATAAGGCTGCATAACAAAAAAGCAAACATTAAAGTAAAGCAAAATAAATGTGGAAAAATATTTGCAGCTCCCATCTTACAATAACAAATTTTCTGAATGCATAAAGAATTTCTATAAATCAATAAGAAAAAGTTAAATGACTGAACAGAAAAATGTGCTGAGAATATGAGCAAGCCACTCAAGGAAAATGAAATTCAGTTGACCCTTGAACAACACGGATTTGAACTGCACGGGTCCACTTACACGAAGATTTTTTTTGAAAAATTTACATAAAGGCCAGGAGCGGGTGGCTCATGCCTGTAATCCCAGCACTTTCAGAGGCCGACGTGGGCAGATCACCTGAGGTTAGGAGTTCGAGACCAGCCTGGCCAACATGATGAAACCCCTTATCTACTAAAAATACAAAAATTAGCCAGGCATGATGGCGGGTGCCTGTAATTCCAGCTACTTGGGAGGCTGAGGTAGGAGAATCGCTTGAACCCTGGAGGCAGAAGTTGCAGTGAACTGAGATCACACCACTGCACTTCAGCCTGGGTGACAGAGCAAGACTCCATCTCAAAATTAAAAAAAAAAATGTTACATGAACTGTGCTTGCCTAAAAGGCAGACACTTCCACTTAATGAATAGTAAATACATTTTCTTTTCTTAATGATTTTCTTTTCTCTAGCTTACATTATAGTAAGATTGTACTATATGATACATATAACATACAAAATATGTGTCAGCTGTTAATGTTATTGGTAAGGTCCACAGTAGGTTATTTGTAGTTAAGTTTTGGGGGAGACCAAAGTTACACATAGATTTTGGACCGTGATGGGAGTTGGCAATCCAACCCCCATGTTGTTCATGGGTCAATTGTACTATTTTTCATTGGCCAGATTGGCAAATATCACAAAGTTTGACAGTATATTTTTTGAAAAGGTTCTGGAGAAATAAGCAGACTCAATAGTACATGCTTCACTTTCTCTAGATAGACTCATGAGAAACAAGTCATTGTCTCTAAGGGGTGAAACTGGGTGGCTGGTATGTGAAAGAGACTTTGCAACTTAAAATTTTCCACCACATGTATGTATTACCTACTAAAATAGAATATTATGCATAAATATATATAGATATAGATGTAGATGAGATATGTATACAATACTGCTGGTTTGATTCTTGAACTTATTTTTCCATTGGTGTTTGCCAATATAGGCTTTAGCCCAAGAACAAACATTTATGGAATCAATTATACTTTAATTAAAAAGGACTGTTCTCTCTCTTTTCTCTTCTACCCTGCAAACCCTTCAAAACCTCAAGGCTAAGAGAACTAACACATAGTAGGAACTCAGTAAATATTGTCAAGTGAATGAATGCACCTGACTTGGCCTGAAGTGGAGGCCAGGAAAAACCACTTTCTTCCCACTTTTTTCATGATTAGGACCTGAACACCCATGCTTCCTGGTTTCAGAAAGAGAGAAATTGGGTAGAATCAAATGACAGGTCACCTGGGCCAGACGACGACAGGAGGAAATGGTTAGGTCTAGCTGTACAACTTTAGACATGTTACTTAAACTCTTTCTGAATCTCTGTTTCCTTGTCAGTAAAATGGAGATACTAATTACCTTCTAGGAGATCAGTAAATGTTCATTGAATTGAATAGAGTTCTTGTTAGCAAAGGGAAAAGAGTCTTCATCATAATTGAGATAAATAAAAGTGGGAGGTAGGAAAAGAGGTCAATGTGGTGGCCTTGCTGTGGCCCAAGGAGCTTTTAATACTGTTATGCAAAGTTAAATCAGGGCATGGGTAATGTAAGTAAGGCCCTATGAGTGTTCATGACTTGGTGAGCTTTTAAATACATTGTTTATTTGTATTGCAATATCTCTCCTTCCTTCCTTCCTTCCTTCTTTCCTTCCTTCCTTCCTTCCTCCCTCCCTCCCTCCCTCCTTCCTTCCTTTTTTTCTTTCTTTCTTTTCCTTCCTTCCCTCCCTCCCTCCCTCCTTTCTTTCTTTCTTTCTTTCTTTCTTTCTTTCTTTCTTTCTTTCTTTCTTTCTTTCTTTCTGTCCTTCCTTCCTTCTTTCTTTTCTTTCCTTCTTTTTTTCTTTCTTTCTTTCTTTCCTTCCTTCTTTTATTTTCTTTCTTTCTTTTTTTCTCTTTCCTTCCTTCCTTCCTTTCTTTCTTTCATTTCTTTCTCTCTTTCTTTTTCCTTTCTTTCTTTCTTTTCTTTTTTCTTTTCCCTTCTTTTCTTCTTTTCTTTTTTCTTTTCCCTTCTTTTCTTCTTTTCTTTTTGAGACATGGATGCCCTGTTGCCCAGGTTGGAGTGCAATGGTGCAATCACGGCTCATTGCAGCTTCCAGCTCCTGGACTCAAGTGATCCTCCCACCTCAGCCTCCCAAGTAGCTGGAACTCTAGATGTGCGCCACCACGCCCAGCTAATTATTTTTATTTTTAGTAGAGACAAGGTCTTGCTATTCTTCCCAGGCTGGTTTTGAACTCCTAGCCTCAAGTGATCCTCCTACCTTGGCCTCCCAAAGTGCTGGGATTACAGGCATGAGTCACCACTCCAGGCCTGTATTTCTAACAGTATGAGTGTGTGTGGATGCTTATGTGCATGCATGCATACACATGTACATTTAGTAAAATGCTTCTAAACTAGGACTCCAGTTCTATCCCAGATCTCCCAGGAAAACCTGGAAAACCTTAGCTAAATGTTTTTTCGGGAGTGCTTGGCTTTCTTATCTGTGGTTGGAGATGATTCCCTTCTAATCTCACTCACAGGGTTGTTTTCCGGTTTTGTTTTTTGTTTTTTAAAAATCAAATGAGGTGAATGAGAAACCAGTCTGCAAACTGGAAAGAGCTATGCACGTTAATAATTATGAGGGTTTTATGCCTTTTGCTGAATTCAGGCTCTGGCTCTTATTAAAAATGCCAACTCCCTTGGTCCTTCTGCTTGGCCATTCATACTCACTCTGCTTAATCATTTGCACCTCAAGGTAAATTAACAGATTAGGCCAAGGAGAGTGTGGAAGAGAGTAATTCATAGTATGAGAAATAATAATTACAACAATAATAATGGCGACATTTATTGGGTGCTAACTCTGTGCTGGACTCAGTAGAGACCTCTCCAGAGATGAGGGATGTATAAGAGAAGAAAAGATAAATTGTGGTTACTCTGGCACAAGCTTGCTAATAGAGTGCTGTGATCTTTTTGCTCATAAGGCTTATGTGCTTGTGTGTGCGTGTGCGCATGCGCGCGCGTGCACGCTCATGGGGGCGTGTGCTTGTTAGCATATTGGTTTTCCTCATCTCTTCCCCCTCGGGGGGAGAGGAGACATAGGAAATGGGGGAAGGCTTCCAAGCAGGCTCCACTAATCACATGTGGTACAATGCAGGGATTTCCAAACCGTGAGATGTCGGGGTCACAACCTTGACTTTGCCAGTGACCCTGCTGTGTGACTCTGGCCAAATCTCACCTCCTCTCTTAGTTTCATTGTCTGCTCTGCTGAAATGAAAGGGTTTCCTGAGTCACCCTGGTAATAGACACCTACGGTTTTGCCCCCACCCAGGCCTCCATTCAGTTTCTCTGGCTCTGAACTCTGGGTAGAATGGGCCAGAAGGAACCTATCCTTAGTTCCAGGCCGGCGGGGAACCTAGACTGCTGTGATTGGCTCCAGGATGGGCAAAGGACCCCTTCAGAGCCCTAGCGATAACCCATGGCTTTTGTTCTAGGGACAGAACAGATGCTGTTTCCCAGGGGACCAATCCCAGAAATATGTGGAGCTGGAGCTTCTGGCAGCCTTTTTGCTACCATGAGGTAAGTATCTGTGTGAGTAAGGAAGCAACACAGCCAAACGTGGAGCAGAGAGATAAAAACTGACTCCAGGGGCCATTGTTGGAGCACCTGGATCCAGGTGATCCTGAACAGACACCTCTGTACTTTTCTCTCCTATAACCTAATAAACTTGATTGCTATTGCTGTTCTTCATTTAAGCCTATTTGGCTTGGGATTCTGTCACTTGGAGCTGTGTGGTGACCTTATGCAGTGTTTATGGGGTTTACACAGTGGTTGTCATGGCCTTTTCAGTTCAGGAATCCCAAAGCTTTATGGCTTCTATGATTCTCCTGGGAGTGAGTGGGGCTGGCTGCAGGAAACTGGGTCACAAGGCCTCAGCCACAGTCGCCTTGACTCTGCCAGTGTGGTGGGGGCTTGGCCTGGTCCCCACAAGGAGAGAAAGTGTTGAGTCCCATGTCTCACCACTCTTCATGAGTATAATTATTTTGATGCCAAATTATTAATGGGCTTGGCTGTGACATGTTTTCCCAGACCCCCCTTGGAGATGTCACGTTATAAATGGTGATCTCATTGTATAATATTTTTAAATCTGAAAATTTAAATACTGAAATACCACTGACCCCAGTGGTTTCAAGGAATGGCGTGCAGACTTGTAGTGATCTCTACTCAAAACTTAGAAGCTTTCACATAAAATTCCACATTCCTGGTTTCCCTGAAGAGGGAGAAGGCCTGGCATTGCTACGTAGCGCCACTGGGATACACACCCAGGGTGATAAGTGCCTGACACTGAGCTGCCCCCACTCCCTTGGATGGGGCCCGCCTTCCGCATCCTGACCCGGGTCTCTACTGCTGTGCACACACAGCCCCCATATCAGTCAAGAATAAGGAAGACTTAGACAATGCTCCTTCAACACCAGTGCCCAGGGAGTTTCTAAAAGTGCAGTCACCCCGGGATACCTCTCTCCTGCACATTGCTTGAGATCCCTAGCTGTGAACACTAACAGGAGCTTTTATGCTTCTATGCTCTGTACCAAACGCATGTGCACCAGCTCATATCATTCTCATGACAGTCCTGGGTGAGGGTCATTCCACCCCTTTTCACATAAAAAATCCGAGGGTCAAACACACCGTGTATCTTTTTTTTTTCTTTTTTTGAAATAGGCTCTTGCTTTGTCACCTAGACTAGAGTGCAGTGGCACAATCACAGCTCACTGCAACCTCGACCTCTTGGGATCAAGCGATTCTCCCAGCTCAGCCTCCCAGGTAGCTGGGACTACAGCTATGTGCCACTATGCCTGCCTTCTTTTTGTTTGTGGAGACAGAGTCTCACTATGTTGCCCAGGCTGGTCTCAAACTCCATGCAATCTTCCCACCTTGGCCTCTCAAAGTGCTGGGACTATAGTCACGAGCCACCACGCCCGGTGCCCACACCATGCATCTTGAGCCACCACGCCTGGCACCCACAGCATGCATCTTACCCCAGGCCACATCCCTAGGGAGAGCTGGGACCAGAGAAGACCTCCTGCCCTGCGAGCTTCTTTTGACCTTTGTATCTGGGGCAATCAGCAGAGGTGACTGTACCATGGCACCCCACACCCAGTCCAGTTGTGAGAGGAAGGAGGTGGAGAGGAGTAGGTAGACATAGTAAAATAAATGTCATGGAAGCCAAATTTAGAGGATATGGAGAATGTCAAAGTGAGAAGCTGGCAGGTCATTTGGTCTAATGCTCTTGTTTTCTCCATGGGGGAAAGTGGGGAAGTTGACAGTTTCAAGGACACGTAGTGGCCCTGGAAAGAGAGAAGGGTCATTACAGTGGTTGTTATGGTCATTACAGTAGACCAGATTCTGAGACCTAACGTGAACCCTGGGCTTCCCCATTTAGCACTGCTTTCCCCTGAAAGCTTCATTCACTTGTCTACCCAGGGCAAGGGGAACTCCTGGCCATGTGCCTGGGGGCCTTTGCTCTCTCTTCCTGCTCCTCCAGAATAACTTCCCTTTGGGTAATTTTTCCATTACACTGTTCCCCTTTGGACTTTCAGAAATAAAAACCCAGCCCCCCTGGTGTGCAGTCACACTTGCGCCCTGAGGAGTAGTTAAAATTCAGCTTGAGGGGCACTTAGTGTCACAGAAGCCTAGATAAAGAAACAAGATTTCAGGCAGGAAGAAATAATAAAGAGGCAGGACTTCAAGTGTCCTGTGAAACACAACATTCGGCCTCCGGCACACACATCCGTGGGAGACGGCTCAACTTCTTTATAAAGTGGTGAGTTCTGTGTGAGCACAGATGCATTTTGTTTTCCTATGAGGAATCAATGATTAAATTATCAGAAAGCTAAAAACCAGGCTGCCTGAATATTCCCCGACGTGTCCCCTGTGTCTCCCCAGCACCTCCTGCTCAGGAGGTACAGGCTTTATCTCCAAAGCTTTAGTTTAAATGTCCAACACATCTTATTAATGAAAGTAATAAGCTGTTGTTTATTATATGTCATGATGGGGAATATGACTATTTAATATAAACCTGACATTTAAATTCCACTTAGTTATGAGACGTGGACGATATCAAGGCATAACTCTTTACCCTGGAGTAAAAACTCCCTGGGTCTGCATTTTAAAGCATTGAAATTTTCAAAGTAATCAGGTTCCTTTTTTTTTTTTTTTTCCAGAGGAACCAAATTGTGAAGACATCTGTTCTGTTATTAATTTCACATACATCTTAAGCTCCTCAAGGCCAGAAATGAGGCTTCATTCACGTCGAATTAATGAAACATGATTGTAAGTCCCTTGCTTGGAAATGCTGTCACACAGTTCTGAGCTGCTTATAAGCACTGAGTAATCTCTGAAACTGCCAGGGGACGGCCACTTGAAATCTGCCCTCCCCTCCCCCTGCCACCCAAAAACAATATCTGAATATATCACAACACTAACTATATCCTGAAAGATTAATAGCAGATAAAAATTTCTGGGAAATGAATCAGACTTTCTCAGTAAAGGATACAGAGATCTCAGGCAAAAGCAGATTGCATAGTGGAAGAGCTCTTTGGGATACAGTTTAATAACTGTGCCCCAGGCTGCCCCTGAATACACCCAAAAGGACGATGGTGGGCCAGGAAGGGGGTGGGGAGTCTTGGAATTTCTTGCAGAGATGTCTTTTGAGGGTGTGTACGAAAATGTACTGGAGGTGACACAGATGTGAAACTGGAAACTTGATCTGCGAAAGCATGATGTATGTGTCAGGTGTGTGGGAGAATGTGTGTGCATATGGAAACTGTGTGTGAATGCATGCAGGAATGTGTATGAGTCTACTTACATGTGGGTGAGTATGTGTATATCAGTGTGTGAGTTCGCGCACGTATGAGTGTGAAAATGTGTGTGTTGTGAGTTTGTGTTGGTGACTGTGTATGAGGGTATGTGTGTATGAATATGGGTGAGTTTGCATGTGTGAAAATGTCTGTGTTGCAAGTTTTTATTGGTGAGTGTGTATGAGGGTATGTGTGTATGAATATGGATGAGTTTGCATGTGTGAAAATGTGTGTTGTGAGTTTGTGTTGGTGAGTGTATATGAAGGTATGTGTGTATGAACATGGATGAGTTTGCATGTGTGGAAATATGTGTGTTTCGAGTTTTCATTGGTGAGTGGGCATGAGGGTATGCGTGTATGAATATGGATGAGTTTGTGTGTGAAAATAATTTTGTGTGTCTGTGGATGCATATGAAGGTGTGTGTGTGTGTGTGTGTGTGGTGAGTGGATGCATTGACATGCACAGATCTCTCAGGACAGACAGGAATCAGTCAGTCCGGGCTGGATCTTAAATAGCAGCTCAGCACAATACCATGCCCATCTGAGCCAGTCTTGAAAGGAGCTTGCTCTTGAGGTTTTGGGTTTGGGGGGCTTGATTTTTTTTTTTTGTCAAATAACTGAAAATGCCAGCAGAAAGATTGTCTGGAGGGAGGCATGAGATGGGGAGCCTGAGATTTCTTAATCAAACTTTCAAGTGTTATTTTTGGTCTTCCGCTGAGCTGGGACCAAAAAAGAATCTGCATATGATATTTACATCTCAAATCTTCAGAGCCTCATTAGCTTTGATAGTTATTTATTTATTTATTTATTTGCAAAAAGGAATTTAAATCAAACAGAGAGGCACAAAAGCAAAACCTTTGAATGTAGTGCAACATTAATTAAAACAGGCAGCCGAAGGGTAGAGTGAAATACAATGGAATCCAGAAAAAAAAAAAGACAATGAAACTAATTAGACTCTGATGGGAAGATCCTTCCTCGTTTGGTGATCATCCATTGGTAATTAATAAGTCACAAATATTGATGTTTGAAGAAAAGTGCCAGAATTTTAACCCCTGTTTTTCCAGAAGTTTAAAAAAAATTTCTTTAGATTCTGATCTTCTAAACTAAATCAGTCAAATGATTGGATGTTGAATTTTACAGTCATGTGTTGGTGACGGATGGGGATGTGTTCTGAGAGGCTATTTCATCATTGTGCCAACCTCATACAGTGTACTTACACACACCTAGATGGTATAAGCTATATGGAATAGCCTTTTGCTCCTAGGCTACAAACCGGTATAGCATGTATCACACTGAATACTGTAGGTAATTGTAACACCGTGGTAAGCATTTACATATGTAAATATAGAAAAGGTCCAGTAAAATTATGGTATAAAAAGTAGAGAATGGTACACCTGTATAGGGCACTTACTGTGAATGGAGCTTGCAGCACTGGAATTTGTTCTGTGTGAGTCAGTGAGTGAGTGGTGAGTGAAGGTGAAGGCCCAGGACATTACTGTATACCACTAGAGACTTTATAAACACTGTAGACTTAGGCCATGCTAAATTTATAAAAAATAAAGTAATTGCACTACAGTATTACAATGGCTACCGTGTCACTAGGTGATATGAATTTTTCATCTCCGTTATAATCTTATGGGACCACTGTCATATATGCAGCCTGTCATTGACCGAAACACCATTACACAGCACAGGACAATATTGTGTTCTGGGGGAAACAGACTAGCCTATACCAGCAACTGGTTAGCTCTCAACACCTGTCCTCAAAATAATGTGCAGGTGGATCGAATTCAACTGTCAGCGGATAAAGATATATCTAATACAAGAGATGCTGGACTCCAGCAGTTAGCATTAACCCAGTGGTGGAACCAACTTGTATATATGAATGGATACAATCCCAGCTAGATTTTTGCCCCTGTATATTTTGAGGCTTTGTTGTATGATCCATGCTTTGTAGATCTGTGAAAAACATTTCCAGGCATCCAGTTGAAAAACCCTTGACCAACAGTATAAAAACGACTTTTAGCTTTGCCTAAGCATAAGGCAGCATCAAAGGGGTCTGGCTTCCTTTTGGGAAGTTCTTTTGAATGAAGTGATCAGTTAGTATTTATGCTTTTTGTCCTTCTGTATTATGCAACAGCACAAATGCACAACTGCCCCAGTGGGACAATCTAATGCATAGCCAGCCAGTCACACAGTTTTAAAGTTGGACGCATGTGTCTTTGGCACGTCCCAGGTCTCCTTTCAACTTCTTTCAGAATCTCTTTTTTACCACCCTCCAGCCCAGCGCTTGAGGTTCTCAGGATGACCCTGGGTCATTTCTAGCTTAAAGAGAGTGGGCTTTGAGAAATATCTTGATAAGTGTTAGTGCAATTTTTAAAGATGGCTAAAATGCTAATGGTGAAATTTCAGGCTTTGTGGCAGTTGGATGAAAGGAATGTTTTTGAGCAAAAGATCTTTCCAACGATCCCTCAAACCTACAATGCATAAAAGTGGACTTGTTTAGATAAGTCAGTAAATTATGCCTAATCTCAGTTTTCCTCCATGTAAAGAGGAAGAAATTAAACTAGAAGTAGAATGATCTTTAAGGTTTATTAAAGAGAGAGAGAGAGAGAGAGAGAATGGTTTGCCATGTGCAAAAAAAGGCAAGGCTCTTCCTTATAAGTAGCACAGGGATTCATTCATTCATTCATTCATTCTGTGTGTGTGTGTGTGTGAGAGAGAGATCTCTGGGCCAAACCCTATATCACAGTTCTTTCACATCATTTCACCTACCCCTTACAACAACCTTTGAGGTGGGTATTCCTAACAGGAGTGGTTGTCAATTTATTTAACTATCAATAAGCCACAGATACTTGCCAATCAGAAAGAACACTGAGTTAAACACTAGAACAGGGTCCTGGAGACCCCTGACTGTGCCAGGTATTTGTTGCTAGATGAGGAAAGAGGTGGGGAGGAGCCAGGGTGCCTGGCACAATGAAGGGGAGATTGGGAAGCTATTTGACAACTGGCCTGGGAAATGCTCTAATTTTTAAACTGCTGGTATGGATTTTGTACTATTGGATATGGCTGAACATCAGCCGTGACTTTCAATCTCCCCATTCTGCAAAGGACAAAGCTGAGGCCCTGGGAGGTCATGAAAGCTTCTCAAGATAAACCCATCAAAAAGCGACAGGCTTGAGTTGAAGGCTACTTTAAGTCTTTGAGACTCCAAAGTTGGTGTTCTTAACCATTATGCTGACTGTACACATGTCTCTAAGTTGACCTCAGTCTGTGCCAGGCTGGCCTGGCATTTCTCTACAAAGAACTGGAGGAAAGTGGATCGGAGGAAAGATCTGGTTTGAGTGGGAGTAGAGTTGGCCGATTTAGTAAGTAAAAATACAGGACACACAGTTAAGTTTGAATTTCAGATAAACAACAAATAATGCTTTTGTATATTTTTAGCTTATTGCACGGGATATATGTACACTGAAAATTATTCATTTTTAATCTGATGTTCAAATTTAACTGGACATCTTGCATTTTATCTGGCAACACTACGTGTGGAGGGAGGGTCACAGGGATGCTAAGACATTTCAAATACCAAGACACTTCAATCTGAAGAAACATTTTCTTTGCTAGGAACTCCCTTTTGCAAAGTCAATGATATCAGCTGTAGTAAGAACACTTCTAACCTTACCCTGAGTACCTCTTTGATTTTAAAGTCATAGAATGTCAAGGCAGAGGTCATTTAAGCCAATACCCTGCCTCACTGTCTTTCTGCCTCTTTCTGTCCTCTCTCTGCCCAAGAAGGCAGAACCCACAGCACCGGCGCTGTGGCTTGGCTTTGAAGCCAAGGAGCATAGCCCACGAGGCATGTCCTCATCTCCAAAGCACATGGAAACTATTCCTTTCCTGAAGGTCTTCATGGTTAGCCTGCTGCAAGTCTCATGGTTTTTCAGCTGCAGTTGTAATTTCTATAGCGCCTCCATCCCAGCTCAGCTGGTATTTATTAGAACACATTCTTTTTGAAAAGAAAACTGTTTCTTAATTAAAGGTTGGCAATCCATAGCCTGTTTGCAGATGAGAAAAATTAAGCAACTACTATGAACAGCGCAGTGTGTCTCCTCTGTTGGTTAGAACATTGCTGTCTAGACACGTGGAGTGTCTCCTGTGTTTTGGGCCGTCCCTGCATTTACATCTGAGTGCATTTTTTTTTTTTTTTGGTGTTGCACAACAAATACTAATGAACCATGAGACCAAATGGAAGAGATTTTGGAGTGAAACAAACTTGTCTTCTGTTTTAACCACTCCCTGTCACAGACTGCTTTTCAAACATAATACCTGGGCGGGGTGGGTGGGGGTTAATGAAAAATGTTTCGTGTCCAAAACCCAGCCTTACTGTCTATGCCAAAGAGTTGGTTTCTGGGGCCAAGTAGAAGCTGAGAGGAGCTGATCTTTGCCTCACCTCTGGACCAAGAATGAAATAAACTTATGAAGAATAAAAATATTCCTTTCATGGGGTGAAGATTCTTAACCTGGGTTCCATGAAATGGAAGACTTCTAAGAATTCCATGGAATTCTTAGCTTGAATGGGAAAAAAAAATGTATTTTTAAATTTTTGCTAACTTCTAACTGACAGTTAGCATTTCCTTCAATTCTGAATGTAGGCAACAACTAAAATTGTATCAGCACTACATGGGACTTTTGTGACTTCGTCATTAATAGATATCACAGATATTTTCATATCACATTATAGTTGCTACAGAGTATCTTGAAACAGACTCACTACTCTCTGGAAATTATAGTGATGAGTAGACCCACCTCTATATCTTATTATATCTTGGTTAATAAAAGCCCACATATTACTATATTAATTTAAATAATTATTTAGATAACTGTTATTTAATATAACTTTTCTTTGTAATGCTGTTTTGTAAATTTTATGCATGCAATGACATTATTCTGGAATGAGCCTTGAAGACTATGCTAAGTGAAGTAAGCCTGACTTGGGATAAATAGGATAATTAAAAAAGGACAAATACTATATGATTCCACTCACATGGGATATGTAGAGCAGTCAAGTTCATTCACAGGAAGTAGAGTGATGATTGCCCCAAGATGGGAAAGGAGGAAATAATGAGTGGTATTGTTAATGGGTGTAGACTTCCAGGTTGGGAAGATACAGTTCTGTAGATGGATATGGTGGTGGCTATACAATAATGTGAATACTTAATGTCACTGACTTGTACACTTAAAAATAGTTAAAATAATACATTTTATGTCATGTATATTTTATCACTATTTAAAAATCCACAAGAACAATGCCAATATTTTCATCTCACATTTTAAAACCCACATTATTCCATAAGGAGGTCCATAGACCTCCCCTGGAGGGTCTGTAGCACAAACCTGGCTAAGGCCTCCTGATTTTAAGGGATTGCTTTTCCTGATGCCTTGTACATCTTTCCAGTATGTTTTGCCTGGAGGAATCTTTCTGTCTCTTCAGGGGTCAGCTCAAATACCACTGTCCCTTGGCTCCTGTTCTGTTCCCAGGGCTAATGTGGGGATATAGTCTTCATATTCCTCTAAGCCTATCTCTAATATCCCAGTTGGATCTTATTGCCTGCCAAAAGCCTAAGGCCTTGAGGCCTTTCCCTCTACTTAATTAAAGGGTTATTTGGCAGGTGTAAGAAAAGCACTTAGGCAATATTATTACCAGACTGAGACTTTCTCATTGATGCAATAGGGAAACTTGCTGTGTGAGTCAGTATTACTCAATGCCTTGTCTGGGCATTGATACATATCTCGTGGTCACTTTTTCACATTTTGTGCTACATTACATAATCTTATGAAATCTACAGAACCCGGAGGTTAGTGCTATCAGGCACAGCATTTTGCAGATGAAGAACTGAGACTCAGAAAGCATAAGTCGACTTGTCTGACCCCAGAGATATTTTGCATCAAACATCTTCCAGAGTGGCAGGATTCCTTGGGAGTAGCCCAAGCTTCATTTGATGAAGATCACTCATTGGAGAATCTGTCTTTGAACCTGACAGAGGAAAACAAGGTACTAAATAAGTAAGGACTTTGGATCCTCAGAGTTGGAAGGGCCCAAACTACCTAGTTTGTCCCACCTGTTTTAGATGTGGAAACTCTTGGGTCAACACCAGAAGAGTAATAACCACCACTGTGCTCTTGACGTGGATTATCTCAATGATTCTGAAAATTTCATCACTGTGGGCTCCTTTTATAATTTTGGACATATTTGAATGTTATTGATACTATGATCTACTTAATGCTGTTCTCCCCTTTAAATGGATCTGCTTTTAAAACCTAAATCCATTTACTCACACAGAAAATTTTATACTATTTCTGTGAATAGAAAACCACTAACCATAAAAATTATTCCAATAAAAAAGAAAATATGTATTAAGTTCTACCTAGACACTGTTGCCTGCAGTGGGACTCTGAGCCTGAAGTCTTCACTCCCTTTGTTAAAACACAGAGAACAAAACAACAAAAATAATTAGTACTTGTTAGGCATTAAAGACACAATAGCATCAACTGGAGACTTTCTTGACGTAATTAGAAGAATTCAAAGAGAGCTAAAAAGGACCTAATACACTTACTGTTTGAGTCAGTGCTATTTAATGCCTTGTCTGTGCATTATTTCAAATCATTTTCAATACCACCCGTGGTCTCTGCACCTCTGGAAACACCCCATTATCTTAGCTCATCCTCGCAATAATCCTATGAGGTAAGTACTAGCACTAGGACTAGTTAGTACTGCCCCATTTGTTGGATGCACAGCCAGTCAGGCACCCCTGCTCTCTCTGTCTCCAGGGTGCCTGACCACAGTGATATTCTGTTCTGTGTTGCAACTACCCATAAAAAGAGCCTTTGGCAGCATCTTGTGGGTCCCCATAAATCTTGCAGGTCCAGATGTCCATCCAGGAATAAACTCCACTGCATGGAGCCCCATGGTGAGACGGACTGCAGGCTTGCAGCCCCACACCTATGCACCGGCAACGTGCCCCCAGGAACACAGGACCAACTCCAAATTTGGGAATGAAGATAATGTTCAGGGGAACACAGGACCAACTCCAAATTTGGGAATGAAGATAATGTTCAGGTAGGAAAGGAGGAGTGCACAGGAGAGGAAGGAAGTGAAAGCAAGTGGTGGAGAGGACAAGGGGAGCCTCAGGGTCCTCATTTGGAAAATGGGGCAAGAAGACCTGCTTCACAGGATGGTTGATTGTTGGGAGGATTTGAACACATAGCAGGTGATTCACTCTCCCTCTCCCCTCCCTCCTCTCTCCTCTGGCCCATGTCTGTCCCCCTCCCCTCCTCTCCGCTCCTCTTCTTTCCTCTCCTCACCTCCCCTCTCTTCTCCTCCCCTCCCTTCCCCTCTTCCCTTCTCTCATCCCCTCTTCTCCCCTTCCCTCACCCCCATCATACAAACTCACAGACACACATATGTATTGACGTAGTTTTAAAAGTGAAAATAGGGAATTTGTAGCCAAGGTCTGCTCTGACATGACAATAAATGGGATGAGGGAGGCAAGAGAGCCCGGAGAGACAGAGTCCCCTTGAGCTTCAGGGAAAGCTTCCCAGGAGCTGGAGAAAGGGGTCCCTCAAGAGCTATCATCTGACATTGACCGGGAGGTCCCTCAAGGCCAAACAGGCTCTAATGGTAGTTCCACCATTGGAACCTCACGCCTTTGAGGTAAGCATTGCTCTCTCTTCTGCAGTTTCTGTAAAGAAATGCAAGAGCTGGCACACAAAGCAGAAATGCACATTTCAAGCACTTTCTTTCAACAGAAGCCTTGGGAAAAGAGGGGACCATGAGAAATGGAAGGAAAAGGGGAAAGGACAGGACTCAGCCAAGGTAGATGCTTCTCATTCACACATGGGCTCCAGGGTTCTGAGGCTTCACATAAGCCTAAGACTGGGAGAGGAGGTGGCCCAAGCCTGCAGAAGGACATGATTTCTGTGGCGTGTGGCTGTATATCAGTTTCCTCCACACCAGCCTCTTATCTCCTGTAGGCAGAAAGGCGAGGCTGATGGGAAGGCCAGATTATACCCCTGACTGGGCCTGCTTCTCATCGCTGTTAAACCACTTCCTTGGACTCCTTTGAGCTCGGCACATCTGGCAACCCGGTGGGCTTTTTCTTGAGGACCAGGGAAAACACAAACCCAGACTTGTGTGGGTGTGTATGATCCGTAAATACTCCCAACGTGCTGATGGAAGTTCCAACTTGTTCTGTGTCCCCAAACAAGCTCGTCCCCTCCCTGGGCCTCGGTTTCCTGAACTGCAAAATTGTGGCAGGGAGACAAGGCTAGCTGATGTCTAAGAACTCTTCTTGTCTTGAAATTAAAACATTAATAATAATAGAGGCACTGCTTTCACCTCCAGGGGTGATAACCAGGGAATGCACAGAGAAATATTTGCGGATATTCTTGCATACTGAAACCCAGTTTCTGCAGAGCCAAATACCTACGTATTCAGAAAAATCCAACTAAATGGCAGATTATCCATTATCAGCCTAAGAGATGGAGTCTTGCCGACTTAAGGGCCATATTTATTTGCTCAGAGTTAATGTGCTTAATCTGAACCTATACATTAGTGTTCAGGCACTGGTGGCCTTGTTTCTTTTGCACTGTACCATGTTTTTAGAAATTAGAAATTGAGCAAACAGGCCAGACATGGTGGCTCATGCCTATAATCTCAGTGCTTTGGGAGGCCAAGGTAGGTAAATCACCTGAGGTTAGGAGTTTGAGACAATCCTGGTCAACATGGTGAAACCCCATCTCTACTAAAAATACAAAAATTAGCCAGACATGGTGGTGGACGCCTGTAATCCCAGCTACTTGGGAGGCTGAGGCAGGAGAATCGCTTGAACCTGGGAGGGAGAGGTTGCAGTGAGCTGAGGTGCAGTGAGTGCAGTGAGCCACTACACTCCAGCCTGGGTGGCCGGGGTTGGGGGGCAGGGGCGGAATGAGCAAACATTTTAATAACAGAAGACTTCCTATGAAAGTTTCAATATCCAACATTTCTAGAAAAGCCTGCGGATCTCATGACAGTCAGCTGGAGCCGAGGAGAGGGTGTGCCTGTTTGTCATGGGCACAGTCTTCTCTTCCCAGTCCCACTAGATGACATTATTCTCTCTCGTCACCTGCCTGCCCAGGTGTTTGAGTTTGAGACTATGCATTAACAGAAAATGGTTGCTGAAGGCAGAAAAGAAGATGCCCCTGTTGGAAATGTTGCCCTTCCAGGTGAATGATGCAGAAACACCCATGTGCCTGCTCTGCCCTAGAACAGTCAACCTTCCTGCTCTTCTTGGCCATGAACAAGGCCTGACACGTGGCTGCCCGAACTTTTTGGACAACTGGCTGCCCTCCTTCTCAGACAGGAGTGTCAGCCAGCGAGGGCTGGGGCCCATATGCTTCCCAGAAATGTCCCAATCTCCCATTTGATTGGGCTTTCCTGCTGGATCTCTGTACCACCTACTGCCAACTGGTGGCTTTTCCTTTTCTTCTGCCACAGGCCTTTTACCAATGTGTGAAATTGCTTTCTCTTTCTTTCTGCGGGTGGATCTCCATGTTTGGTGAAAGGGTTCTGCTGAGTTGGGGTGGAGGCTTTTGCAAAAGTGATTTTTTCAAAAGGCTTTTCCCTCTCTGACTTTCAAGACCCTACCTACCTGCCTCATTTTCCTTCTCCTCTCCTATCTCTAGCCTGCTGTGTGTCAGCATGGGGGAGGCGGGGGACAGCAGGGGACAACAGAAAGGGAAGGTTTCCAGAGAAGGGAATACTTGGCATGGCTGTGGTTCTATGGCTAAAAATGGCAGGAAAGTCATGCGAAGATGAGAAAAGAGCCTGTAGCAGGCCACAGAGCTAGGAAGTTGCCAGGCATGTGAAGGGAGCATGTGGTGAGTAGAAATATAGTGTGCCCGTGAGTGTAGTTTTCAGGGGAGTGTTGGCAAAAGGATGGTGATGGTGAGGAAGGATAGGCGGGGCCCAGAGTCCGAATGCCATGCTACACTGCTGGCTTTGATCTGAGGTCAGTGGGAGCCATTGTAAATTTAAGCCAGAGAGCAACATAGTCAGATCTGAGTTTTGGAAAGAGCAATGGATTGACTGGAGGAGAGACAAGAGACAGGAGGAGCAGAGAGAAAACAACAGCAAGAGTCCATGCAGGAGACAAAAGTCTGCATTGGCAGAGGCATGGCTCGGGGGGCCAGCAAGTCAGCACCATGAGAGAGACCCTTCCCTGGGTCACATATGCAGGGAGAGGAAAAGGGTAGAGCTAGAGACAGCACCAAAATGTGTAACCTGGGCTCCTGGACGACGGTGACTCCAGTAAGACAGAGGAGGGAAAAACAGCTCTGGGAAAAGTCCAAAGTCCAACGAGTCTGGTTTTACACTTAGATAAGTACAGGTTGAGTATCCCTTATCTAAAATGCTTGAGACCAGAAATGCTTTGAATTTCAGTCTTTTTTGGATTTTGGAATATTTGCATTAGGCTTACCAGTTGAGCATCCTAAATCCAAAAATTTGAAATCTGAAATACTCCGATGAGCATTTCCATTGAGCATCAGGTCAGTGCTCAAAAAACTTCTGATTTTGGATGTTCGGATTTGGGATGCTCACCCTGTAATTAATATGTGAGACAAAGATGGTTTGGGGGGTTGTAGGATCAGTTTGCTCACTCTTCAATTTATGGGACTATATGCATGTTTTTCAAACTTATAAAAGATTCATGTTGTATTGGTCTACAGAGCACTTTGGAATCAAGGAAAAGTCATTTTCTTTCTTCCTTTGCTGCCTTGGAGATTCACATTCAGCCTTCAAGCCCTGGTTGAAATGTCATCTCTTCCAGGCAGAACTACCAGCCTTCCCCGTGTGCTCCCTGTTCTTATTTCACAGCTGTTCTTACCCTGTGGACCTAGAGTTCACAGTCCAGCATCTCCCTCACTCAATGATAAGCATATTGATTTAATCTTTAAACCCCCCATCTGGCACAGTGTTTAATATATAGAAGTTGTTGCTAAAAGTTGAAGAATGAATAAATAATATTTTTCATATCCTTTTTACAGCTTTAGATTCATGGCACAGAGAAACCCCAGAGCTTGTCCTAGATCACTCAGTGATCTTAGAGTAGATTCCTAAGACTTCTTCTCTAGCTTGGTCATTTCCAGAAGACTTCACACTCAGGTTTTCCAAAGCATGTATTTATCCCATGCAGTTACTTATAAATTAGAGCCCCCTTGGAAATTCAATGATTTCACAACTAAATCTAAATTTCATTTCTTTTTTTTTTTTTTTTTTGAGATGGAGTCTTGCTCTGTCGCCCAGGCTGAAGTGCAGTGGTGCAATCTCGGCTCACTGCAAGCTCTGCCTCCCGGGTTCATGCCATTCTCCTACCTCAGCCTCCTGAGTAGCTGGGACTATAGGCGCCCGCCACCACACCTGGCTAATTTTTTGTATTTTTGTGGAGATGGGGTTTCACCATGTTAACCAGGATGGTCTTGATCTCCTGACCTCGTGATCTGCCCGCCTTGGCCTCCCAAAGTGCTGGGATTACAGACGTGAGCCACAGCGCCTGGCTCAACTAAATCTAAATTTCTTATTTCTTTTGATAAGTCAGGAAATCTGGAGACATTGGACAGGCTCCTCTTCCCAATTAGCCACACTCCCCACCATGCCCCAAGACTTCCCCAATACCAGGGGATGTGTTGTTATGTAATACCATGCTTGCACTGTTGCTTTTTTCTTATATAGAGGACCACAGTTGTATGGCTGTGGCTTTAACAGACATGGAAGCAAAATGAACCTAGAATTAGACTCATGTTTGGAGAAGAATGAGAAGGAACACATTTTTTGGTGGAAGTGACAATTATTCCTATGTGCTATCTTTAAGGTACAAAGGACTCCTTACTTCACTCATTTTCACATGCACTCTCTTTGCTGTAACTCCTGTGACCAAGTCCCCAGGCATTGAGACTCATCCCATAGAGAAGCAGTAGGGCACAGGGGTTAGGAGCATGGCCCTTCTGGGTTTTCTTTGGCTAAGTTAGCTTGGGTAAAGTTAGCAAGTTTTGTTGGGCTGGGGTTAAGCTCCTTAACTTCTCTTTCCTTCAGTGTCCTCATCTTCAAAAGGGGGTGATGATGATAATAACACCTATCTTGTAGGTGATTGTGAAGATGGAATGAAACAAGAAATGTAAAGAGTGAATGAAGCCGGGCACAGTGGCTCATGCCTATAATCCCAGCACTTTGGGAGGCTGAGGCAGGTGGATCACTTGAGGTCAGGAGTTTGAGACCAGCCTGGCCAACATGGCGAAACCCCATCTCTATTAAAAATACAAAAATTAGCCAGGCGTGGTGGTGCGCACCTGTAATCCCAGCTATTGGAAGGCTGAGACATGAGCATCACTTGAACCTGGGAGGCGGAGGTTGCATTGAGCCGAGATCTGGCCACTGTTCTCCAGCATGGGAGACAGAACGAGACTTCATTTAAAAAAAAAAAAGTGAATGATATTACCTGACACCTGGTAAGGAGGCAGAGGACAGGAGTATTTTTGTCATTATGGTGAGTGACAACATACCAACTCACTCATTAGTTAATTTATTTGGTAAGTGAAGATCGACTTAGTGACTAAGAAGGTTGATGCCTTTGAAAAGTGCCAAATCAAAAAATTTGAAGGTTTCTTGGTCCATGTCAGTGGTTCTCAATCCTGGAAGTGGATGGGAATAATCTTTGTTGCTCTCCCCAGATACTAGTCTGGGGACCCACCAAAGAGCAATTACACCAGACCCTCCAGGGACAGGATTTGTGGCCCCCAGAATGATGACAACTATGCCAGGTTACGGTCAGGATGGGAAACTCGTCTCAAGTCAGGTCAAGGTCATGCGCAGTCCTGAGACCAGGTGCCTCCTTACATTACACACCCTCAGTGCCTCATTTACCTGCCCTGGTCCCTGTCTTGCCTCAAACCACTAAAACAGAAACTCCATGAGGGCAGAGACTTTTTCCCTATTTTTCTTTCACTACTATCCCAGTGCCTGGAACAGCAGTGCACATATAATATGCTCTTGATAAATACTTATTGAGAGAATGAATAAATGGATACATGAATAGGCCCATCTTCCAAAGGTTCGGATTGCAGTCACCTCTTTGCTAGAGACTGCTGGATTTGCTCTACATAAACCAGAAGAGTGGAGTCCTAGACTTCAGATGCTCAGTGTTTCCAGAAGAGACCTTCAAGGTCAGCTGGGACAATTTCTTTTTTTTTTTTTCCAAACCATCTCTCATCATCATGATATTTTCCTTGTCTGCATCCCACTTGAGCTGTTATTTCCTTAATGGTGGCTTTACATCAATTCGTGCTTACTTAGAAACATCTGTCTGACAAAGAAACCCTAAAAAGATCAGTTCTGCCAAGGAAAAACTATCACTTGCCATACATAGAAAGGCAACTGTGAAATTAAGTACAAAGGAAATAAATCAAGTTATGAAATGGAGTTGGATGCTGATGCCTGCTGAGGATGTGAGCCTGGGCCTTCCCCTCTTATCATTATGAAGAGAGGGTTGAAAACATTGCAGAGGTGTTAAAGAGATGTTAGCATTGGATTGAGACTTTCTCTTAGAGGGAGTCAGAGGCTAGAAAGAGTCCAGAAGTGATACCTTTCTCTCTCTGAGTTAGTACTGTTTAATACCATGTCTTTGCATGTCACCCAAACCCATCCATGTGCTGCCCAACCATCAGTGGTATTCATCCCACTGGAGAAATCCATAGTTAGTCCCAGCTCCTTATTTTGTAAGACTTAGGTCCAAAGAGGCCCAAGTTCATATTCATTTATTCATTCATGCATTTGTTTGACATATATCAAACACCTCCTATATGCCTGGCACTGTGAACTAGACAGGCTAAGTCCCAGCTATTTTGGAGCTACCAACCCAGGGTCAGAGGAGGGGCTATACCTTTGGTCCCAGACCCCTAGTGCAGTGCTCCTTCTCTGCCCCTTCTCAGAAGGTGTTTTTGTAATCCCCATCTACACCCTACCCTCATGGGTGACTTGGGCACTTAGTGTTGCATTAACATCGTTTCCTTTTAATAAAGCAGCTACATTTTCACCCCATCCCGGGCTCCATGTTCCTGCTGCACACACATCAAGAATGCTGCTAATTTCAGCGTCTGCCTTCCAGACCCAGACGTCAAAACAACTACCTTTCATCTCAGGTTTGTAACACAGAAAACCTTCAATATTGGGAACAGATAACCTCGAAGGTGGGTTCATATCTCTCAGCACGATTGCTGTAACTTAACTCTGCTGCACCCGATCAAGGCTTTCTCTCTGCCTCATAGGTATTTTAATACAAATGTTCCTTTCATTTGGCTGATTGAAGGTCTCCAACCTGCAATAAATGAAACATCTGATCCCCTTGAATCCAAATAACTTTTTCTTTGATTTTCTTTTACTTCTATTTCTTCGTCCTTTGTTCTACAGCCCGAGTCAAATTTCCCTTTAGAAATTGAAAGAATGTGTGTGGGTTTTTCCTGCTTTTTTTTTTTTTTTAACCAAGCTCTAGTGCAACCGCTGGTTCATGGACTAGAATATTAAGATCCAATTCAATGGCAGACTGTCTCCAGCAATGTTGTATTTTTATTTTTTTTTGCCGTCATCCCCCCCACCCACTTGTGAGCAATGGTTGTACAAATTAGCCTCTGTGTACTAGTCACCGAAGCTGGCTTCCCAATTAACCCCAGGCTTGAGAGAAAATAAGACTAAAGATTCTTCCCCTCCTGAAAGAACTAAGTTATCCATGCACAAAAGCCTACATGTTGGCACCTGGCTATGGAGTTGGGCATTTAATTGCCTTTGTAATGACTCAGTCCATCTGCATGGTATTGGGTCCCCAGTTTCAGGTAATGGGCCAGAGGGGTCTTATTAGTCTCTGGAATGACCAGGCCATGTGTATTCATCACTTCGAAAGGCAAGCAGGGTCTGTGAGAAGCTGGTGAAGCTCTTTGTGTGTTCACATCTCTGATTGTGCCCTGTGTCCACACTTAGCCAGGACACCTACCCACTTAGTGGTCTTGGCTTTGTTTCTAGGGTGAGGGCTTGAGCTGTGGGTAACAGTGCTGATTATTACATGCTAGTAAGATTGTCTCCCTCTTTGAAGTGGTAGAAAGGTTTGTCCCTTCAGGGTGATTGGGTGAATATCAGAAAGCAACCACAGGAACATTTTGTTGTACTTTGCTAAGGTCTAAATATTTGTCTCCTCCCACCAAAAATTAGTGGTTGAAACCTCATCCCCAGTGTGATGAAATGAGGAGGTGAGGCCTTTGGGAGGTGACGAGGTCTTGAAGGCAGAGCCTTTATGGATGGGATTAGTACCCATATAAAAGAGACCTCAGGGAGCTTGTTCACCCCTTCTGTCATGTTGAGTACTCAGCAAGAAGATGCCATCTATGAGGAATGGACCCCCACCAGACACCCAATCTGCCAGTAACTTGATCTTGGACTTCCCAGCCTCCAGAACTGTGAGGAATCAGTTTCTGCTATTTATGAGTTACCCAGTCTATGGCATTTTGCTATGGCAGCCCAAATAGACTGAGACATACTCCTTAACCTTTGACCCACTTCTGTTTAGGCCCAGCCAGCCTTCCTGAGCCTGTGCATAGTCTTCCTGGCTCAAGGAACTCTCTCTACCGAGGTGTGATCTCCTAACTCCTGGCACTCATTTACCTATCCATGGTTGGTAGTCAGCCTCCAAGATGCCTGCAGTCATCCCTGCCTCCTGGGATTCATATCCTCCTCCACATTGTGCCAGGATTGGGCTCTGTGGCCAAAAAGAAAACAGCAGATGAGAGGACGTGTCTCTTCTCAGAAGGGTTAGAAAAGACTGTGGCTTCCATTTTAGATGACTTTCTCTCTCTCTCTCTCTCTCTCTCTCTCTCTCTCTCTCTCTCTCCTCTTTTCCTTCTTCTCTTCCTTGGATCTCTTGCTCTGAGGAAAGCAAACTACTATGTTGTGAGCAGCCCAATGGAGAGGCCCACAAGACAACGAACTGAAGCCTCCAGCAACAACCCTGTGAGGTCAGTTTGGAAGTGGATTTTCTAGCCCCAATTGAGCTTAAGATGACTTCAGCTTCAGCAGACAGCTTGACTGCAGCCTTTCTAGAGAGCAAGCACCACCCAGCTCTGCTGCTTCTAGACCCCTGACCTCAGAAATTGCACGAGATAACATGTTTGCTGTTTCAGGCTGCCAAATTTAGGGGTAAGCTGTTATGTAGCAATAAATACCAGCACACCATGTGAGCTCGTCTCTCGAGGGACTCTCTGAGGCTCCTGATGTTCCTGGTTGGCTCCCTCAATCTATGTGCTTGTTGTCCCTTAATATGTATTTTCAGTTCTTCCTTCATAAGAAACACCCTTAGCTTTTAAGTGGATCCTTGGCTGCCTGGAATAAACACTACATTGCCCCAGGTTTTTTGGCAGTTAAATGTGATCATGTGACTTAACCGTATTCTAGTCAATGGGCATATGTGGAAGTGGTGTGTGCAACTTCTGGAGAGCACCCTTACTAGGCGGATGCACCTTTCTTTCCACTTTCCTCCTTCCTGCAGGCTGGAACTGCCCATAAAGGCTGGCACCCCAGCAGCCACCTTGAGAAATGCAGTGATGATGCTGAGTGGCAAGGCAGAAGGCACAGGGTCCCTGCACCTGAGGATTGCTGCTCCAAACCTGGGCCACCAGCCTGAAGATCCCGCCAGGGAGAAATAAAGCTCTGTTTTGCTGAAGCCACTGCTATTTTGGGGGTCTCATCTCTTCCAGCTGATTCTAACCTGAAATTGAACCTTAATTCAATCTGGCTGATCCATGAACAACCATCACGCCTTGTGCTCTGTGTCAGATAGGTTTCTTAAGGGAGAATGTCACTTACTGACAGTGATTTGTCAACACCAAAGAGGAAAAAATATCAGAGAAAGGTAAGAGGGAGAACAATAGAGAGAGAAAGAGAGACAGAGACAGAGGGGGAGAGAGAGAGAGAGAGAGAGAGAGAGAGAGAGAGAGAGAGCAGACTTGGTTTAATTTCCTCTTTTCCCTTATTACTTTCTGACATTTTCTGACCTTAATACCTTTGAAACTTAGCACTTCCCTCAGAAGCCTCCACTGTAAACAAAGCCCCAAGATTTCCCTATAATTTTCCCCTCCCCATTGGCCCATCAGTCCCCATGGGCTTCTGCTTACCAGGATGCCCAACTATTCCCCTGCAAACATCCCCCTGCCCAGTGGGCCCTAACACTCACTAGTAGCATTGCCTTTCCCCCTCTGTTCTGCCCTCCTCCAGAGGCTCCCCATTCTCTGGATCTAATGTTGTCCCAGAAGTTTACCCCTCCCTGTCCCACCCAGGCGACCTCAAATTCTCCTAGTGGCTTCCAATGACCCAGTTGTGCCCAGAAGCTTCTCCCTAACAGCTTAGGCTGTCACAGCCTTCCAGAGGCCTCACCCATCTTAGTAGGGTCTATTGCTCCTGTTCCTTAAGCCCTAGCAGTCCCTCCACCCAGTAGGCCCTGAAACTGTAATGCAGTCCTCTCAGGCTGAGGACCTGCTCTGTGCAAAGGCCTGAGAGGGAGGTGGAGAGAAGCCAGGCAGAGGCCAGATATATTAGCAGTTTTCCTAGAACAGTTGCTAAAATAGAGCAGACAGGGGCTATGGGAGTTGATCAATAGATATTCATTGAACATCTACTTTGTGCTGCGAATGATTTCAGTCATGAGGGACATAGCAGACCATAAAACAGAACAGGGGAAGCCTTCTTTAGAAGTGGTCCTGGTATATTTCTGTCAATTGACATATATTCACAAATTCACGCATCCACTTAATACGTATTTATTGAGCTCCTTCTGTATACGAGGCACTGTTCTTGTTGCTGAAAATACAAAACTGAACAAAACAGAAAAGCTCCTGCCCTTGGGAGCTTATGTTCTAGTAAGGAAATGAAATAAACAACAAACAGCGAGTGCCTTCAGTCTTATGTTCCCAGAAGAAGATGCTGAGACAAGGGTTGAAGTGCAGGTAATTTATTAAGAAAGAGCTCCCAGGAGATATCCATAAGGGCATAGGGAAACAGGGCAAGAGAGGGGGAAGAAGCCCAGCAAAGGTGCAGCTTCCCAAAGTCCCAACCTCTGCCTGATCCTGTGGAGAGCTCTGGGGTATAAATTACATCTCAGGGTCTGTCTGTCTTTGAAGCAGGGGTGTCAGGCTTTTATACTCCCACATCCATTGGCTACAGGCTGGAGGGGTGAGGGGGAGTAAATTTTGGGTACTTTTTCTCCTCTCTGCATGCCATGGGGACAAAGCAGCTGCAGAGGTTCATGGGCCAGCACAGGAAGGAAGTTCCAGGTGTGAACCTTTTAGAAGTAAAATACGTAGGGCCAGGTGTGGTGGCTCACGGCTGTAACCCAGCATTTTGGGAGGCCGAGGGTGGTGGATCACCTGAGGTCAGGAATTCAAGACCAGCCTGGCCAACATAGTGAAACTCCATCTCTACTAAAAATATAAAAATTAACCAGGTGTTGTGGTGCATGCCTATAATCCCAGCTACTTGGGAGGCTGAGGCAGGAGAATAACTTGAACCCGGAAGGCAGAGGTTGTAGCGAACTGAGATCATTCCACTGCACTCCAGCCTGGGCAACAAGAGAGAAACTCTGTCCCAAAAAAGGAGAAGGAGAAGGAGAAAGAGAAGGAGGAGTAGGGGAAAATGTGTGTAGAGGCTGGGGGTGAGCACACAGAATAAGTAAAAGGGACCTGAGGGATGCATCCATGCAATAGATTATCATAATATGATGACAGGTGTGAGAAGCATTGAGGATTTCACCACTCCTGACCCCTCCTCCATGCACAGGGGCATCCGGAGGATCTCCATGTCTCTATTCCCCTTACCTTGCTCTGCCCCAAGGGAGGTGACTTGGCTGATTGATAAGGATTCTAGGAGGAATAAACTGAATGTGAGCAGCTCTGTCCTGTCCTCATTCCTTGTCTTATTTTGGTCTCCTTAAAGACCTAGGGTACAGAAGGAAGGGCAGTGACTGGGGGATTCCTTAGGAAACCAGCATTCTGAAAAATAATGACGTGGGCAAGAGAGTGGGAGTGGCTGGTGGTCTTCCCCTTGGGGGAACTGAGAAAGCTGCAGTGAGAAAGGGGCCATGGGGATGTCAGGGAGGCTCAGGCCAGGTAGGGGAGCAGCCCCTGCACAGGCCTCAGGGTGGGGGTGTGCTTGGCACTTTTGAAGATTAGCCAGCGCAGGTGGAGCAGGGTAAACAAGGAAGAGTGTGATAGAAGATGGCATCAGAGAATGAAGCAGGAGCTGAGTTGGCAGGACCTGCAGGCCAAGCCCAGGACTGCGGGTTGGTGCCAACCAAGAGGGGAGCAAGGGCAGCTTTCAAACAGGCAATAACACAATCATGGATAAAAGGATCCTTTTGACTTCTGAGTACAGAAGGATAATAGGGGAAAACGGAGGAAGGCAGGGAGACCAGTTAGGGTGCTCCAGCAATAGTCCAGGCGAGAACTGATGGGCACTTACACCAGATTCTTCTGCAATTAGTGGTGAAAAGTGGTCAGATATGGAATCTATTTTGCAAGCAGAGCCCACAGGTTTTGCCAATGGAGTGACTGTGTGGTAGGGGAGGGAGTGGTGGCAATCAGGGATTCTACAGCAGCCACTGTTGTGCCACATCCATAGGTCCTCTCTTCACCATGTTAGAGGCCCCGCTTCTAATGGCCAGCCTGAGGTCCATTTTTATTTTATTTTATTTTATTTATTTTATTTATTAATTTTATTGCCTAAGGGCTTCCTCTGACCACTGGAGCCCACTCTGCCCGTGTGTCCAAAGCAGGCCAGAGGATCCCTCAGGGGCAGCCTCAACCGATGACTGATGGGAGATGGTGTATATGCAGCCCAGTTCCGTCACCCCACAGGGGAGGGACGTAACTCTGAGGCTTGTGCTCTGCCCTGGCTCCTAAAGTCCCCAGCAGGATGAAGCTCCAGTAGTTCATATCGATAACTTGCTTGACAACACACCCTTCATGGGGTGCATTTCTTTTCCATCTCGCTTTCCCACTTCCTCTCACTACTTCCTGAGAGCATTTTCCAAACAGACTATTCACACTCAAAGCCTGGCCCAGGGTCTGCTTCTGGAAGAACTCAACCTCAAAGAGCTAGTGCTAGAGCTTTTGGCTGGATCAGCTAGAAGAGGGGCAGTGCCATTTATTGGAAGAAGGAAGAAGTGTCAAGACTGCAGATTGGCCACGTTGGGTCAGAGATGTCTATTGGCCATTCAAGCCAAGCTGTTGAGTGGGCACGTGGAAATACAGGTCTGGAGAGTTGAGAGTAATTGTCAGGCTGGGGGAATAAACCTGAACACAGAGCATGCTCATATTACAGAGCATGCTCATATTATTCTGTGTCTACAGTAGAGCCCTGCACCTTCTGACTTTCTGTCACTAATGGCAGAGAAGACAACACCGACAAGTATAAGTCCAGGCAGGCACCAAGTCCAAGTTACTTTGATATTTTCAAGGAACGGCCAGGCTCAACAGGACCCTGCTTACCCAAATGCACAGACTGCTGGTGAGGGGGCCGGGTGGCTGTTTTAAGGTGGACACCATTGGGTATTATCTGGAAGAGCTCAGACTTTAAAATCAGTCAGCCCTGGGCTGGATGTTTGGTTCTGTCACTTCATAGCACATCGTCCTTTGACAAGTCCACTAACTTCTCTGAGTCTTAGTTCCTCCATCTGTAAAATAATGCTGATAGAGTTATTGGGATGGTAAGATTTTTAAAAATCATGTCATACAGGATTCAACAAAAAGAAGGACCTAATGCATCTTACTTAATTCCCCTCTCATGAAGGAAAAAAAGCTATTTTTTTCTATTTCTTGTCTGCGTATATTTCTTTGATGGTTCTTAAATATTTTTTGATGGCTAATATAGTGAGTGAAGACAGAAAGACATTGCGAAGACACCAAAGACACAAGAGCTTTCATCTTAGTTGTTACCTTTGAATGTTCCAGAACTACTGCTACAACAGAATAAGCCCAAGGTGATTTAGACAGAAATCTCAGGATGCTACATATTAGCCCCCTAGTTCACTGCAATAAAAAGTTTAGGTGGAGGCCAGACGTGGTGGCGCACACCTGTAATCCCAACATTTTGGGAGACTGAGGCAGGTGGATCACTTGAGTTCAGGAGTTTGAGGCCAGCCTGAGCAACATGGTGAAACCCCATCTCTAAACAAAAACAAAAACAAAAACAAAAACAAAATTTAACCGGGTCTGGTGGTGAGCACCTGTAGTCCCAGCTATTCGGGAGGCTGAAGTGAGCAGACAGCTTGAGCCCAGGAGGTCAAAGCTGCAGTGAGTCATGAGTTGTGATCACGCCACTGCACTCCAGCCTGGGCAACAGAGTGAGACCCTGTTACAAAAAAAAAAAATGTGGGAGAATTGAGGGAGAGATATATAGAGAGAGACTGATCAACTAGTTCTTCCCTTAGGGCCTAAATGCCACCATAACTTCTTGCATGCCCATTACTGGGCTGTTGACACAGCATTGGCACGTGCCACACATTGAACCACAAATACCTGAGTTGGGTAGGGGATATTTCCAGACCTCTTGCTCCTGCTGGTGAAAAAGACTTTTGAGCTGGAATCTCCACCCCACAGTGGCAGTATCCTGGCTCTGGCTTTCAGAAATGCCAGCTCAGATGCGGAGAGGAGGACTTTGCATCTGTGAAAACCCTTGATGTCCCCTTCCTGAATAGGTCTAGCTTTAGCCACGGGGGTGTCCTGACTCAAGCTCAGAGTCTCCCTTTGCTATACCCTTTAGAAGCTCAGCCCAGGGCTGCGTTGGGGGTGTTTGTAAGCTCTTTAACATGTCCTGTAGTTAGTTTTAAAGGGTCTCCTTGTCCTGAAAGCTCTCTAAACAACAATCATCTCTTTCTCTTCCTTCTTCGTTTCTTTTCTTTGTTTTTCATCTCTGGATTTGTTTCTACCGTGATTGGAAACCTGCTGTTGTGAGTTTGCATGGAGGAGGTGAAGCCTTCTCATGTCCTCCTGCTTGTTACTTGCAGGAAGGCAAACATCAAAAGGCACTGCACCGGCTCCCCACGCGGCCCAGATCTTCCTGTATAATGTGGAGAGGAAATTGGTGCCTTTGTGCTTCTCTTGCTCAGATCATATCAATTCAGTTTTCCCCTTCACTTAATTTGTAGTTCGAGTCGTCCTCGCAGGCACAGCAGTGGTGGGTGCGGAGGAAGGTCAGGAGGGGGAGAGGAAGCAGGCTGGATGCTGGGGCTCATAGAGATGCCGAAGGATATTGGAAATGATGGGAGCAAAGGGCCAACCTAGTGGAGGGTAAACCCCAGGTCAAGGGATTGGAGAGGTGCTGTGGCATTAACCCCAGATGCCCCTGACTCAGATACTTTCCTTTTCGAATCCATAAAATGGGGAGCTTGGGATAAATAAGCATTAGAAGCCTTTCCAACCCTGTAAGTCTGTGATTGTACTCCCAGTTCTGTCTCTTAAAATATAGCCTTGGCCACATCACTTAATCTCTGGGCCTCTGTGGTGGAGGTTGTAAGGTGACTTAATGAGTAACATCCATGAAGGTGCTTAGCTGCTCCTGAGAGTATAAGAGAAGCCCCCAAAATGGCATTTAAATATACATCTCTTTTTCTGTACCTCTTGTGTACACACAGGGGGTGCCCAGGAATTTCTTCATTTGATATATTTATTATAGTAAGCATTTTAGGCTTTGTGGACCATATATAGTCCATGTTGCATATTGTTTTCCAACCATTTAAAAATGTAAAAACCATTCATAGTTTGCAGGCTATACAAAAACATGTAGTGAGCTGGAGCTGGTCTGCAAGCCAGTTTGCCCGTTCCTGCTCTATAGACAAAGTGGTTGTGTTCAAAGGCTAGCTTAGCCACTTACTAGCTGTGTGACATTGGACAAGTCACTTAACCTCCCTGATGATAATTTTCTTTATCTGTTAAATGGAGATTGTAACTTCCTTTCTCATAGTGATACTATAAGGATTATACATGTATATGACACTTAGCAGAATATTTGGCATATAGTTAACATTTAATAGTGGTTATTGCTGTTGTCATTAATTTGTAGCTGGGAATTTGGGGGCTGCATAAATGAGGACTTGGTTGGAATAGAAGGGTTTTGTTTTGTTTTGTTTTGTTTTGTGCCACAAGGTCAAGAGGGAAGGGATCTCCAAGAACAAGGCCCAGGTCATTTCTAGGCTCAAGATTCATTTATTAATTCACCTGTCCACTGACATATATTGAGGGTTTACTATGCCAGGAACTGTAATGAGGATTGAGGATGCAGCAGAGTATAAAACAAGCAAAATTCTTGCATTTAAGGAGCTCATATTCTCATGGTGGTGGAGGGAGATAGATGATACACATATAAATAAGGTAATATGCCCAAGGTGATAAGGACTATCAGGAAAAATAAATCGGGTAGGGGTTTTGAAAATGATGGATTTATGTAGGGAGATCAGAGAAGACCTCACTGGGAAGAATGATATGAACAGAGTCCTGAAGGAGGGGAGAGAGTCAGTCATGTGGATGGATATTTGGAAGAAGAGAATTCCTGGCACCAGAAGCAGCAAGTGCAAGGGCCCTGAGGCTGGAACATATTTGGCCTGCTGCAGAAGAGCGAGAACACCAGTGAAGCCAGAGTCAAGTGTGCTAGAGAGAGAAGTCGATCAGACGCCAGAGAAAGGGGGACTTGGGGAAGGGGTGTATACCATGTCGGGCCTTTCAGGTCATTGTAAAGTCTTCCTGTACAAGAAAGCTGGGAAGGTGGACAGATTCTTCACTCATTTCCATTGCAGTCATTTGTTCTTTTATTCAACTTATATTCATTGCAGCAGCCACTCTGTGCCAGACAGTGTTCTCATCCCTGTGCCATAGACATGCACAGAGATGAGAATCACCTTTGCTCTCAAAGAGCTCTAAATCAAGTAGGATTAGTTAGCCGTTAATCAAATAAACACATAAAAATAAGACCACTCCTTGGAAGGATGATGGGGGGATGATAGGGAGAACTGATGTGGTCTGGCATTCTGGGACTTTGCCCTGAGGAAGGGACGGTGGAGTGCAGGTCTGGGTGTTAGGCAGGTGGGAGCTCAGCCCCTTCAAGGAGCTCTGCAAAGGCCAGTGTGGTGAGAAGGTGGAGAGCGAGGCCAAGCCTGGTGGGAGCATGAGGGCTGGAGTGGTGGGCAATGAATGGCTGGATCTCACAATGAATGGCTGGATCTTACAACGAATGCCTTGTGGGCTGGGGCCAAGACCATCTTTTCCTTCTCCTAAGAGCAAGGAAATCTCAGAAGTGAGTAGAGAATGGCATAATCACATTTGCTATTGGAAGAAATCACTCTGGCTGCCCTCATGAAGGGGGAATCGGAGTGAATTTGAGGTCACCAGTGAAGAAGTGATTACAGTTACCAAGTTGAAGAATTACTTTGAATTACAAGTTGAAGAGTTACTTTGATAAGAGTTGAAACAAGGAGGCTGAAGAGAAGTAGATAAACCCTAGAATATTTTGCAGGTAGGCTTGGAGAACTTGGTAGCAGATTAGCCATGGGGATTAAGGAAGAAGGAGCACAAAAAAGCCTCTGAAGTTTGGGATTTGTGTCCCCAGAAGAAGGGTGACCAGGATATTGGCAGGAGGGTTGAAGCCTTGACAGTTCCCATTGCTGTGATCTGCCAGAACAGGGCTCCTGGAAGGTAAGGACCATGGCTAGTTCCCTGTCCTGCATCTCGCCCTGCAACTGGTTCACACAGCAGGCGCTAGATCCCTGCAGAGGTGAGGGTTCCTTCAAGCCAGTCCTCCTCCAGAAAGTCAGGAGAGAACATGGAAAACAAGTGGAATTGGTGGAAGCAGCATGAGATAAAAATTCTATTTGGAAATGGTGAGCATGAGGCTTAAATATCTGTGGGGTTTCTACAATGAGCTTTGCAAAAGTGGCTCGTGATTTTACTCATCAATTTCTCAAGGTGACTTTTGATTGCCATCGCCCTGGCCTGGTTCAACTCCTTCTTTCCCTGTGCCCTTCCCTTCCTCTCTCCTCCAGGATCCTCCCTCCATTCCCTTTTAGAGGTCACCTTGAAAAGGACCCTCGGAGCTCCTTTCTACTTCAAGGCCAGTGCACATGCTGCCCTGTTGGCTGTGAAACCTCTTCTCTCCAGCACACTGCACCTCCATAGCTCTTCTCTCAGTTAACTCCTTTTTGTCTTTGCCTGCCACTTGTCACCTGATCAGGTAGCTTCCCTGATCCCTTTAGTTGTGTCATTCATTCTCAGAGCATCCTGGCTTTTCCAGTGCGGCACTTTTCACAGCAGTCGTTAATTACTTATTCTTATCATTTTCTCTCCCTCTCAGTAGTTTATGATCTCTGGTGCCTAGGACCATGCTGGCATATAGGTGAATGCAATGAATGATTGTTTATGAATGGTTAGGGAATGAATGAATGGGCCTGGGTTGTGCAGTCTTAGGGTTGATGCAGCCACCAACCAACTTAAATCATCCAACGGTGTTTTAGAAAGAACACCTTTTGCTTTACATCTCCTAAGCATATCTGCATTTTATGAGACAAAATAAACCTTAGGCTAAAGGAATGCACCTCTTGTAATGGAGAAAATATTTTAAAGATATTAAATACTTGTGGTTTTCATTCTATAAATCATGTTCCCTACAGTCATTCCACCATTATTGCTCCAATGAAGGGTGAATGAAGGGTGAATGCCACCTTGAGAAGGAATATGATATGGGGTAGGAGAAGCCCAAGCCAGATGAGAAGAGGAGGTGGGAAGACACTTCCTGGCCTGGCAGCAGGGGAGAAGAAAATGAAAGACACAAATTTGTAGGGGAAGCAGGCAACGTGCCACAGGTGTTCTGACTGCCCACCTAGGGAACACATGCCAAGGCCACAGTCTCCATGTGAGCAAGAGCATCACCTGGAATATCCAGGTAGGGTAAACCTTGGGAGCAAAGTGGAGCAACCACTCTCCAGCAGGCTCCAGGGAGCAGTTAGAAGGCACAGTGTGGATGAGAGGTCTCCTCTCTCACTGTCATAAACACAAGGACTGCAAAGGACAATTTTAACTAGGAGGAGATGGTTCCAACTGAAGAAACTGAGTCATCTTTAATGAACAAGCTTAAAATATCCACTTCTGAACCCATCACCCAACACACACTGCCACTGGCAAGAGGCATGTGTAGATGGTAAGATCACTTACAGAAAATACAAGAGCTACGTTTCCTTTGTGTGTCTAAGTAGTAGCATGACTGAAATTGCAAGTTTTCCCCCGACACCCTCTAATGGTGAAAGCCTAGGGCTGGATTACTTACATGACACCTCAGGACATTTGCCTGTTGTCCCTATCCCAGCCACCAGATAGTACCCAGCATGCCTTCTCTCCCTTCTCCATATTGTCCTTTTCCTCCTCATCTTCTTCCTCTTTTGTAGTAGACATGTCCAGCACCGAATGACTACAAAAGTTCAATAACAAACATAAAATGAGGGTGATGGGGCTGACTTGGATAGCTTGCTATCTTCCAGCCCAGCTCTAGACTCTTTTATCTGAGATACTGGTGCATATGAAACATCAGCAACCAAGGGTATGTGTGTGTGTGTGTGTGTGTGTGCATGTGCATATGTGTGTGTGTTGGAGTGGGAGGCTGTCTGCCTTCATCCATGCTTCTTTGTTTCCACAGTGGGTTGTCTCAGTCTCACCTGTTCATACACAGACACGGGGGCCTCTGCACCTTTCAACCAGTCCCCCACAAAGGGTCTACACTCTTGGGTGCTTTAAATAAGCACGCTAACTCCATTGTTCTCTTGTGGTCACCCTTGCCCACAAATCCTACTGCTAAGTGAACACCCTATCGTTCCGTCCTGGATCATCCTCCAGCTCACTCCAATTACTTTCTACTCCTTCTAGGAGTTAAATATTCCTGTCATGACTTGACCTTTTTGGAAATGTCTGATGCTTGTATCATAAAACAATGGCAAGGCACTTTAATTGAATCTTTTTTTAAGTGCATACTGACATCTGATACAGAATAATAATGCTTAGCACTTGCAGAGAACTTTTCATCTTCAAAGCACTTTGCTACCATTAAAGGCCACATTTGCTGAAGATAGATTCACTTTCCTTTGTGTCACACTGAATCACATCAGACTGAATTTGGAGGGGACAAGGAGCAAGGGGCTTGCTTGGAGTGCTGAGTTGTGCTTGAAAACAATCTAAAAATAAGCACTGGAGAGCTCTCAGAATAACTGTCATTTCCATTCTAACTGCCCCCAATTACGTTCATTTTATTTCTTGTTTGGGCAGGATCGGCTAGCTTACACTGCAGAAACAAACACTCACACAATCTCAGGAACTAACGATGTGAGAAGTTTATTTCTGACTCATGCTACATGTCCAGTGGGCCAGCTGGGACTCTGTTCCAGGTCTCCCCTGCACAGGGGACCCAGACTGAAAAAGTAGCCACCATTGGGAACAATGACAAATGGCGTAAGAGAGCGATGTGAATCATTCACTCACCGACTCTTAAAGCTTCCGCCTGGAATTCTCACGTCACTTCTGCTCACACTTCATTGGCTGAAACAAGTCACATGGCCACACCTACCAGCAGCCTGGGACCCATCGCAGCCTTCCTAAATGTCTCTAGACCACCACTACTTTTCTCTCCCTCCATTTTCACCCCCACCACCAGCAGCTTCTCTCGTTGACTAGACTTCTGCAGTAGCTCTCGTCTGATTTCCCTAAACTCACTCTTGTTTCTTTCTCCCATCTGCCCTCCATCCTCCAAGAAGAGTGAATTTTTCAGTTTGCAAATCTTATTTCATTGCAAAATGAAACCTACTCACCTCAAGTCAACCCCTTTCATTGACTTTCTTTTACTCTTAAAACTCAGACCCGGCCAGGCGCGATGGTTCATGCCTGTAATCCCAGCACTTTGGGAGGCTGAGGAGGGTGGATCACCTGAGGCCAGGAGTTTGAGACCAGCCTGGCCAACATGGTGAAACCCTGTCTCTAGTAAAAATACAAAAAATTAGCTGGACATGGTGGCAGGCACCTGTAATCCCAGCTACTTGGGAGGCTGAGGCAGGAGAATTGCTTGAGCCAGGGAAGGAGGAGGCTGCAGTGAGCCGAGATTGTGCCACTGTATTCCAGCCTAGGCAACAAGAGCAAAACTCCATCTCAAGAAACAAAAAAACAAACTCAGACCCAAGTCTTTCCTGCAGTCTACAGTATTCACCATGGCTGGACCCTGGTACCCATCTGCCAGCCACATCTCAGGCCATGATTCCCATCAGTCTCCTCTAAGTCTTGAATCCCACAGTCTTTGTACTTGCCATCCTCTCTACCTGGAAAGCTTCCCACTCCCAACACCCTTCCTCCAGGTAAAATCTGATCATCCTTCAGCTCCTAGCCAGTCACACCTTCTTCAGGAAGTCTCTCTGATAGCACTTGGCAAGCCCAACTTGAATCTCTCTTGCATAATTCTCACTGCAATGAAAACTGCATAGCATTTGTTTATATTATTAATGGAGGGCGGAGACCTTGTTTTGTTTTTGTTCAGCAGTGTACTCCCACAGCCTCATCTCATAATGCTGGCACTCAGTAAATATTGATTGATCAAATGAATGAATGAATGAATGAATGAACAAATGAATGAAATTCAAGTCCTTCCTCCAGTTCTGTCTACCCAAATATTCAGCTAAACTTAGGCTAATTCAGGTCAAAGTCAAAGTCCTCTGTGTGTAACTTTCTTGTGATGTTTTTCACATGCTTCCTTATTCCACAAGCATTGCAAGTCTGTCTTTCCTTCTCCTGCAGTGCCTAATACCTGCCGAGCCTTGGTTGTCGTACAACTTAAAACATGGTTGCCAAATTGGCCTGCAGTGGCTGGACTTAATGCAGAATGACACTTGTAAGGCATCCCTGTTGTACCCTGCAGGATCTGGCTCTGCCCATCTCCCTGACTACATCTTCGTCTCCACCTTATTTATCCCTCTCCACTCATGACAGCAGTCTTGCTCTTCCAACACAAGCTTATTTCAACCTCAGGCCATCTGCACTGGCTGTTTCCTCTGCCTGGAATGCTCTTCCTCCAGGTCTTGGCATGATTTTCTCCCCCTCCTAATTCAGGTAACTGCTCAAATGTTACCTCTTCAGACAGGTCTTCTTTATTGAAGTAATACCCCTAGCTTTTCTCTCTATTTCCTCACCCTGCTTTAAAAGATTGTTTATTATGGTTTTTATAAAGGCATTCTATATATTTATTTGTTTATTTTCTAACCCTTCACTGGGAAGCATATTCCATAAGAGTAAGAGCAGTTTCTCTTGCTTATCACAATCTCCACAGCCTCTAGATGGGTGCCTACCACAGAGAGGTTCAATGAACACCAGTTATTGTTTATGGTTTCAATGAATTGGCTAGTTTTGTCACTGAAGGAAACAATCAAGAGATTTAACTTGATTGGTGTTTTGGTCATATTGTAATAGATATTTTGTCATTCCCATAAAAATGGGAGGAACTGTCTTCCAAAACCCAATTTATTTGCTCTCTATTTCTCTCTCCATCTCTTTCTTTCTCAACCAATCAAAGGCATATGCATACATACACACACAGCACATACTCACAACAACTTTATTAGACCATTAGTTGAAGGGATGAAAAGTTGGTAATGTTTGATTTTGTTCTTCATATGTTGTAGATTTCAAATAAATTAAGTTAGTTCCAAGAAAACAAAGTCCGAATTTTGCAATTTTCTGAGAATTATTGGAACCATGTCTTCAACACGAGATATGAGTCTATAAATATTTTCAGTGCTTAGTGTACTAATTACATTTTGGTGCTGATTCACACTTAAATGCTTTCATATTTTCACCACATGCCTGTTGAAGTGTACATTTTTTTTCCCAGAAAAGCACATAAAATACAAATTTTTCTACTTCAAAGCAGCAGCAGAGGAGTTAGAGTTCTAAATATTCTCTGATTTGGAATGGTGTTCCACTAGCATGAAACCAACATTTCATCAAAGTGGTTTGCTTCAATCAGGATTGTACCTGTGAGATATAAATTATAAATCATATCTTCTGTTTTACATGGGAAATGGGAGCTCTGAGGTGGATCGTGCTTGAACAGATGGGCTTGAGGTAGTTTCATGTCTTCTGCTGCTTATGTTTTGCTTCTAATGTCATTTTCAAAGATTCCATCGTTAACTTCAGAGACACTAGGCAAGGAGCCTGCAGCAACTAAATATGGGTTTTGACAAAGGTTCTAGCAGCCAGACAAGGCAGGGTGGCCTAAGGTGACTGGAGAAGCACAAACTAGCAGCCTAGAGGGGTAGGCAGGAGAGAAGGGAGCTGGGAGAAGAGCTGGGACAGAGCAGGAACATATGCCCCCTCCCTCCTTCTCAGTTCCTTTCCCTCAGGCAGGGAATAAAGGGAAAAGAATGTGGAACGGAGTAGCAGAAGTCCTGGCTTTTAGATCTAACTCCATCTGCAACCCATGGTTAATTCTGTGGTTCTGTTTCTCACCTGGAATACAAAGAGATTAGACCAAGTCTGCACTGATATGCTGCAATTCTGCTGTGTGAGTTGTTAAATATGGAAATCCTGGTTGGTAAAAAGCCCTCCTATATCATTTGCCAGAGCTCCTATAACAACCACAGTTTAGGGGATTTAAAACAATAGAAATGTACTTGTATTTGTCGGTTCTCATGCTGCTATAAAAAATACCCAAGACTGGGTAATTTATAAAGGAAAGAGGTTTAATGGATTCACAGTTTCACATGGCTGGGGAGGCCTCACAATTATGGAGGAAGATGAAGGAAGAGCAAAGGGATGTCTCACATGGTGGCAGACAAGAGCAAATGAGATCGAAGTGAAAGGGGAAACCCTTTATAAAATCATCAGATCTCATGAGACTTATTTACTACCACAAGAACAGTAGGGGGAAACCAGCCCCATGATTCAATTATCTCCCACCAGTTCCCTCCCACAACATGTGGGGATTATGGGAGCTACAATTCAAGATGAGATTTGGGTGGGGACACAGCCAAATCATATCAGTATTCTCTCGCTGCTCTGGAGGCTAGAAGTCCAAAATCAAGGTATCAGCAGTTGACACCTTGCTCCCTCTGCAGGCTTTGGGAGGAGAATCCTTCCTCATCTATTCCGGCTTCTGGTGGCCCTGGTGTTCCTCGGCTTGCAACAGCATCACTCCAACCTCTGCCTCTGTCTTTCCATGGCCTTCTTGTCTGTGGTTCTCGCTATACATTTTCTTTAGGCCCACCTGAAATCCAGGATGACTGCATCTTGAAGTCCTTAACTGCTTACATCTGCAAAGACTCTTTGTCTAAATATGGGCACCTTTCTGAAGTTGTAGGTAGATATGAACGCTGTTGTGGGGTGGAGGGGACACACTATTGCACCCACCATATCCCCTGAGTGCCTCTGCTGCCCTGGCTTTCTTATCACCTCCCCTGGGACTCCTTGAAACTCCTCTAGATCCAGCAACTAAAGTGTTAATGCTTGGCACTGCAGGGTTCCCTGGGACGAAGCCCCAGGCCTCTATGCAGGACTAGAAGATCCAAGGGCCTTGTCTACTTGGGCATCCTGACCTATACAAGGAGTGAGCATGGGTGAGCTCAGTGAGGACTACAGAGACTTCAGAGTTACATAGAGGGAAGACAGTGACTGGGGAGCATATTCTAGAGAGACTGGGGCCCTGTGTGATAGTGGTGGTGGTGATGGTAGTGGTGTGTGTGTGTGTTATGTGTGTGCATGCATGAGTGCACATAGCTGTGATGGGGACGTGTGCCAAGAATAACCTCTGCTTGGCAAAACTAGATGTCCTGGTGATGTGGCTGGGAGAAATGTGTTTCCTACACCTCAACCATTCCTCATGTTGTTCCTTTGTCTGCAGTGCTCTTCTTCCTCCTCTTCTTGGGCTACTCTCCCATGCTTCAAGGTTTTCTGGAATTTTGTTCAGACCTGTTGTGCTGAGGATCCACTTCCCGTCCTTCCCCTGCAGGAGAGGGAGGAGGCTGCAACCTACACACTACATTTCCCAGAGCTGCGTCAGCTGGCCTCCAGCTGCATTCAACCAAGGGGAAGCACTGCTGGGACCTGGAGGGTGAGAGGAAGAGAGAAGCCAGGGTGTTTCCCACTTTCTCTCTGCCTCTGATGGAATTCGCAGCAGCAGCTGTTTTCTCTGTGGCTCCAGTTCCCACCAGATAGACCTGCCATTAGTCCTTTATTTTCTGCTGTCCCCTGGTCCTCAGCTCCCATGTCTACCCCTCCTTTATTTCTGCAGCTCAGGAGTGCAGCTTATCTTGCTATTGTTAACCATCTTGGCTGCCTCACAACCCCATGTTTGGCTTATGTCCTCTATCGTTGGTAGCCAATTCCCCGTATTCAATTCTTTCTGTTTTAAATACTCAGATTATTTGACTGATGCACCTTTGCTATATCACCAGTCACTGTATTGGCATTCACCCATTTACTTCTCTGCTTCCCTAATGAGACTATGAACTTGTAGAGGGCAGGACCTCTGTCTTACCAATTTTTGATACCTCTCCCCCTGCCAGAGGCTTCCTCTCCCATCTATTCTGTCCAGGGCCTTGTACATAGGAGACTTACATCAAATGTCTGTTGGTTGGATGAATAAATGATAGACAAAATTGGCTTTTCAGGAGCTTGTAAATTGACAGGTAGAGATTTTCTTCTATTTCCTTGACATAACTTACAGGAATCTGTTCTTTTCTTACATAGCACTTATCACAATGTGTAATTGTATAGCTATCTGCATGGTTATTTGATTAATGCATGTCTTTTCTCCCCAACTACAAGGAGCAAAGTGTGGAGCAGTTTGCTTAGGTCTGCATTATCCCAGCACGGTGCTTAGCACATAGAAAGTGCTTATGATATCCATGTTAAATGGAGAACCCACGTAGGCCTTTAGGAGCCAACAGGTGGAAGCAACCCAAGAGTTCATCAACAGATGAACAGATAAACAACATGAGGTATAGACATACAATGGGATGCTTTTAGGCCTTAAAAGGAAGGAAATTCTAATACATGCTGCAACATGAATGAATTTTGAGGACATTAGGAAAGCATAAATCAAAATCCCAATATCACCTCACACATATTAGGATGACTATTATTAAAAAAAGATAGTGTTGGGACGGGTGTGGAGAAGTTAGAACCCTTGTGCACTGCAGGTGGGAATGTGAAATCATGCAGCTGCTGTGGAAAACACTATGGCATTTCCTCAAAAATTTAAACATAGAATTACCATATGATCCAGCAATTCCACTTCTGGGCATATACCTCAAAGAACTGAAAGCAGAAACCCAAGCAGATATTTGTACAACAGTGTTCATAGCAGCATTATTCACAATAACCAAAAGGTGGAAACAACCCAAATATCTGTTGATGAATGAATGGATAAACAAAGTGTGATATCTACATAGAAGGAAACATTATTCAGCCTTAAAAAAGAATGAAGTTCTGTTACGTGCTGCGACACTACTGAACCTTGAGGACATTACACTAAGTGAAATAAACCAGATGCGAAAGAAGAAATAATGCACGATTCCACTTATACGAGCTTCGCAGAGTAGTCAAATTCATGGAGACAAGAAGTTGCTGGGTGCAGTGACTCACGCCTGTAATTCCAGCACTTTGGGAGGCTGAGGCAGGCAGATCACTTGAGGTCAGGAGTTTGAAACCAGCCTGGTCAACATGGTGAAACCCTGTCTCTATTGAAAACACAAAAATTAGCCGGGACTGGTGGCGGGTGACTGTAGTTCTAGCTACTCGGGAAGCTGAAGCAGGAGAATTGCTTGAACCCAGGAGGTGGACGCTGCAGTGAGCTAAGATTGAGCCACTGCACTCCAGCCTGGGCGGCAGGGTGAAACTTCGTCTTGAAGAAAAAAAAAAAAAGAAGAAGTAGAATAGTGATTGCCAGGGAATGTGGGGAGGGGAAAATAGTGAATTATTATTTAGTAGGTACAGTTTCAATTTGAGAAGATTTAAAAAGTTCTGGAGATATATGGTGGTGAGGGTTGTACAGCATTATGTATGTACTTAATGCCACTAGCTTTCTGCTTAAAAATGGTTAAAATGATAATATTTATGTTATATATAATTTATTACAAAGGAAAAAAATAAAGACTAGAATACAATTCTCTAGATTTGCAAACTTCCAAAATGTATTTTTGAAGGCACATGGGCTTTTTAAAAAACCAGATTCTGATTGACTAGCTAAAAATCATCATGTTGATTGGTTTTGCTTCAAATCAAAACCAATTAAATTCGAGAGTCAGAAACACCAGGCAGACACTACTACTTCCTCAAGACCCCTCAAGACCCTCCTTATTCTGACGTGGGTGGATGAAACAGCCCTGAGTTCTGGCCCGCATGCCGAGTCGACATCTTACAGCCCCGCATGCCACTTGGACACAATCAATATTGTCAGTGCTTGTGTGAGCAGCTCTTAATAACAGAAGCCGAGGAGGCAGGTGGATAATTTTGCAGTGAGGGAGGAGGAAAGCAGGCCGGCCAGGTATCTGTTACTCAGAGAGAGATGAAAGAGGAATCAGCAGGCCTTTTTCTAAGCTGAAAACAGCCTGCATAAGCTGATCATGGGACAGCCAGCTGGGCAGCAGGAATTTCTTCCATTATGGTTGACCAGACAGGGAAATCTTCTCTGGGCTGCTTGTGTTAATAGATTGTTAATGACTGATGCAGGGGGTGCCTTTTATGCCACCAAAGGAAAGGCAGAAACAGGGCCCTGACTTTGGCGTAGATGACTACACCAGCACTTGTTCCCTTGCAAAGACAGAATTTTAAAACATTTATGGTAGCTGAGCTTGAGCCAGGCTCCAAACAGCTCATGGAGGAATGAAACGATCTTGTCTGGTGTTCATCTTCCTTTGTTTTTTCACTCAGACATTAAAAATACAGCAGCCTAAAAGGAGAAAATAAATTTCAAAGATCCTCCTAGATGTCAGGCGCAAAGAGGAGGTAAGATGTAGGGTGAGTTTGCTAAACAGATAAAGCAAGTGGATAGGAGATGCGCGGTAGATTCTTTGGAGACAAGGACTTAACTCTGTCTTGGCTCCTCAAAGTCTCCTTGGAAAATTTCTCACACATGGGCCTGGTGCACCTGCTGCCCTGTTCCCTGGGTTAGGGGCTTTTGCAGAACATTTCAGAGAGATGCTGAGTTTTTCTTAAAAAACAGCTTTTCTCTGTGTTCTTGGCCCAGCTAAGCTGATTATTTTAGAAAGTGACATGGCTTGAATACTTAAAAACAATAAACATATTTATTAACGCATCCTATAAATACAGAAAAGCACATAAAGCATAAATGTGCACTTTTCTACATTATGTTCTTATATGTATATGTTCGCCAATTGAGTGCTCCACCTGCATCAGTAAACCTAACACTGGGTTGAGCGTGTTGTGTTCAAAGGACCAAAATTATTTCTTTGGAACTCTCTTTCCATTGCAGATCAGATTCTCACATACTTTGATAATGGCTAATAACTACAATGACTGTAGACTTTATCTTTTAAATGATGGGATTTTAGAATTTCTATATAAAGCCCTTTGAGATGTGAAATACCTTTGAGAGTGAAAATGTACAACAGCCATAAATTGGAATTGTCCCAGAAAGCTGGGATGTATGTTCACCCTACCAATAACAAATAACAGTAGACATTGATCAAGCATCGAATGTTCTTGATTCTCCGTTTGCCACTGTCCCAACCCATCCACTCTCTGCCCCGCTCTTCCTGCTCTGTGCTCTAGGAGGTGAACTCCTGTGGACTGCACCTCTGGCTCCCTTGCCCTTGGATTCAGCCAATGGGAGGCCTAGCACCTCTTTATCCACACCATCTCATGGAGTTCTTACAACAGTTCATGAAACAGTTACTATTGTTATCCCCATTTTGTAGATAAGGAAACTGAGGGACAGGGAGATTTAGTCATTCATTCTCTAAGATGCACAGCTAGACAGTAGTGGAATAAGATCTTATAGGAGTGATTGAAATCTGGAGACATTGAGGTGAGTCTTGCTCAAAACCATTCTCAACCTAATGACTTGGGAACCTCTGATCACATCTCAGGGTAACCAGGTATCTCCAGCAGTTCTGTGCAAACCCTGAGGCTCAGAGAAGAAACTCATAAGCACAAGACTCAAGTGGGCTTTCTTCAGGCAAATAAGGCACAGACTGTCTATATATTTCTCTTTTTTGTGAGTTGTTGCCTTAATATTGTAGACCAATATGGTTCCCAGACCTGATGCATCAGCATTGCCTGGGAACTTACTAAAATGCAAAATCCTGGGCCCTACCCCAGACCTACTAAATCATATTCTCTGTGATGGGGCCCAGCAATCTGTGTTTTAACAGAGACTAACCAAGCCCTCTAGGGGAAGCTGATGCTCTGGCTCTTGGGCTCTTGTGGCTTCTGTGCTGAAGCCTGGCACTATCTGGCTGGAGTTCTTTGGGATTTCCCAAAGTCTTCCTTTGTCTGATGGGATTGAGAACAGAAGAGAAGATGACATGAAAACCCCAGCTCTCCTTCCTCCCTGACTCCCCTGTGGGCCTCCTCTCTATTTGTGCAGCTGTTATAATCATTGAAACAGCTGTTCATGAATATTTCAGGGCTGCTGACAAATCCTGAGCCTGATTAGCAGGGCACAGAGGCAGGAACCCCAGAACCGGCTGACGATACAGCCTCTTGCTAATCCTAATGGGGCCTCCAGATCAGGAAGAAGGAGGCTTTGGTAAACATGGAGCCCATATCTGATGGAGGGAAGAGCCTATGCCTGACTTTCTCCATGCTGAGAAGCTTCTACAGGAGGAGTTATGGAAACATTATTAACATTGTACTATATGTGAGGTTCTGTTACTTCGTAATAAGCAGCAGAAACTACATTAAGAGAGAAACAAAAGAAGTTTATTAGAGGGTATATTAATTTGAGTTCAGTCAGATAAATAGAACCAGCAGAAGATATATGTTAACAGGTGTATGGCAAGGAATTGGCTTATGTAATGTGGAGCTAGCTGGGCAAGTCCTAAATCTGTAGGACAGGCTTTCTGGAAGGGCAAGTTGGAAGTCTTGGGCATGGGCTGAACTGCTGTCCACAGGTAGAATTTCTTCTTCTGGCCTTTCACCTGATTAAATCAGGCCCAGTCAGATTATTCAGGATCATCACCCTTACTTAAAGTCAACTGATTAGGAGCTTTAATCACATCTATGAAATACTTTCACAGTAACAACTAGATTAGTGCTTAATTAAATAACTAGGGACTACAGCCAAGCCAAGTTGACACATAAAATTGACCATCACAGAGGGGCATGGAGTGGTTCCAAAAATATAGAAAAAGCCACACTGGGAGAATCAAGGACTATTCTGGAAGGCCAATTAGCAAAAGCACTTGGAATGCTCCTTCTGGGAGCCATATTTAGGGAGAATTATTGCAACCAGTTTTGACCTCATGTCACTTCTGCTCAAAGTTACAGTTCCTGAGTTTATATGATACCTGCAATTCAATCACCAAAACCACAGTATCCTTCACTCTTCCCCATTTCATATATGTATTCCCCCCCCACAGTGAGAACACTGTGTCCTATCACAATTGATATATTTATTCATTTGCCCTATCCTACAATATATGCAAAATAGTTTCAGAGTTACTACATCAATACTCCTATTAACAAAAAATATCCTCAGTAAAGTTCAGGATTTCTTTATATGCTTTTTGTTCTTAGACTGTATCCCACTGTAAGTGGATAGTCAGAATATTGTGTTCAAAAGTTGCTAGAATTACTTGTTGTGTGGGTGTATGGTTATATTATAATTGTGGTATACACTTCAATTCATTCTTTTCTGTTTGTGTTTGGTGTTAGGGTTTACTTTCTGTATTCTTTTAAATTTACTGTTATTCTTTTAAAATATTTACAAAATTCAAATATCTAAACCCTATTTAAGAGGAAACAAGCAGTGAAGTCTCCTTCCAATCCCTTTCCACTTTTCCTTTTTCCTATCTACCCCTTACAGGAAACTATTTTCATTCATTTTTGTTTGATCTTTCCTGGGTTTCTTTTTATAAAAATAAGTAAATACTATATATACTCTTACTTGCCCTTATTTCTTACACAAATGGTAGCATATTATATACATGTTTAATATTTTTTTGGTAGAGACAGGGTCTCATTATGTTGACCAGGCTGGTTTCCAACTCCTAGCCTCAAGCGATTCTCCCACCTCAACCTCCCAAAGTGCTGGGATTACAGGCATGAGCCACCACACCCAGCCTTAAAACTATTAATTGTGGTTAAAAAAAAAGAATACATATTATAAAACTTAGCATCATAACCAGTTTTAAGTATTTAATTTAGTAGTGTTAAGTATACTCACATTGTTGTGCAACAGATCTTTAGAACTTTTTCATCTTGCAAAACAAAAACTCTATACCCATTTAAAAATCAACTTTACATTTCCCCTCTTCTTCCAGCCCGTGGAAACCAGCACACTACTTATTGTTTCTCTGACTTTGATCACTTTAGATAATGCCTCACGTAAGTGGAATCATACAGTATTTCACTTTTTATGACCAGCTTATTTTGCTTCGCATCATGTCCTCAAGGTCAGATATACATTTGTTTGTACTTTACTTTGTTACTTAAAAATAGTTTCTGGAAGTCACTCCATATTGGTTATGCAAGATTTCTCTCATTCTCTGATGTGGTTGTATAGTACTCTGCTCTATGGTTATATAATGATTTATTCAACCAGTCCTCTGTGGATAGGCATTTAGGTTGTTTTCAATATTTTACTATAAAAAAAAGTCATAGTGAAGAACCTCATGCATGTGTTATTTATATTTGTAAAGATGTATTTCCTGGGTAGATTTCTAGAAATGGGAAGGCTGTGTCCAAGGGTAGAGGTATAAGCAGTCTTGTTAAATGTTGCCAAATCCCCTTCCTGGGAGGCATGCTGTCTTCCATTCCCTCCAGCAATCCAGGAGAGCCCCTGTAGCATCTCTAACAAAGTATGTCCATAAGCTTTTGAATTTTTGCTCAAGTGATAGGTGAGCTATGCTGCTGTCTAGGTCTAATTTGGGTGTATGTTACTATGTGTTCAACTGAACATCTTTTTATGTGTTTAAGGGCTATTTGCATATCTTTTTGTTGTGAAGGATGAAATGGATTTCCCCATTTTGATATTTTTGTCTTTGTCTCTCTTTCAGAGACCACACTCTTAACAACTATACTTGTTATAAATAGAAAATAACATAAAGAAGTTCGATGTTTAAAGTCATTGTTTATTTTTTTATGTACACTATCCTTTCCTTCCTAAAAGCATCAGAATCTTTCTTTTGGGGAATGTCCCATTGTGTGGACAGTCCAAATCCACCTTTTCTCTCCCTACCTGGGCCATGATAGTGCTGAATACAATCAGACCTAGGCAGTCAGGCACATCTCCCAGACTCTGAGTCTTGAGCATGAGGTTCTAGGACACAAGGAGATCAGTTGACACCATCACTACAGGTAGTGATGGAGTCAAGTTCTTCCATCAGCTGTGCCAGGAAGCTCTGGGAGGGTTTTGCAGTGCAGCTCTCCTGGAACTGCTGGGTACCTGCTGGTTCCCAGTCTGCTCTTTCTGGCTCTGGTTGAGGCTCTAAACCCCAGCAACTTTCCAGGTAACTAACAGCTTCTGTTTACTCTCTGCAGAGTCAGTTTCTGTTGCTTACTCTTTGTGATGATTAATTTCATGTGTCAACTTGACTGGGCTAAGGAATGACCAGATAGCTGGTAAAATATTATTCCTGGGAGTGCCTGTGAGGGTGTTTCCAGAAGGGATTAGCATTTGAATTACAGACTGTGTAAGGTAGAGCTGTCCTCACCAGTGTGCGTGGGAATCATTCAATCTGTTGAGGGCCCAAATAGAACAAAAAGGCAGAGGAAGGGTGGATTTGCTCTCTGCTTGAGCTGGAACATCCATCTTCTCCTGCTCCTGGACTTTGGCACTCCTGGTTCTCAGTCCTTCAGACTTGGACTGGGACTTACACTACTGGCTCTCCTGGGTCTCGGGACTTTGGTTTTGAGCTGGAACTACACCATTAGCTTTCATCTTTCAGAAAGTAGATGATGGGACTTCTCAGCTTTTGTAGTTGTGTTCACCAATCCCTCAAAATAAATCTTTTTGTATATCTATATATATCCATGTGGTTCTGTTTCTCTGGAGAATCCTAATATACTCTCAATCATCCAAATTCATTTTTTCATTTGACAATAATTATTGAGATCCTACTAAGGCACTGTTCTGGATGCGAGAAATATAGCTATGAAAAAACAGAAAAATCCCTGCCTTCCTGCAACTTATGGTCTAGTAGGGAAGAGAGACAATACAGAAGAGAAGTAAAGAAGAAATACGGAACACTGAAAGTGGTAAGGGCTTTGGAGAAAAATGAAGTAGAGAAAAGGGACAGGAAGTGGTGTGAGTGGGTAGCGATTTTAAAGAAGGTAGTTGGAGAAGGGCACAATGAGAAGTTGACTGTTGAGTGAAGATCAGTTAAGGAGATTGAAGGAGATGAGGACTCAAGTCATACAGATAACTGGGAGTAAAAGGTTCAGGCTGGGCACAGTGGCTCACAACTGTAATTCCAGCACATAGGGAGGCCAAGAGGCCAAGGTGGGAGGATCGCTTGAGGTAAGAAGTTCAAGACCAGCCTGGTGAACATACTGGGACCTCATCTCCACAAAAAAAAAAAAAAGAAAAATTAAAAAAAATAGCCAGGCATGGTAGCACATGCCTGTAGTCCTAGCTGCCCAAGAGGCTGAGCCTGGAGGATCACTTGAGCCCATGAGGTCAAGGCTGCAGTGAGTTATGAGTGTACCAATGCACTCCAGCCTGGGCAACAGAAGGAGACCCTGTCTCTAAAACAAAAAACAAGCAAATTAAAAAAAAAACAAAAAAAGGATTCCAGGCAGAGGGACAGAAGGGGCACTGGCATTGTAGTAAAGATGTGCCTGCTATGTTTGAAGACATCCATGGGCTTAGAGGTGAGCAAATATGAGGAAGGTCATAGATGAGGGCCAAGAAGTAAGGGTGGGGTAGGACCCAACTGTACAGGGTCCTATAGATCATTGTAAAGACCTGGGATTTTTCTCTGAGGGACATGGGAATCATGGAAGATTCCTGAGCAGAGGAGTGGCATGACAAGACTTATTTAACAGAACCCCTCTGGCTCCTGAGACCAGAATACACTGTAGGATGGAAGGAAGGAAGGCCAATGAGGAAACAGAAGTGATGCAGTAATCACAGAAATTATGATGCTTTAGACCCGGGTGGTACTAGGGAGTAGCTGCGATGAAAAGATATTTTAAAAGTTTCTCCATGTCCCACCTATAACAGCATCATTTTTACTCACTGTGGTCTATGTGCTATACTTGCAGAACCCCTGTACTATACAACAAAGCTTTAAATTTCATGCCACAGACTAGAAATGCTACTGAGTTCAAAGGAGAGGTGATCATTGAGGGTGGGTTGACTCAGATTATCTTATTTGTCCTCACAGCAACAGGCAGAATGGAAATATCGTCTTAATGGTGCAGAAGAGCAAATGGAGATTTTGGCTCTAGTGGGGGAATCAGATTAAAAAAAAAAGTAAATCAATGAGAAAATGGCCAGTTGTCATATAGGATACAAGGAAGAAGAAAACGAGACTGAGATAGGAATTGGACGAATGGGAAAAATCTAAGAATGTTTCTATTCTAAAGGAAGAGAAAGAGCCAGCTATGAGAAGAATAAAACAGAGGAGGTGCATCAGGCAGTGGGAACAGCATGTACCAAGACCCTGAGGCAGGAGTATGGGGGCTATGCTGGAAGAACTGCTGGAAGGAGTTTGGATTTTACTCTAACCAGCTCCCTCTGTTCCTCGCCTATTTCACATGCATATGCATGTGCTGTGTTTAGCTCCAGTTCAGCTGTTTTTTTCTTAGGGGTAGAATGTGGAGCCATTTCTTAATTGCTCTATATTTAGCTTTGTTTAAAAATCTATAATTTAAAAACCACCAAGGGCTGGGTTGGTAATTCAGCTTCCATGGTCCATTTAATCTTTGGCCTTCACCGCTGAGCCAGCCCACCAAGGTGACAGCATGTGCCAGTCATTATGGAAGTGTTTGTTAGCAGAACATCTGCTCCCCCAAAGCTGGCCTGGGTCCAGTTGCCGAACCCCAGAGCTAATCCCAGGGCCCCTTGGTTTAGTTTCCTACAAAAGGAGGCTGGAGAACTGAACAGCTGGGGCATGGTGGAAGGGAGGTGGCGAATGGCATCTTGAGTCCTGCATCAACTCAAGTCTGTGCTGTGCTATTTACATGCCATTTCACTTCCTCTCTCTGGACCTCAGTTTCCTCACTTGTCCAGTGGATTGGATCATATCAGGTCCTAGATCTAGGGGACATTTTTATTCATTGTGAATAGAACTATCTATTAGCATGAGCACTTGTGGGGTCATTTGACAATATGTATCACAATTTAAATGACATTGATCCAGCAGTTCCACCTCTAAGAATTTTTCTTCCAGATGCATCCACACAATTGTACAGATAAGCAGGCACAAGGAATTCATATTAGCACTGTTTGTGATTGCAAAGTATTAGAAACAACCTAAATGTCCATCAGTAGAAAATTGGTTATATAAATTATGGTGCATCCACACAAAGGAATACTATGCAGCCTTTGGAAAGAATAAGACAGATCTCTATGTATGGATAAGATATGATGCCTAAAATATATTATGTCAAACGCAAAATATTGTGTGCATTCTTGTACTTTAAAAAGGTGATGATGTAATATGCATACATATGCGTACTGTATATCTAGAAAGAGACACAGGAAACAGAACTGTGATTGTCCTGAGAGACTGCAGGTCAGGGTGAGAGGGCACCTTCTTTTTCACTATTTATTTCTTTTATACTATTTGTAGTTCTTTTTGCACACATCAGTTTCACAGCCAAAAATTAAATAGATTTTCTTAAATGTTCTAAATGCCTATGGAATCAGATAGGTAACATAAGGGACTTTATACTTTATATTCAGGGAATGCCCTGAGTATAGAGCCACAGGGAGCCATGGGGACTTTGGTGAGTTGGAGTGCTCAAGTTCACTCAGCGGGACAGCTGTCACTCAACCCCACTTAACTGTGACCACGGAGCAAGGGGCCAAGGTGGCCAGAGCTGACTTCTCCGGAGAAAGAGAAATTCATATTTTAATACAACTCTTCTGATGCTTAAGTGTTGGTAACAACACTTATAAACAAAACACTCTGTGAGTCACAAAAATCTGGAGTCAGAGTTTGCTCCTGGTACAGTTTATAGCTGCTGAGTTTTACTTTTCCTTTCAGCTTTAAGGATCCTTTGCCTGGGAAACATACAAATATTACAGGCACTTTTGCACAGGCACAAGGGGTCTTTTTCAGATTGGTATGGGTTGGAACGGATGACTCTGCCAATGGTGACCGTGGCCAGGGGGGCAAAGTGATGTCTCCACACCTGCCGCCATGGTGAGTAGAAAAAGCTCTGGTCTTGCATAAGCATGTGATGCCTGGCCTGAGGCCAGTCTTGAGCACTTTGAAAATGGCAGAGCGAGGATACGCATTGCCACGGGGACACAAGACCTGAGCAGCCATCCTCGCCTCAGCCTGCCCTTGCAAGGTTTTCAGTCCCAAAGGGGTAGTTCAGTAAAGCCAATGACATGCACATTCAGATCTCAATTCTACCCCAACAAAGTCACCTCCCCTCAATGGGTAGACACCCAGGCCCGTTATCAAACACACATCCTAGAACATACTAGAAAGGAATGCTGTTTATTAAGAGCTGTGTTTGAGCCCAGGAAGAGGTTATTTTCTACCACACTGAAATGACTTGACACAGACAAAAGAAAATGTTTGAAACAGAATAGTAAGGAAAATGTCTACAACAGAAGAAAAATTTCTTAAAGAATGCCTGTCTTTGCTACTAGTATCAATACACTTTTACTGTCTACACTTATACAACGGAGAGGAAATAGGAGCTTTCTAATGTGTTGAAGTTATGAGCCAGACAAGAAAGATGTTAGAATTGAACAGGCAATAAATAATGTATTAAAAAGCAATTATTTCCCTCTGTCTAATGGTTAGTAGTTGCCTGTTTCCCCTTGAATGAATCTGTTTCTTAAACTATACATCACTCACAAAAATAAAAACAACAATAAAGCTGACCTTTGTATGTCAAAAGCCTGATTATGGCCCGGTTGGCAAGGCTGCATGCTGCCGGTCAGCAGATCCCGGGAAGGCGATTATCTAGACACACAAGATGCTTCTGAACAATCGGGAAAGAGAGGCCTCAAAGACACAGTTGAAAGGTGATTGGGGAGGTGGAAGGCATCAGCCCTGTGAGGGAGATCATTGCAGCATTTCCCCAGTTACAGGCCTGGCTGCAAGACAGAGTTCTTTGTATAAAACACTCACACGCAGATCAACACCGGAGCCTGAAAGTCCCTGTAGGGCTGATTGAGATGCTTCTGTACCTCAGCAAAACCTTGAGGGGGAGATGGCGCTCCATCTCACAGTGCTAATGAATTCGCAGTAGGGCATCTCTGAGCTTCTCCTCTCCTTTGCCTGCCTCTCCTCTCTCCCTGTCCAACCCGTCCTCGGTAGAATCAGAGCAGGAGCTGTTAACGGGTGAGGGCCAGACTCTATGTGCGAGGCTCTGGGCTGGGAGCTCTCAGACATTACCTCTTTCCAATCTCAAATCAACCAAACCAAGGAAGAAATAGAGATTCAGAAACAGAAAGAGGCCACTTCAGGATTTGAACCCAGGACTCTCTACCTCCAATGCCCAAGTTCTTTCCACTAAGAAAACCACAAGCTCCCAACACCCTCTTTCCCTTCCTATCTCTGCCAGTATCTCGACTCCAGCACAGACAGCACTCTCAAACCTCTTCTGGAATATTCCTTAAACCACTTTGCTCATGCCCTTTACCTTGGATCCTCCCCACCTGTCTCTCTCATCCCTTGCATGGCTTTCCATAGCTCTGGGAAACTTGCTCTCTCATCTTTACTGGGGAGCAAACTGCCTGGTTCTATGTTCACTGCATGCGTGTCTATACCCCGGCCCCGTTACTTCCCAGAGCACATCTTCAGTGACAGCCCACTTTCCACAGTTCTCGTTACACGATTACACTTGGCCCAGTGTAAAAATTGGTTGGTTCTGGCCTCAGTTCTACTACTTGTCAACTCTGTGATCTTTGGCTGGTGATCCAATGTTTCCTGGCCTTGCTTTCCTCATTTTGATGGAGTTAACAATCCCTGTCCTAACAGGGGTCTTTGATGAAAACGAGAATAATGAATTGAAAGCAATGTCTTAAACTTGTAAAATTAGTTTTGTCATTATAAATATTTACCTCTTACATTTTCCTCTAGCACATTTTGCCCTTTGAATGTCCTCCTGAAAAGGATGTAGAAAAAAGTAGTTGCCCAATTTTGATAGACGGGAAAACAGGAAGCTATAAAAGCTAAGTGATTTACTTAAGGAAAAAGAAAAAAAAAATAGAACCCTGAGAGGGTCTGTAACTTTATAACTCCTTGCTTTTTCATTAGATTACAGGGCTTCTTTAACAGCCTATTTTTATTCTCAGATAAATAATGATTTTAACTAGCAAATTCAGACATCTCTTGGTGAGCACCTACTTTGCGTCAGAAAGAGATTCAAAGACCCAGAGTGGCTTCTGGGTCTTTGGTTTACTAGTTTCAGCCCAAGCAATGTAGCTACAGTTAGGGAGGAGGAAGAGTGGGCCAGCTCTTTTCTCTTCATCCCTGCCATGTCACTGGCCAGTGGGGCAACATGAGGACATTCGCTAACTGCCCCCTTTGTCTTGATTTCCACATCTGCTAGAGTCTTTTTCTCATTGGAACGCTCTGAGATCTTAATACTCATAAAGTGCTTAGAACCATGCCTAGCATAAGTAAAGTTTCCATATATATGACTGTTTACTCACCCTACAAATATCTGACAAGTGCCTACAGGCATTGTTTTAGGCATTGGGCATATGACAATGACCAGAACAAGGTACCCATAGGGCTTATGGTCCCTTAGAGGGGGCAGACAATAAACACATACACGAATATAAAAAAGTTAAGTAATTTGGTTAGCTTTTCTTAACAACTGTAATTTTATAGATTATTACATTTTCCATTTGATTTTATTGGCAGAGAATGTGAACACTTACTGGGTCATCGATTTTAGATTTCTATGTGACTTGTCTTCTAAAGATTCCCGTTTCCTATCATTGGAAAGCAACTGCCCAGGAGACCACAGTTCTGTGTTAGACTAGAACTGAAATAATTTAGGTTCTAGATACTAAATGGTATAAACTTAGGATTTGCTTTAATTAGGACTTGAAAAGTCAAATGCTTGCTGAGGTTAGGTGGGTATCAAATGAGAGCAGCTGTCTGGAATGGGGATGGTGACATGGCTGCCCCATGAGGATGTGGCCCCAGTATGGCCGGATTGTCCGGTATGTTTTGGGACAGAGTGATCCAGTATTTTTGTATGAGATTTTCTGATTTTTGTTCAGTGGCAACAAATTCACCTTTAAAAACAAAACTGTTGAACTGGGCCAAGTGTGGATTAAACAAAACCCTCCTGTAGGCCAAGCTCAGCCTGAGAACTACCCATTGGCAAAGATCATTGCTTTCTATCATTGCATGTAATTTTCAACCTTGTCCTAAACTCCCCTGGCTTTTGAAGACACTATGATTTTTCTTCCTTTTGTCTGTTTCTTTTTCCAACAACATCAGTGGCAATAGTCCTTGTAGACAGATTTTCTGTGCTGAACCATTGCATCATGGGAAAGCCAAGAGAGCTTGGGAGGCTGAATTCTTTCTATGGCAGCCATCGACTGCTTTTGGGTGGGCCTCAGAGTCCATTAGAAGGTTGGAAAAAATAACTGGTTCTTGCTCTCCCAACTTTAATAATCACTGACTCTTTGTACTTTCCATCTTTCTGGTGATGTTTGATTTTTTTTGCATATTAATATGTCCCTGAGCAGAATGCTTAAATCCGAAAGGGAGCAAGTGTGGGTAGTGGAAGGAACATATAGCCACACTCTTAGTCTGCCCAGCAATATACAGATGAAACTGGAGCCCCGCGGGCCTCCTCTGCATACTCCAGATATCCGGATACTTTGGCTCTTTGTTTTCCAAAGAGTACAGGATTAGAGTAACTGGTCACCCCGTACCAGACTATAATCAACTGCACAACTGAGCCCGGCTCAATTCTGCATCAATGGTGAGTGAACAGCAGAGAATTTGCTGCCAGGCCTGTATGTGAGTGTGAGTGAGTGTAGTCTGTTCTCAGAGCCAACCAAGGCAGCTTTGAATAGTAATAAGCATTTTAGAGCTTTGGACTCTGGCCTTCACTAAATGGAATTCAGAGGTGATGAGTTTGTATTTTTGGTGTCTATATTTGCCAATAGCCTTTCATGCAAACTCACAAAATACCACCACCTCCTAAGGCAGTGGTTCTGAAATTTGAGCATACATCAGAATCACCTGGAAGACTTTAAAATCCAGGTTTCCGGCCCTGCCTCCTGATTTTGATTCAAGAGGTCTAGGATAGGGCCCAGAATTTCCATTTCTCATGAGTTCCCAGATGATACTGATGTTGCTGGTCCAGGGACCATACTTTGAGAACCACTGTTCTAAGGAATTGGCAAAGAGGTGTCTAAATCAGGAAATACTTATTTTTATATTACATTTGTTCCTTGAACAATGCAGGAATTAGGGGCACTGACCACCCATGCAGTTGAAGATCAGTGTATAACTTTTGACTCCCCAAAAACTCAACTAGTAATAGCCTACTGCTGACTGGAATGCTTACAGATAACGTCAATGCCAGTTAACACATATTTTGCACGTATATGTATTATACGTTGTATTTTTAAAATAAAGCAACGTACAGAAAAGAAAATGTTATTAAGAATCATAAGGAAGAGAAATATATTTATTATTCATTAAGTGAAAGTGGATCATCATAAAGATCTTCATTCTCATCTTCTTCACACTGAGTAGGCTGAGGAGGAGGAAGAGGAGGAAGAGGAGGGGTTGTTCTTGCTGTCTCGGGGGTGGCACAGGTAGAAGAAAATCCGCATAGTCATGGAGCTGCACAGTTCAAACCTGTGTTGTTCAATGGTCAAATGTGCATATTGCTCTTAATGGCATTCAGAGGCAGCAGATCCTAGTGGAAATGGAGTCGGGAAAATCTGGCTTCCAGCCCTGACGGTGCATTACTGGCTCTGTGGTCTTGGGAGAGCTCTGATACACTCACCTTCTAAGAAGCATAGTTTTCCCACCTGGAAACTGAAAATTATAATTCCAGGCTTACTTTTCTCACAAGAGTGGGGGGAGACTCCAGTGATCTTGGGTGCCCGTGTGCTTTGCAAACCTAAGACCCTCCACACAGACCTGAGGGATCTTGGGAGTTTATCTTCTAGTCTCTTCTTTTTTTTTTTTTTCTTCTTTTGAGATGGAGTCTCACTCTGTTGCCCAGGCTGGAGTGCAGTGGTGCTGTCTTGGCTCACTGCAATCTCCTCCTCCCAGTTCAATTGATTCTCCTGCCTCAGCCTCCCAAGTAGCTGGAATTACAGTCATGAGCCACAGCACCTGGCTAATTTTTGTACTTTTAGTAGAGACAGGGTTTCACCATGTTGGTCAGGCTGGTCTCGAACTCCTGACCTGAAAAGATCTGCACGCCTCAACCTCCCAAAGTGCTGGGATTATAGGCATGAGTCACTGCACCCAGCTTCTTCTTGCTTTTTACTCTGATGAATTCTCTGCTATAAGATTATTTTAAGGTGAAAGACCCTGAGGATGTAAGATCAAGAGACTCATTTTCGTAAAGAGTTACTCTTTTTTGAAGGGACAATGTTGTAACTTCCCCAGTCTCCAAGAACTCTTCCAGCCTGAGAAATGGATTTACTTACTGTAGTAGGCAAAGCCCTTAAAATAATATCAATTTATAGATGTTCTTAACAGACTGCTTTCCTGTTTGTGTTGGGGACTAGTTTTAAAAATTACATTTTTTTAAAAAAAGATAGTTGACTTGGAGAATAATTTAGCATCAAGGAAGAAATTAGGCCAAGGCAAATAGCAGATGCTAAAATCGTGGAGAGCCACGTGCAGCCTCTTTGAAATGGCTGGGACCTTATTTGCTGAGCACAATCAGGGCTTCCTTCCAGCACAGAGGATGGAAACTCTCCCATCATCGGCTCTCGATTCCTTCCCTGATTATAAACAGAGATTTCTTTCCTCTGTTGGCCCAGCCCACATCCATGCTGGGCAAAACTAGAAGAATGTTTTCTCTTACATTGCCCAGGCTTCTCTGTAACATCAGCTGCTGGGCTGAATTGGCAGAAGGGTGTCTGGAAATCTGACAAGCTGCTACAAATGCTAACAGTAGAAATTAAGATGGTCACCTGGAGCTATAACATATCTGAATACCTGGAGCTATAACATATCTGAATGTCGCAAAGCCTCAAGTTCTTTCAAGGAAAGACTGAGAGGGTTTATGATGCGATTTTAAGCTTTTAGCCAGTTTGTGCCTTAACTGGACACTTGATTTCAAGCATAGTGTGTGTCTTTGCATACCTCACGTAGTTCAGGAAAATAAAGTATAATGTGTGTCTAACGTGAGCCATCTATTTAAAAAATCTATAGCCAGATTGATTATTACATAGGTTTAATATCATCCTTCAACTCTCCACTGTGGAATAGGTCATTTAATTAAAGCTAGGGGAAAAAATAAAATTTGATCGCTCTTCACATGACTCATGCCACCAAGAGTCCCACACCTACAGTGTTAGCCATTCCATAAATCTAAGATTAGTGATATGACATTGTGTGTTCGAGCAAGTGCAAGAATTCTCAACAGTCTGGAAAGAAGTTGAGGTGGAAAGAACTGAATTGGAATCATAGAATCATAGTGTGTTTCAGCCAGAAGAATGTTGGGTTTTAGTAAAAGAATTATAAAACTAAACATACAAGCTGGAAGGGGCCTTAAAGTCATCCAGTCAATCATAGAGTCCCTTCTACTGTAGAAGCACCTCCCAAATCCAAGGACTTGCTGCTTTCAGGGGCTTTTCATTCTTCTTCTAATTGCTGGGAGCATTAGATAATCACTCTGCTTTAAATATGTGTTCCCATTGTTTCCTAGTTTTATCCTTGGGTGGGGGGTCACACAAATAATTCCCAATCCTTCCTCAAATTGTCATTCCTGTAGATATTTGAGGCCATCTATGCTTTCTACACACCCCTTTTCTTCTCTCATACCTCCTGTGATTTGATGTCCATTTCTCTCACCATCTAATCACTCTGTTCAGATCTATCCATGTCCTTCTTAAACATATGTTGCCTCAAACTGGATCCAACATTCCTGTGGTTTGATTAATACAATCATGTTCTTTGTTCCAAAGTCTTCATGTCTATTATTCATCCTAAGATCACATTGGCTGCTTTGAGAATAAATCATTTAGGGTTCCTTTGGTTGTAAGTGATGAACACTCAATTCTAACCAGTTTAAGTAAAAGTGGAAATTTAATAGATCACATAACTGCAAAGTCAGAGATAAAACTTCAGGTATGGCTGGATCCAGAGGTATGAGCAACATCTGCATGAGGTAGGCATCTACTTAGGTATTTGGTCAACTTTCTCACGTGTTGGCACCATTCACAGGCAAGATAAATCTTAGCCATGTCAAGCTTAAATCATCAAGGTTCTAAGTACATGATAATAAGAGAGAATGAGCCTTTGTATTACTTTGCTAGTGCTGTTGTAACAAGGTACCGCACCCTGAGAGGCCTAATCAACAGAAACTGATCGTCTTACAGTTCTGGAGGCTGGAAGTCTGAGATCAAGGTTATCAGCAGGGTTGGTTTCTTCTGAGGGCTGTGAGGAGGGAGCTGTTTCGGTCTTCCCTGGCTACCGGTGATTTATTGGAAGTCTCTGGTATTCCTGGAAGTCTCTGGTATTCCTTAGCTTGTAGCAGTATCACCTCAATCTCTGCCTTCATCTTCATATGGCATTCTCTCTGTGTGCATGTCTGTTTTTGTCCAAATTTCCCCTTTTAATAAGGACACCAGTCATATTGGACTAGGGTTCCACCCTACTCCAGTGTGACTTCATCTTAACTAATCTCATGAGCAATGACCCTGTTTCTAAATAAAGTCACATTATGGAGCAGTGGGGGTCAGGACTTCAACATGTGAATTTTGTGGGGACACAGCCTCAAACCACAACAGCCTCTTTTATGACAGTACTACCATGAACTCCCACGCCTGCATTTCAGGGCTCAAATACAGCACATATCCATCCCTGATCTAATCACTGTTATACCAGTTTTTCTCTGGAACCATTAGTAAAAACACAGCCCAAACCACAAGAACTGATGGTGGGGCTGGAGAAAGGAGGTGATGTTAGGAGAAGAAGCATGAATAGATGTCAGACATGCAAAACATGAAAAAACCTGCACAAGGAAAACCAAGCAATCCAGAACCCATGTCCTGAGACCTGAGCAATAGCTAAGGCTCCAGAAACAGGAAACCTGAAGAATGCACTTGACTCTGTCTCTTTAAAAAGAAATCGTTTGTTAGTTTGTTGTCATGAATCAAACTAGAAAGTTGAGCTGCCAAACTGTTTTTGGTTCTTACAAGGCATCATGGAAGCCGCTTGGCCCCTGGTAGCTTCGTGTTTTGCATTTATTTCTTTTCATATTGGAAGATTAAAACAATAGCTTCTGGTTATCATCCCACATATTATTGATTAAAATCCTTGCCCGAAGACCTTCCATCTCACTTTTCAGCGTGGTGTGATTTACTTTTCTTTTTACTCCCTGTAACATATGATTAATGCTGATCTCAGGAGTCCCGGTGAGATGAAGCTGGGTGTCAGGTACGATTTGTCAGCTTGGAAGTATAGATTATTTTATGTTTCTCGAACTTTGTGGCCAAGGGAACACAGCTCTTGATTGTTAAATCCATCCACACTTTCCCCTGGGCTATGAAATGCCAGAAACATTAAATAGCCCACTTAATACATAACCTCATTCTGTATGCTTGACTATTTTGTTTTTAATTTTTCTTCCCTTTCCCGGCTGCTCACATGAAATGGGATCAAAGAAAAAAATTATCCTCCCTGGATTTTGTTAAAATATTAATAGGTTAGGGTTGACTGGCTAAATTGAATATCTTTGCTGATCTCACTTGCATGTTTAACTTGTGCTTAGGAAAATATGTTTCCTAGGTGATAACCTTTTATGTACTAGCCTGACTTCATTGAAATGCATAGAGATAAAAATATGTCACGCTCAGCGGCTATGCTATTCTTGTGTGGCACTGTGATTATTCAGATGGTAATTGGCCCCCACCTGTAGACAGCTCCGATTCTGTAGTCAATCATTTCATTTGATGTTAAAATATGTGAAAGTACAATTATATAATTTACATTACAAATCATGTTGAATGCCAGGGGTCTCTGAACTGCTGACAAATTCAAAGGAATCAAGGGTTGCAGGGAGAGAACTCGGGTCAATAAATGAAGTGAATTACACCGGGCGAGGGGTTCAACTTTTCTTATTTGTGTCCACAACAAGAGCTTTTGTGCATGTGTCATTGAGAGAGTGCCTATGGCCTTCTCTCGGCACCGAAATGGCAGCTTTTTAGATGCCTTTCTAAGGATGTCTCCCCCTTTCCTTTCAAAGAATTGCTCCTTGTGGCCTCCCATTAGGTAAAGTAAGGACTTGTCAAGACCAGAAAGGGAAAGCTGATCTATTAAAGTGAAGATGGCATCAAGTCTGGAAGGTTGAAGTAGCTGCTGCATGCAGAACCCAACACAGGCGGGGGTCGTAGCCTTGTAAATTAGGCTTGCAAGTTTCCAAACTCCAGATCTCGGCCATCAAACTTGAAACTTGTATGAATAGTGTCAGGAGTCGTGGCTGTTATTTATCTAGCTTTTAATGTGTGCCCAGTACTGGGTTAAATATTTTCCATACATTATCCCTTTAATCCTCACAATATCCATGTGAGGTGGGTCTGCTGTCACCCCTTACATATGAAGAAAATAAGCACAAGGGGTTCGTGGGGCTTGCCCAAGGCTATTTAGTAGGAAGCTGGGAAAGTTGAAGCTGGTGACCAAGTCTAGGAAAGTCCTTTTGGTGACCGAGTCTGGGCTGGTGGTCACTCTGTTCTTCTGGATCAGGCATCAGATGCTTAGTGACTACACAGGACCAGGGAAGTGCTCATGACAGAACCTCTCCTTCCGTGGGGTTTACAGGAAAGCAGGTGGGTTGAGGTGGAAGTGAGGATCCTAGGTAAGGGCGACCCAGGTAGGAAACTCACCAGTCATCGGGTTCTCAATGGAGATGGAGTATCCACTGCTGTGATGTAGAGTCCAGCCCTAGGGCTTGCAGATGAGCAGGCTTTCAAGCGCTCCTGTAGGCCAGGAGAGGAAGCATGTTTTTTTCTCCCACGTTTGCATAATACTCCCAGCATGGGAGTCATCCAGGCCCTCTCACCCTCTTTCTCTGCCACATTCCACAGCAGCTGGGCTGGGCAGTCCATGGGGCCTCTTGACTTTCAGAGTAAGTGAACTACTGGTCCAGGTACATGAAAGAAAAAGCTCTACTTCCCCTTAAAGTGATTTTGAACACCAAGGGCTGGGTTCATCTCGGATGTGGACATCTGATCCTTGAAATGTGCTGGGAATTCTGCCATGCTGGCTAAGAAGTGCTGCTTTGCTGCCAATGCCCCTTGCATGGCCACGAGCTGGCTTCTGGGCAACCTCTCCCGGAAGTCCTTGTGAAGAGGACATGATGGACTACATCCCCACAGCAGGTGTCAACCTGAGTCAGTCACCATCATGATTTCCGCCATGTTGCAACCTCCTCTCCTCCTAATCACTTAGCACAATCGTTAAGAGCACAGAGTCTGGAAACAAGTGTCTAGGTTCAAATCTCTGCTCTGCTGTCTGCTGGCTGTGAGATCTAGCAGAAGTTCATCTCTGTGCCTCAGTTTCCTCATTTGTAAGCAAAATAAACAATAGTGCCTGTCATACAGCCTTATTATAATGATTAAGAGTTAAAACACAGAGCACTTAGAACAATGCCTGATACACAGGGTTACAGGGCAGTGTGAAAAATTATTTTTTTCTTAAATGAGAATTATCTTTTTTACCAGTTATATAATATATGAAGTTAAATTTGTTTATAATAAACCTTAAAATAAACAATATAACTACTAAATATTGTTTTGAATTCTGTTGATGGGTCCCAAGGGGACTGGATACTGCACTCTGGGAAGCCACTAAGAGTAAAGGTCAAAGTTCTTGCCCTGGCATTCCAAATCCCCCACACGTTGTTCTCCCACAAGCAACTGACCAGGTAATTTATGCTCTGTTGATTTGGATACTTCCAAAAAAAAAAAAAACACAAGTTGTTTTGTTATTTTTTTCCAGAGGCAGCATGGCCTAGCAGTTATGCACACAGACCTAGAGTCAATGACACGGGTTTGAACCCTAGCTCTGTGCCACCTTAGCCGTGGAATATCAGTTACTCCTCCTCTCTGTGTGTCTCAGCTTTCTCAACTATAAAATGGGGATAATAATAGACTTCACCTCATTAGAGGGATTGGGACAATTAAAGGAGTTAGTTCATGCTTGGCCAAAGTGAAAGTTCCTTAAATGTGAGCCAATTAGGCACTGGTATTACAGTCACATTTATATGTTAAATAGAAGTCATTAAGCCTGTCTATTGGACCAAAGAATGAAACAGTGGCTTTCACACCCAGGGTCTGGGACTATTTTAGGAGCTCCAAGCATCTTTCCTCCCCACTGGAGACTGCGCTGCAGAGAGCTGGGAATGTGGGGAAGCTGACCCAGGATCGAGCGGGCCATTTCTCCACTCAGTCAGAAAGTCCAGCAGCAGAAATCACCCACTTGGTGAATGAGCCAGACACCCTGGCCAGGGAAAATTTCCCAGACATTTTCTAGATACTCATTTTGAAAGTGAATTGAGACATTATTTTTAATTAAAGTGGCAATCTGCCCCCATGAGATTCCCTGTCCCTAGAATGCTTAAATAATGGCCTCTGTTTGGTTCCGTCTCTGCCTTCTCTTCCTCCTATTAATTTCAAGCCCATCAGAGGGCCAGTTTACTAAATTGGTTTTAATGGAAATTTAGCCAACATGAATAATAATGAAATGTAAAATTATTCCTTAGCTAATGAACAGCCAGTGGCTTTGGGGTTAATTGTTTGCTTCTGGTGTCAGCTTATTTATATTGAAATAGAATTGTAATAGGACTCTAAACTAAAACTGTTTCATCTCCTTGATCATCACTTACCTTAGGGTTTATTCTTTACCATTAGTCATTGTTTAGTAATCGCTCCCACTTTGGATTCACTTGTGAATTAATTAATTACCTAGTTAAACTTGAGCACTTTTTTTCTTTAGAAAATAGAAAACATCTTTTCTCACCTTGTTATCTACAGCTGGTACTGTGAAGGAAATATTAACACTAGGTAGTGACAGTGATATTTCCTGCTAGCATTGTGCTTTTATTCTAACAATAGCCACATGCACTGTTTTAGTCATTTCAAGGCTGCTATAACAAATTACTGTAGACTGGGTTGCTTGAAAAAAACAAACATTTATTTCTCACATTTCTGGAGGCTAAGTCCAAGACTAGGATGCTAGAAGATCTGGTGTCTGGTGAGGGCCTGTGCCCTGATTTGCAGATGGCTGTCTTCTTGTATCCTCATATGGCAGGGAGAGAGCGAATGCATGCTCTTCTGTCTCTTTGTCTCTTGTCAGGACACTAATCCCACTCATGAGGACTCTGTATGTACATACAATGGAATAGTATTTAGCCTTTAAAAGGAAGGAAATTCTAACACATGTTTCTACATGGTTGACCTTGAGAACATTATGCTAAGTGAAACAAGCCAGTCACGAAAGGACAAATATGGAATGACTCCACTTGTATTAGGTACTACCCTGGGTCAAATCTGGCAAAACAGAGCAGGTGGACTTTCTCCCAAGAATCTAAGGAGAAATTTCAGTGGCTCTGATGAGATTGCCTGTCCATCTCTGAACCAATCACAGAAGGCCAGGGGAATGTGATGTTATGATTGGCTCCCATGCTTAGAGACTAGGCTGGAATTAACTCGGGTTCACTTCTAGAGCCTACTGGAGGCGGAAGAAGTCTCCTCTAGGATATTCGTGTTGAAACATAAGGCTCTCACTAGGGCATCCGTTGGGTCTGAGTTCTCTGGTGGTTGTTCAGCTATTTATGGACTGGACAAGCTGGAATTGAGTATGATTCATTCCACCTAGGCCTCCAGGTATGTTTGTCTTAGGACAAATTTGCTGAAGGAATTCCAAGTGGCCTCTGTGAACTCTTCCAACTTCCAATTTCTTAGTCTATTCCTTATATTTGCCTTTCCTTTACAGACTGAAAAATCTACTGCCTGGTTCAGGATTCTGAGAAGGCCCTCCACTGGCCCAGGGGGGATTTAAGTCTGGTTCTGGATTTTCTGCTGACTTCCTGCATGGCTTAGAATGAGGCAATGTGCTCAGTTGCTTTTCTGCCCAATAAAGGGTTTGAACGAGATGACTTCCAAAGTTCCCTTTCATCCCTAAGGTTTTATGATGCTATGAATAACCACTTGAGAATCAACTTTAGGACTGATAGCAGAAAGAGGCAGGGTACCCAGTCATTGAGAGAACATGCTTAGGATTGAATGTGCCTGAAGAATGGGGCAATAATCCCACTCATCCTAATAATCCTACCTGAAAGGATGATTGTGCATATTAAATGATAAAATGCATGAAAAACATTTAGGACAGTGAAACACCAAATAAATTACTAATATATCAATTAGTTCACCTGACACACATTGAACACCTGCTGTGCTAGGTGCTCTGGGTTATATGAACCTTGTCGTACTAATGAATTTGCAAGAGCATTGGGAAAAAGGTTAAATGGTAGTACAAGATTAAAAAATTTAAAAAGTAGATTGTTTCTAGCGACAGGTATTTATATTACGTTGTTTTAAATTTTTCTTTATTTGGAGAGACCAGGATATTTTTTTAAAATCCTGCTTTGTTTCTTAGTTTTTAAGACTGTGTCTAATTCCTAAAACCCCTGGAGGTGAACTTAGCATTGACCACCCTGGAGTTGGCCCACTCTAGTTATATGCATCCTGGAATTCACTAGAGGGCCAAAGAAAAGTGCTTTACCTAGGCTCTTACTCCCAAGCAGAATTAGGCTACATGGCCCAAAGCAGAAATCAGGATGAGCCCTTGGCAAAGCTGCCAGGCCCTGTGAGCTATAATATCACAGCCTGAAGGGGCCCTAGGCACCTACTTCAACCACTTCATCCTCTAGCTGGGGAAGCTGAGACCCAGAAAGGACACAGACCCCCAGCATCACTAGGGAATTAATGGTACAGTAAAGAGTGCAATTGTGATCTTCTGATTATCCATTCACCTGTCTTTGTATTGTACTGTACTGAGCACTGATCCCTCCATGGGAGTCTCTGTGCCCCCTCCTAACCCACTCTTGTCCTCAGTTGACTTTCCATTCAGATTTTTTTTTTTTAACTTACCATTTCTCAGTCCTGCTGTTTACAACCCTTGCTCATTTATGAGTTACATTGAAGGGCAAATTGTCCCTTGGTGGGGACGTTTGCAGCACTGTGTCAGACTGGTTGGAAGAGATCTTTTAGGCTGGGGGCCTGTGAGTTCCTCAAGTGACCATCACTGCGGGCAGCACCCGCTATCTCCCACAATGCTCTGCTTCAAAGTATGGCTGGCCTTGCCTCTGTCCACAGTCCTGGAATTGAAGGGTTCAAAGGTTCCCTTAGTAAGTTTTTACCAAGTTTACCAGATACTCATGGTCATTTTCTCAAAGGGCAGAATTCCTAAGCCCTTTCCTCAGAAATTCCAATTCAGTAAATCCCATATAGAAATGGGGGATCTGTGTGTTCCACAGCACTGAGGTGACTTTAGGATTTGTCTAGCTATTTCTTCTTTCTCCTTCCTTCACTGCAGATGAGATCGCTGACACTCAAAGATAAGAAATACTATTTTCAAGTGTGTAAAAATAGTTCTAGAGCCCACCTAACCTTAAAAAATAATTTATCCTGCTCTTTAAAAGCCTCAGGGCAGACTCTACAAGGATAACCCTTCCTTTGTCATTCACGACCTTGACAGCTGAACAGTTCTTTCTCTTGTCTCACCTTCAGATAAGCATTGTCATTTTCCTTTGGCAACAACTTCACAGTCACCCCACCCAAGAGTCCTCTATAAAAACACCCCCATGCCAGTTCACAGAGACGACTAACAATGAGCTTGGGAACAAAATCTCTCCTAAAATTATAAAACAAAAACATCAGCCTCTAAATATATCAACCATGATGAGCCTTCTATTTTTGATCTATTGTTGTAGAGCTTGAGATTCAGAGTTCTTAGTGTGCTAAGCTGAAATTAGACCGTAGATATTAAAAGCAATTAACGTTCCTCTCTTTATTGTTATTTATTTATTTAAGTTTCACAATGCAATTACTTAAGAGGCCTTCAGAAGAAATCCTGAGAATCATTTTCAATCAGCAGAATGAAAATGTCGCCTTTTGTGATTTGGCAAATAAACGATGTGTAGAAATAACTCCCTTATATGTCGCTGTGTACTATTCATTAAGGGCTAATTGCTGTGGTCTCTAAATGAAATACGGCAAACCGTTCCACCTCTGTGCCAGTTTGTTTAAAATCTGCAAAGCTTTATTATTAATACTATTTAATTATGAGAATGTCAGCCATGGAGAATTCCAAACCCACACTTTCCCTTCATCATTAGTAACAGGGCAAAAATGAAACACTTTCGACAATGAAGGGTTCATATTTCAAGCTTATACAGTAGCTGCTAAAAGGCTATACTCAGAAAATCAATTTTATTAAAGTCCTTCGAGCACTAAAGGGACTTGCATGCAACTAAGCAATTTTAAAAACATGTCCATGAGCCGTGACTTTTTGATTCATGTTTTTAGTGGGGTTATTTTTGAGTATTTTCAATATTGTCTCCTTACAGTGGGGTCAGGAGTGATTTGAGGAGGGGGTGAGCAGGAAGAAGGGAACATGTCTTCATAATTATTCCCTGCCTCAATTTCCATCAGATATGGGGATCCAGGCAATCCAGGAAAGAGGTGAGTGACAATGTGAAGAATTTATGTGGGTGGGGATGGTGGAGGTAGGAGGAGAAGCCAGGAGGACACTATCTTTCCTCTATTATTTTATTTTAGTGGGAATTTTTTTTTTTCATTTAAACTCTGAAAAATAATAGCTAACTATGGCCGTAAGCCACAGATTTGCCAGCTAAGGCTCTGGAGCCTGCATGAATCTTCCCTAGCTTCCCAAATCCCACAAATCCTTCCAGAATCATGGTTTGTTCAAATCTCTCCCTTGGCAATTTAGTCATCATTTTCTAGATGACTGTCTTTCTGCAGTCATCTATACCACTTACTTTTGCCTTTGAACTTATCTGTTGATGATTTGTGTGTCTTGTCTTCTCAAAAAGGTCTTAAGTGTTTTGAGGGCAGAAACCATCGATCTATTTCCTGGAGCCATGAAGCCAACACCCTCCTTATCTGAACTATTATTTTAATCTTTAATTGCTAGTTAACTTATTGCCTAACTCTCTGTCTCCTCTTCCTGATCTTTTTGCAAACTCTCTGGTAGCATGTGGCTTGTGTCACTAGATGTCTAGAACGGTGCTTGGCATACGGCAGGTGCTAAACATACATTGGTTGAATCTATTGGTGCATTAATAAACTATGGGTCCCTCTGCGGTTCTTATATAACCTGGCCCCATGTTTTCATCCTTAGTAGGTATATAATGATTTATTTCTGTACTAGTATTTTAGTATTATTTTCTGGGGACTAACTGGGTGGTAGCATAGGAACTAAAGTATAGGCCCCTAAGTCAGTCAGCCTGGGTCTAAATCCTGATGCCGTCTATTTTGAGCCATGTCATCCTCCCAGGATGGATGATGAACCACTTTAAGGAGCGGTCTGGGCCTTGAGCTTTTCAGTTCTGACCCTGGTTTACAGTAGTGGTGAGGAAGCTCAGCTTTGTCATCACACAGGCCTCATTTGAATAGGGATTTCCTTCTGTCCCTGTGTGACCTTGGGCTCCTCACCTACCCCTTCTAGGCCTTGGTTTCTTTTTGGGTAAAATGGAGGCAATAAAGTCGATTCTGTGGAATTGCTCCAAGGACTAAGTGAGATGGCGCATGTGCAGCACGTAGCTCTGGATTGGGTACAGGATAAGCTCATAAATGGACACTTTTGGAGACAAGAACAAGCACATCATGGCTAGTGTTTGTTTGGTGGGTGGCAGGGTTAAGGTTTCAGTGTAGTTTTAGGTTGGGGTGTAAAAGTGTACTGGAGAAGCCAGAATATTTGAGTCTAAGTCCAACTCTCTGTGGCCCTAGGCAAGGCTTTTCACATCTCAGTTTTGTCCTCTTTGAAATGGGTACACAATCATGCTCAGCCTGTTTACATCCCAATGTTATTGTATGGCTAACAGAAAATAATAGACCTAAAAGGAATGTCCCAAGTACTATACACAGTTACTCAGTTTCTATCTAAAATCAGTATTTATTGAGGGCTTGATGCTGGCCCAGCACCTATTGCTGTGATGAAGACATGTGTGAGCCAATCCCCAACCTCCAGGGTAAGGTAAGTCTGATCTTAGTCTAGTAATAAACTTACCGTTTACAGAGAACTTACTACAGAGCTGGCACTCTTCCCAGCGCTACAGGTTAACTCATTTAGTCCTCAGAACAAGCTGACAGGACAGGCATCATTTCTCTCCTCATTTATAGATGAGGAAACTAAAGTTCAGAGAGAGGGAGTTATTTGCCCAAGGCCACACAGCTAGTAAGTGGCAGAGCTGGGATTTAAACCCAGGCCGTCTAGCTGTTGGCTACTCTCAAGCTTTTTGTTCCTAGGTAATCTGCTTCCCTTTCCTGGATTTCTGCCTTCCCTTTCTCAGGATGAGCAGCACAGAGTTCTCCCTTGATCCTTCTTGGATGGAGGAAGGCCTTAGGGACACAGGGAAGGAGAGAAAAATGGATTTTAACAGTGAGGGTGAAGAAAGGCCAAAGGGAACAGGACTGTATTTTAACAAAAACATGAGCATATTTAAGTTGTCAAATCATTAATCTTTTCATATGCACCACCTTTCCCTGTGTGGATGTTTGCAAAGATCCTCTCCAGTTCAAGTTCAGATAAAAAGCTCCCTATCATCTGGTTTATTTCTTTTATTTTTTTTTTAGTTTTACATTTATGTCTTTAATTGGGCTGATATTTATTTGGACCTGGAAAGTGAGGTGATGCCTAACCTTGTATTTTCTAAATGGTTAATCAATTTCCGCCCTACAATTTCATTAAATCATTATTAATTTCCTGACTTATTGGAAATACCTCCTTTATCAAACAAATGAATATGCAAATTTGAATTGGTTTCTGAACTTCCTCCTCCTTGTGGGTGTCTGCTCACTTGTGCTTCACAATGGCTGTTGCTGGTCGGTTAAAATAAATCAACGCTCAATGCCTGCACATTAATACTATTCCAAACCAAGAACTCTGGATGTGAGGTCGAAGACAGCATGGACCTATTACTGTTAGGTTGTTGCATGCCTGGCAGCCTTCCATCAGAATAGTGCAGTGGTCTATCAAGGCGCTGACTGAAAACACTGTGTTTGTCAATTAGTCATTTGACTTATTTTCCAAATTGTTAGTGGGAGGTCTTGACAACCATCACTGTAAAAGACAAGGACAAACAAGTTGGTCAGGTGAAGTGCTAAGAAGGTGAGGCTCTATTTCCTTTTTCGAACCCTTCAGAGGCACTTAGAGATGGTTTTCCATGTTCACTCCCTGTCGACCCATGGTACAGATTTGGGCAAATGCAGCCACCTTGTTATGTGGAAGAAATCCATGTGGTTCAGGGGAAACATCCAATGAGAAAAGCTTTGGCTCTTTGCCTCAGATTCCATGCCATGAGCATCCATCCCATAGCAGGCACGCATTGGGAAGCCCAGGAATCCACATGGTTTTGGGAGTCAGAAGAAGTAGTACTACATGAAGGGTCCCCATCCACTTTCTGAATAACTTTGGACAAGTCATGAATCTTTCTGAATATCTGTTTCTTCTTCTGTGAAATGGAAATAATAATTCCTGCCCATCTTATATAGCTATGAAGATCAAATGGAATGATGCATGTGAAAACATTATACTTTGTAGCCTTGAAACAATTTTAAAAATAATAGTAAAAAGCATTACACCTGGACCATGAATCTTTTTTTTCCAGATGAATTGTTGAAAACCAGATCTTTTTCTTTCCTTATTGATCTGGAAAGGAGTCAGACTGTTCAATAGCCTTTACAAGTTTAAGCGAGAGTTACAGAATCCTCCAAACACCAGGCATGAGGAGTGTGTTGGGCAGAGTCCATTCACTGCTACTGGGTGAATTTCATTTGTGTAATAGGAGTTTTTTTTTTGAGACGGAGTCTCAGTGGCTTGATCTCGGCTCACTGCAACCTCCGCTTCCCAGGTTCAAGCGATTCTCCTGCCTCAGCCTCCTGAGCAGCTGGGACTACAGACACGTGCCACCATGCCTAGCTAATTTGATCTCCACACGTGGTTCACACCCTTACTTCCTCCAAGTCTCTGCTCACATGTCACTCAAACATTAGGACCATCCCTGACCACCACTTATAAAACAGCAACTCTACCCCCTTGCCTTCACTATCCCCTCTGCCCCATTTTATTGTTCTTTCTTGAGCTTATTACCAACTGATGTATATTGGTTTGTGCTGGGCACATAGTAGGCGCTCATAAATATTTGCTGAATGAATGAACAAATGAGACCTGGCAAACACAAGTTCCCATGAAAGTTTCCATCGGTCTTCTCCTTTCTGAGGTGGAGGGACATCCCCTGGCCCTCAGTCCTCAGTGCCTCATCTTGGAGGGGTTTGCTGCATTCCCTGGAATCTCCAAATGGTGCAGTGGGCGAGCAGAGCTTCACCTAAGCCTTTGAGCTCTGAATCCTGGTGATGGGCATGGCAGGATGGGACGGGCAGTGCCAGCAGTCAGCAGCTGCTGCTTTTCACCTGGGTCAGGGAGAGCAGAGGGGGAAGGGTTGAGGCTGTTGCTGGCGTGGCAGGTGTTTGGACCCGAGTCCTAAAAAGGAGACAGAGCTACTTCACCAGGGAGACCACAAGCTACACACAGGCTTCCATCATAAACTGCCAAGTTTGCTGTCCTAGGTTTGTAGAGGATTTGTCTGGACTGATGTCCTCCGGGGAAACAGTAATGTGTGTCAGCAATTATGCTTTCAAGTCGAAATGCTATCTTTATCACAGGGCACTCAGGTGCTCGCTCCAAGGGTTGTATGAAAGGGAGAGGGGCAATAACAGAGCCAAGAGGCTTCAGGAGGCCTCCTTGGGCCTGAGGCAGGGATAGGGGTGGGAGTGGGCATGAGGATCCCCCGCCCAAGCTGTCTGGAGGGCCTTAGTCCAGGCAGCTCACTAGAGACACAAGAACACCCCTGAGCTGGAGCTCAGGAAAGAGGGCCAAGCCACCCAAGGCTGGTTTTACGCTTTTAGTTTTGAGATAGCAATCTTGCAGGAAAATTCCCTGCATTTGTGGAATCATAAGTTTTTTAAGGTCTCTTGGCTCCACTTTTAAATTTAGTGCCTGAATAAAATGTTGGCTCGAGCTCCATATTCGATTATTAAAAATCATACTCAGGCCTAGGAGACGAGTATTTACACATCTGCCTGCTCGTCTGAAGACCCACATATCAAAATGTGGCTCCCATCACGGGGCGGCTTCATGGGAAGAGAGGCGTGCGAGAGCTCTCGAGTGCGGCGTTTGTTAAGTGAGGGAGTTGCGCTAAGAAGTCTTTAAAACTCTTTCTTGTTTTATGAAAAACATTTGTAAGTACTGTAGACTATACTTTCACCAAATTCTTTGTTTTTTCCCTCGATTTTTAAGAAATACATAAATGCATATGTACAGATGTGTGTGTATGTGTCTAAATTAATAAAAGAAAGGTCTGGAAGGGTACAGATCAAATTGATAATAGCAGTTCTTTCTGGAGAGGGACCCACTGTGGAAGGGAGCAGGGTCAAAGGACACTTTAACCTCATGCTATAATGTTTTTCTAGGAATGCGTAGTCATGCATTTGTTCTTGAATTAAAATTATTTTTTAAACTAGTGCACAATCACTATAGATAATCCAAAGCCCAGAAAAGTGTAAAAAACAAAAATAGAAATTAATCATATTTCTCTCACGCTAGAGGTGACGCTGTTAATATGTTGGCATTTTATCTTAGGGAAACTTTCCTAATTACCACGTTCACTCACACAAGGTGTTCATGTCTGTGTTACCAGGACATTGCTTTTATAGGCAGGCAATAGCCTTGGTTTCATTGCCAAAAGTGATGATACTTCTTTTTCCCTAAATAAAAATCAACAATAAAATACCCTGGGGAATGAGATGTTGAAAGTGTCCATTTTGGCCCATTTAAAAAACATCTGCACGGTTTATTCTTGGTGGATTATGGATCATAAGAGTTCCAGGCACAAGAAATATTTACCCAAATGAGGGGAGAAGGGGGAAATTACTAACAGAAAAGGGAGAAGTGGAAGATGTTGAGATAAGAGGAAAACTCATAATTTCTGTTTTTAAGGAAATTTAGTTAAAAAGACGGCTTCCTCCCAATGGCTCTATCGGGCCCACAAAAATGTCATAAAAACCCCTGTAGTTCAGGTATGGCTGGTGTGGTGCACTGGATATATCCCTTTAAAAAGGCTGTAAACAGCTAATCTGTATTTTAGAAACTGTTTTTCCATGAACTTGAACTGAATTTCAGCCACAGCAATGAAGCACATACACACATACACTTTAAAAGCAACAATCTAGAAAAAACAAACACCATTAACTAGAAAAATTGTTTTTAATATTAAATGATTCTCAAAATAATTACCTAAATATGAACGCAATGGTGGTTTTTAACATTTCAAAAAAATATATAGCAACATCTTAAAAGAGACACAGCAAGAACATTTCTGTAAAGAATATGGGCCACTCCGTGACTCAGTTTCCCTTTTAGAAATAAGCAGGTGGTTCTGGGTTACAAGGAGGTGGACACAGAATAGCTGCGGAATGGAGGATTCCCTGTTTAGTAGGAATGAACCAAGAGAAGAACCCTTAAGCAGAACCCCCAGCCGGGGCCCCTGACCCTCACAAAGGCCAATCTTCAGCAATGTCCAGAGGTCAACTCTTCTCCCCGCCCTACCCAGCCTGTGACTGGTCTCTGGCAGCCAAGTTCCCTCTAGAGGAGGCCCTCAATGTGTATGTAAGTGGCAGGTAACAGGAGACGTGGTTAAGGTTTCAGGTGGGGGTTCACGGTCCACACTCGAAAAGCAATTTCTCTGTTGCTTTGCTTTAAACATTGCCTCTACCATGTTCAGTCATCTCCATGGCAACTTGACCCTCATAAACATGATTTCCCCACTGGAGAAGCTGGGTCACAAATAAGGAAGACTTGATTCAAACACTAACATCTTCATCCTGAAAACAGACTCTTTGTAAACTCAGGGATGGCAGGGATGTACGGGGCATCTGGTCCCAGCTGCACCCGATGCTTCAATCTTTTGAATGACCTAACCCTTTAGGTACTTTCCACTTAAATGCTTCCACGGGCAGGGAGCTCATTACCTTCTTACATCTGAGAGTCAGTAACTTTTCCTTACACTGAATTATAAAATCTAACTCTAAAAGGTCTTCATCCAATAGTCTATGCTGCCAGGTCTGTGTGACAACAGGCTGTCACTTCTTCCTGAAGTCACCCCCTGTGTTTCATCAACTGTTCCATGCATGCGTGTTTCCAGGTCTCTGTCTTAAGAGCTCATTGCAGTGCCAATGCCCCCCTTAGCTGTGAAGCCTGGAACCCTGGCTGGATTTGGATATCCACAATTCATCTGTTCAAGGCAGAGATCTAACATTTGGAATAGATTGTGTTAATCGTGACTCCTTCCACGATAACAGCAGAAAACAACTCAAAAGGGCTTTTGCCAAAATAGGGAGTTGATTGACCCACATCACTAAAAAGTCCACCATGGGCCTCAGACATGGCTTGATCTGGGGCCCAATACTGTCCTCAGGACTCAGTCCCATTGTCTCCACTTTGCTTCTGTCTGTTGGATCCTAGGGTGGCAAGATAATCAGACCTCCAGACCTCCATGCTCCAGACCTCCACATTCACCATACTGGCATAGTGGAAGGGAGGGCTCTTGTCCCTGATAGTTTGGGTCAAAGACAGTTTAGGTCAAAGATTCTTGACTCTTATTAGCCTGAATTGCATCATTCGCCCCTCCCTGCAAGGACAGCTGAGACCACAAGCTCTGATTGGCCAGGCGTGCGTCAAATCCCCACCTGAGAATCAACGTCTCCCAAAACACACGTGAACCAAGAATGGGAAATTGCCAGAGGGAACTGGCAGCCCCATTACTAGAAGGAGGAAGAATGGAAGCTGGGGAGCACGGGGTCAGGCACAATGAGCCAGAGTCTGTGACACTGGCTGAAGGCACGTGGCTCCTGTTCAGGGACTGCAGATGGGACAATGAAGATCTGGAAGAATGTAAGGCATAGCATGGTGGGTGAACCATCCAGTTCAGGAATGTCCTCTGCAAGCATGGAGCCAGCTTCCCCCTGGGCTTTTGATAAAAGCTTTTCCTCACATGTTGCCCAGCTTTAGCACCATCATTCACAGCTCTCAGGTTGTTGACGCATTGTTTAGAGAAAAGTTGATTTTTACACTTAAATTAGGTTGCTTTGAAAAAAAAAAAAAACCCAGCTGCTCTTTCTTTTCTCTCCCCTTTGCCCCATGCCCCCACTTTATTCAAAGGCAATATTCCTGGTCTGTGACCCACCAGAGCTTTTGGGTACTGAATGTAGATGTTGCGCTTAGAAAATGGAGAGTCCAAGCTGCAACAGGGACAGGCCCCGAAGAACTTTGTTATTAAACAGTGGTTGGCACTGGGGCCCCGAGAAGTACTCTGGTGTGATGTGAGAAGAGCCCTCATGGTCAGGAAACTGGAGCCCTACTGGAGTGGCTTTTGCCCTGCATGGAAAAACAGTCTTAAGAACAGGAATGAACATGAATGAGATTGCTTAGTCATCAATGACAGAATTTCAGGACCAGAGGGACATCATGCCTAGATCATACTCTTCCAAGATTTTGATTAAGATACTAAAAGATACCAAAAGGACAATATGGGAAAAATATTTCAGTAGATAACAGTGACAAAACATTAGCATTCCAATTATACAGCACCCTCTTATACATTTGTTCATCTGGGACATATTAGTTGAACTTAGACAAGCACCCCAGTAGAAAAATAGACTTAACCAGGCAGTTCATAAGGTAATAAATACAGATGAAGAGTCAACCTTCACTGCAATCAAGGATGCAATATTAAGCAACAAGATGCAATCTTTTGGGCCTATCCAAAAAGGCAAAGGCATTTAAAGTGATGATCCCCAGGGTTGGTGAAGATGTGAGCACACACACCTTTATGCTGCTTGGGAGGAAATGAGGTGATTTAATATTTTGGAGAACAATTTGGAAATTTATATCAAAATCTTCAAAACTATGCATGCCCTTTGTCCCAGGAAATCCATAATAAGGAATTATCCTGAAGAAATTATCAGAATTATTTACAAAGGTTTATTGTAGAAATAACTACTAATGATTTATTGTAATAGCAAAAAGTCGACAAGCTGAAGTCTCCAGTAATGGGATTTGTTAAAAGAACCATGAAAAAATCATATTTTGGAAGATTTTTGTGACATAGGAAATGGTTAACATGTACTCAAAATATTAATTTGAGTATTATTAACAAATTATGAGATAATGTGAAATTATGAAAAATGTGTACGATAAAATACATACACACATACATATGGATGTGCATGTGTAAATATATGTGTATATGTATGTGTTTATATATGTATATGTATATATTATATAGGCTGGGGGAAGAAGGGCTGGAAGGATAATCTGTAGAATATTAATTTTTGTTCTCTCTAGTTTCAGGGTAATGGGTGATTTTTTGTGTATTTTTCTATATTTTCTATCATAAGAAATGTTAGTGATGGCTACTATTTATGGAGGGTTTATCATGTGCCAGACACTGTGATAACTCTTTATATTTATCAGGAGATAAGACAGTAGGTTAATTTACCAGATTATAAATTATATAAAATTATGCCCACTTTACAGATGAGTAAACTAAGGGTTGTGTCCAACCAAGGCCCTCGCTCTTCTTGTAGACGATGCCCTGATACCCCAGAGCCCAGTGTGTCCCACTGAAAGGGCCTTGTTATGTGTGACCTGTAGCGCAGGACCAGGAAAGAGAGTGGAAGAGATGTCTGCTTGCCTTCCAGTCCTCCTTCAATATTTAAGGGGTTCAAATGGTGTGTGTTCTGGGCCAATTTTTTCTTCCCTTCTTTATCCTAAAAGGAGGCAGCTGAGCACACTGGAAAGAGCACTGTGTAGAATTCCAGGCCTGGTTTGCCAATGTGACCTTGAGCCAGTCCCTTCCTCCCTCTGTGTGTCAGTTTCCTGCTGGGGCTGGACTCCATGATTCCACTCACTCCTGAAAGAGGATCTGTAATAACTCAGGGGCATTACTGGGGCTAGAATAAGCTAGTGCTCTTTCTTCAGGTCCCAAATCAAGATATCTACGCCCACTTCAAAACCCTTGGAGCCCTCTGATGTACCAATGATGAAATCCATTCATTCCTTCACTAATTTTTGCGACGAACTCCTGTGTTCCACTTTTATCTAAATGTTCTTATTCAATCCCCACAAGGGATCTGTTGGGTGGGTATTAAATGACTTTTTGATTTCTGGAGAGAAATACATTTTTGTAGCTTCATCAGCCATGAAAGCAGAAAAATCAAAGAGAATTAAGATATTATTGGTGTCCCTCTTTTCGAACCCTCCCAACACATTTAATCCCAGAATTAGCCCTTACTTTATTTGTCATCATCCAACAGCCTTTTAGGGAACCCGCTGAGCATTAAGTGAGGTCTGTTTAGCAGCACAGAGTAAGCTGACATTCACAGTCTACCGGTTCAAATCAGCCATGTCCCTGCACGTGGATGAGGTGGCTGCTACAGGTGTCACTGTGTGTAAGTGTCGGGTGGGAGGAGAGCGGCCTGGAAGGAAGGGCCCCTGTGAATTCACAGGACTCCATGCAAGTGAAAGATCCTGTGGGCCCCATGCTGAAAATCCTCCATCAGCAGGCTCTTGAATTTAAACTAAAATTCCAGCTCCTCCCCTGGGGGTCACAGATCTTACCTGAGGAAGCCCTGCCCACCTCTTTGATGCCAGCTCCTGTTCTCCTCTCCAGCATTCTCAGTTCCAGCACCCTGGCCTTCTTTAGACAGTCCTTGGTGTCCCTTCTGCCTGGAAGGCTCTCCTCCCAGATCATTACCTACCTGGCTCCTTCTGGGATCAACTCAAAGGCAGTGACCTGGTTTGTCTCACTCACTGCTGAGAATCCCCAGCACCTAAAACAATGCTTAGTACATAGTAGGCCCTTAGTGAATATTTGATACATGAATAATTTTTCCTAGGAGACATCCCTGAGGTCTGCCTGGAGGAGGGGGCATGTAAGCTAGGCCCTAGACACTAAGCAGCTCTCTGGGCCTCTCCTTCTCTGGCCTACTTCAGGTTTTTTGTTTTGTTTTGTTTTTTGTTTTTTCATCTGGACACATACTTTTTCCCAGGATGACCTCATCCATGCAGATACTGGATTTCAGCTACTATCTTGGTGCAGTCTCTCCCCAGGATGCTGTCTCGCAGTCCCCTGCCTTCCCTGCTCTTTGTCTCTTCTCAGCTGTCCTATTTCTGGTGCTTAATTACAGTCCTGCTATGCAGACAATGACGATGCCATCATTCTCAAAAGATGATTGTGTCTGCTCGGTCTTTTGTCCAGAGCAGAAAGACAGCAAGATGGTCCAGATCATAAAAATGCGTGCTGTGTTAGCTCAAATCCATTTTGGAAAGCACTGGAGTGATGTTGTCTGTCACCACACTCATGGGCTCACCCAAAAAGCTCATATAGCTTCTGATCTGCTCCGGGCAGGATGTCTTATTAAATTAATTACAATTTTCAGACCTAAGCTCTTTTTTTAGAAGCACTTTTAAAACAGCTTGTGTGTGTGTATGTGTGTGCGCGCGTGCGTGTGTATGACGGGAGCTGGAGTTTTTCCAGCCAGGAGCAAATTTAGCCACTAAACAGTTTGGGTGGAAAATGTGCTCGGGCATTCGGCCTGAGTTTAGGCCTTGGCAAACAGAGCTGTTATCTTCATTGGACACAACAGGCAAAAGGCCAGAGACAAACTTTTCAAGGCCCTCTGAGCATATTTGAGACCAGGTGAGGATGAGTGGGGAGAAAATCATTGGCTCCAAGAGGAGAAGAAAAGTACCATCAACTGCAAATGAATAATAATGTTATCAACAAAACTAGAAAACATTCTCATTTTAAGCTGAAAATATTATGCTTCATAAGGGGTATGAGTGTATTTTAGTATTCTGACACGGCACAGGACAGGACAACACGAAGCGGACATGCCCCGCCTGGGGAGATTTTCTGAAGGCCTCGTGGGTAAACAGGGCTGTCTTTCTCTCATCGACCTCACTAGAAACCACCTAGGTTGCTCCGAAAGAGAAAGCTTTTGTGGTGGGAGGAGAGAGGCTTTTATTCCTCCATCATAAATCGGAGAGTTTAAACTTCACTGGCAAGAGGAAGATTTAAGAATTAAAATGATGAAAACTTATAAAATCTTTCCAACAGGACGGTAATTGCAGTAATAATCCCCTTTGTTATAGAAGCTACTGTATTATGGGTGACCTTGACTTCCATTATGTACTGTTACCTTTAGCTCGGAATCTATAACTCAGGGGACTATTAATTATCTTGCCATAAGTGCCGGCCAGAGTGGGGGGCTTTCTGAAAAAGTAAATGCCACATCGATATGAAGTGGAGTTTCTCTGCTGCTCGACGGCTGTTATCAGCGATTAGGGTTCAGCAGCCCGTGGTCAAAGCCAGAAGATTATTCCTGCTTAGGTTCCACACCACCTCAAACTTTTCTGATCACCATGACCTCTGTCTGTGATTTATCCCAGCTCGTGAAACACAACAGTTTGTATATACAATTTAAACACTCCTACTTCTTCATCAACCACATCCCTGGGGTGTGCTCTCCTGCTAAAAGGTGAATAAAAATAAAACACTCTCTTTTCAAATATTGTTTTCCTTGGGGTGTTTTTTTTTTTTTTTTTTGCAATTTAAAGTTTGTCCCATGGAATGATACATTCCCATCTTCCATCATGTATTGTTATTGGGACAGAGAACATTAATTATACTATATCCAGCTCAATAAATGTTGACTATCCTATGCTGGGGGTGACACAAAGAATTTTTTTTAATGAGCCAGAAATCAGATTAGAGGAAGGCCTTTCACTTACCATCTTTTTCTTAAAAGGGCTAGCTCGAACCAACATTCTGACTACTCAGCATCCGTTGGAAATCGTATCCTTCGATTTCAATCTTCGGTTACAGCCAAGAAACTATTCTGAGAAGTTCTCAGCAGTCATGACTAACCCCAAAGCAAGATTTCCATTTTCCCCCCAATGCCCTAATTGAATTTAGGGGTCGGTTATGTTTTGCATAGGCATCTACCCCACATCAAGGGCAGGCATTCAAAAAGAGTCTTATGGAGTGGATCAGATAAATATGGGCTGCAAATGTGCTGATTTACCCCAGCTTGTAAAACAAAACAATTTACGTACACAATTTAAACATTCTTTCTAGTTTTTCACAAACCACATCCCTTGGGTGTATAATTGAGATTTCCTTGCCACCCAGAAGATAGTGAGCTAGTCCGCCGGGCTTTGTTCCCCTTCTGCGGGAGGGCGGCTGGCGCTGTGAGCTGCTGCTTAGAAACGAGAGGCCGGCAGCTTTGGATTCGCGGCTGTCAGATGCTGGACCGGGCCGGCAACGCTAGAGTGCAGGCTGACATAAGGATTACGGATGTGCTGCAGCCAGCCTGACGGAAAAGGCAGAAGCCTCTGCCAATAGAGGTGTTGTCTGTTACCTTCTTTATTTAGGCTTCGGGAGAGAAACCGGAGCCGAAGTAGGTAGAGGGAAGGAGGACACGTTTGATGCTCAAAGACCCCTGCCAGCTTGAGTCACATTGCCATGAGCCGGCTATCCGTATAAGATGCAAAAGCAGCAGCCGGAAAGGCATGCTTTTCTACCTTGGTTCTCCCTCGGTAGAGCCCTGGAGGAGGGGATGTAGATCTTCCCGTAGGTGAGGCTGCGATCTGTCCAAGGATCTAAAATCTACTTCAATAATCAGGGACCTGGGCACCTTTCCCCTAATTGATGTCGGAATAACTATAGTAAGGTGATCCAACCTAACCATCCATCAGTAAGAGAATGAGAGAGAAATAAAAGAATAAAGGAAGTGACAGAATCACATAGTGGAATACTACATCACAGTTAAAAGGAACGAACTAGGTTGACAGTTGGAAAAAGCAAGTTGTAGAATTTCACAAAGACACCAAGTGCTACTCCCCATGGCTTCTGGATTCCTCTAGATGTAGTGAAAGTACAGAAATGAAGGCAAGAAGGAAACATACAACATTTAGTCCAGCCGCTGGAGAAGGAGGAAGGGAAAGAGAAGGCTAAGATAGAGACGGGACAAAAGAAACTTCGGATTTATGTGCATTGTTTCATTTTTACTAAACTAATCTGGAGCAAATACGGCTTTTAAAAGACACGTTTTTCTTTCTGTTTTGTGGGATCTTGTTCGTTTGCATTGTTCTCAGTACTTTTTGTATTTACAGTGGTTAATTTTAAAGAAAAATAATTGGAAATATGAGTGTAAACCACAGACAGATGCTCACTTTCAACACAGCTCCGGTGTTGGGTCCATAAGCCCCCAAGTCAGAATACAGCTGAAAAGTTGTAGAAGTCAGTCACCTTTATAATTTTAAATGGCACCATTTGGGTGTAATTGAGTCTCTTTTCTCCCCCTCCATCCCCGCCCCTCTCCTTTTAGTCAAATTAAACTTATTGATTAGAGCCCATTAGTATGTAATGGATTGTTAATTTGACTCTTTTTACAAATCATATTTATCTGCACCAATAAAATATTTGGATTTAATATTCATATGTCACATTTATGGTGATGTTGATTGAGGGCCAAGCAATTTGAAGTGAAAGCAGACACTCCGTCCTTTATTCACACAAGGGAAATGCACAATTAGCTCCATGCACTCCTCCAGAGGTGAGAAACTTAAATATAAAGAAAATTAGAGAAAAGGAGAGAAACGTGCCCCCCCCCCGCCTTTTTTGCAGACATGAAAGAAACTCCATATAGTGTTTACACATTATTCAGCAATGGACTAGAATTGGTGCATCCTCCTCGTGTGTTACTCAAGTTATTTATAATGTGGTTGCAAAATCCCAGCTAGGAACAAAAAGTCAGATTTTTGGTAAACATCGATTAAGCTGTGGCCTCTTGTACTCATTTCTCCTATAGAGGAAAATAGAGCCCCAAGAAAGATCACGTCCTTGCCTCCTTTTGCTGGTAGAGGGCACTTAACAGTCAGATGCTTAAAGGGAAAACATGAATATATTTTATGTGCATTTGAAATAGATATTAACTGAATGCTGCAGGTGATATGGCAGCTGGGAATGCAGGAGAAAAATACTGAAAACTGCTGCCATTTATTGAGTGCCTATTCTCTGCCTGGCTCCTGGAATAATGATAACAATATTTAACATATAATACAGCATGAGCATCATCCAGTTGGAGTGGATGCCAGCCGAAAACACAACTGGTAAGCTTTAGTGGTGCACCAGCCAAGTTTTCAGCCCTGCTTGCTTCTGGAACAGGAAATGCTACGTTTAAGTTTGTTTAATGCTCAATTAAAGGAGCTGCATTCGCCCGGGCTGCTAATGCATTTGATTATTTCTTTTCTCTTTTTTTGTACTCTTAACGTTTTTTAAGTCTTAAAACATCTTGGCTTTTTTTGTTTGTTTGGTTGGTTGGTTTTTGCAAGCCACTTCAAACCTTTTGAGAAGCAGTCAGGGTATCCATTTTAAATAAATACATGATTTTCCTGATCCTGGCCAAATCTCATTACAAAGAAAACCGAGGCACCATCAGATTCCTTTGTTGCCCAGGGGGTTGTCCTATCAATATTGTATAAAGCAGTCAGGTCATTGGCTAGGCTTCAAATTCTTTTTTGTTATTTCGACCGTTTGGGGTAATACTTGTTGTAATGAGAGGCAATCTTTAAAAATAAAATTTCTTTTCATGAGGTTGGTACAAAAAGAGTCTTGCACAGTCGATGACTGACTGTGACAATATTTGGTCCATGGTCTTTGCAGACAAAGAGCTTGGCTGGTCATCATTAACGATGGTGCATGATTGCTACAACTTTTTTTGACAGTCTGCTTTCCGACAGAAACTATAAGCAGCCTATTGTCAACTCGTTTTACTGAGCTCAGGAAATTTCCATTTGTCACTTAACAGCCATGTGTCAGAAGCAAGATGCTTTGAACATGAATTGTGATTTCTTTCAGTTATCTTATGAGAATGCATGTTCTTTCCACTAGCGTGAAATGACCTAATTTTTGAAGTGGTAACCTTTATTAAAAAAAAAAACAATTAACATTCAAGTTTTCATATTTAATACCATCGTAAGTTTTTTTCCTCTAAGAAACCCAATCCCCTTCAAGGCAGTCATTATGCTAGATAAGTATGTGGTGAGCCAGGATATAGAGAGGAAGTGGGAAGTTTCCCTGGACTCAGCAGAAATTTGGTGTCAGAAGCAGAAATAGCCCCTTGTAAGCACATGGCTAATGGTTACATAGCTCTTCCTTTTCTGCATGGGTTCAAGGGGATAGATTTTTACACGAATATGTCATGGCTCCGGACTGAACTGTAAAATTCTAGAGGACAGGGAATAGAACCTATTTGTTTATTTCTCTCTCCAGGACCTAATGAAATAAGTATTTGTTGATTACATGGTAAATTTGGGGATTAGAAATGTCCTTAAAATCTTGATCAAGTTACTTCGAACTCTGGCAACACTTTTATCATATCTGGACTGAGTGTAATAATATTTTAAAGATTAATGAAATGTTGGGCAGCTCTTGTGCTATTTGGCTGTTGCAGGAACTGAGTCATAAGGCAAAAACATTTATAAAATACAAAATAATGATTTATACAGTAAGTTATACTCCCTCAGGCAAAGATGTTACATAAACCACAAGGTATTTGGCCACTGCAACACATGTAAGATGTCTTAAATACCATGAGATTTATAAATATTTTTAATAGTTAAATTTAACTTCGAAAGTTACCTAATATCCAATGAGGTTTGAGATTGGAACTTGTTTTTCTTTTTTGCATTTGAATGTGCTTCATTTAGGTTGATGCAAGCAAGTTAGTGTGGGTGCTTAATAGCATATCATAAAGGATTTAACTTAATTCCACCATAATGAATTAATTCTCTCAGTGACACTGTTTTCATTATAGATTTAATGACATCACCTTGGCCAACATTCAGGAATTCAGAACTCTAAGTTACCCTGAACTATCTAAAAACGAAAATGGAAAGATAATTCTGCTTCATGTCTGGTGTACTCCAACTGTGGATAAGGGTACGTAGAGAATGTCTATTATTTTGAGTAGTTGAGTTAAAAATAAAACTCCTAACACCAGTGAGGAAATTGGATTCCACATTCTCTTAAACTGTCCCAAGGGACATTCATTTTACAAAACATGAAACCAAGAAGAAGAAGAAAGCCCTAGTGTTTCTTTTCATTGGCTTATGTCATGATTATCTGTTGTAAACATAAAAGGATAAATATACAATCTGAAATCATAATTCAGGGACAAGTTTTCGCCAGCGAAGGAAAGGAGGAATGAGTGTAAAAATATTTATGCTGCATTTTCAAGGACTGTGTTTAATTTCCTTTTGGATTTGTTTATTTTGTGGAATTAGAGGGATGTTGCATCCTATTTTTATAGCCTTGTATTGTTATAGGAATGTTTTGGCAGATGCAAAATTAGAAACAAATTTTGTGTGTTCTCTAGTGCCCTTCAGGGCCTTAAAGGACAGGAACAAAGTATGGCAGTTTGTCATCAGAGCTCCAGGAAGCCACGAGGAAACTGAGCTTAGGAACCAAATTGCTCAAAATGGGAAAGAAATGAAGAGATGTACAGCAGATGCTCTCAGCCTGGAAGTGTAACCTTCGGGAAGAAGGAACCACCAGTCATGCTAATTGGTCTTGAACAAGGCTTGTTTGCGCTGAGAGATGAGAGAGAGCACCCCATTTCTTCCTGATTCAGTTCTGTAGACATCTTTCTGGGATTTGCAATTGATAATTATAGACACAGAGATACACTTGGCCTAATTTGCCAGCCTATTTGGAGTCATGAGTGTCACCCTGTATGTCTGGTATATGTGCAGATGGTTTCTGGCGGCTTCAATAAAATCAGAAAACACAAAATCTCTATTTTTTTTTTCCAGACAATTGAAAGGGGCTGGTTGTCAGTGTCCTGGGTGTTGAAATGAAAAATATTATGCTGATTTTTTAGAAGTGTTCCTTATGCTTATAGACCCATAATTTCACTACACTCTGTTATCTAGGCTAAGTGTAGGGGTGAGGAAGTAGAGTCAATCAATACTGGTATCAGGTTGGAATTAGTGAATGCTTTAACGCAGTACATATAATTTCTGATTTCCATTTGTAAACTGAACTCCTGCTTTAATCAGTTCAGTACTTATTAACTCAGCATTTTCCCAACATCACTCATTTGAGTACCACCTTTATGATATTTTTGGCCATGTCTAAGTACTATTTGTACCATCATTTACCTGTTTTTTTAAGCAGACTTAATTTTTAAAAATAAAATAAATGTATTTTAAGAAGAAAGTTTATATCACTTTTATAAAAGGAAACAAACAGTCAAGAAACAAGTACCACCAATACGAAGTAACCATCGAAATAATGGTTGCTTATCTAAGGCTCCCTGAACCTTAGGCATTTTCATTCTTCATGAAAAGGGAGGTTATTCTGTATCAGAAAGGTGTTAAAGCTGTGGTAGTACCAGTGGAGAATATCTCTTTGATAATCAGAGGATGAAAAGAACAGTGAAAAAAGACTAAAGGATTTGACTTTACTCAAAGTGCTCACAGTGGCTGCTTCCTCAGCTGGAACCAAACAAAAATCAACCTTACCCTCAAAGTGCTTATGTCTATTGGGTGAGAAAATACTTGCCCATCAGATTTGAGAATATATTTCTATGTTGTTTTTCAGATATGTGCTAAATTTTGGGGCATGCACTCTAAGTTCTGTAAGAATTTAGAAAATGGTAGGCTAACAGCTCCCGTTTATCGAGTGCTTATGTGAGGGCACTGTGTTGTACGTTTCTCATGTGGGCTCCTATTTAATCCTCACACTAAATCTAATTACACAGGTATCCCACTTTACAGATGTGGAAACTGAGGCTAAGAGAAGTTGACTGAGCCAAAGTCACACAGATGACAACCCAATGCAGGCTAACAACAGTGTAGGAAGTCTTCTCTTTTTTTTTTTTTTTTTTTTTTTTGAGACAGCATCTTACTCTGTCACCCAGGCTGGAATGCAGTGGGGTGATCATAGCTTATAGCAGCCTCAAACTCCCGGGCTTAAGAAATCCTCCTGCCTCAGCCTTCCAAGTAATTGGGACTGCAAGCGTATACCACCACACCTGGCTAATTTTTTAATGTTTTTGTAGAGATGGGGCCTCATTACATTGCCCAGGCTGGTCTTGAACTTCTGGGCTTAAGCAATCCTCTCATCTCGGCCTCCCAAAGTTCTGGGATTATAGGCGTGAGCCACCATGCCCAGCCAGGAAGTCTTAATATCTACATCGTACCACAGATAAAGCTCATTTATGTTGATATTTTGTTTCTAGGAAAATATATGCTTCCTTTTAGAAAAGATCTTGCCCTCTGTATTGGTTAGCTATCACCACAACAGTGCTGCATAACACACCATGCCAAAACTCAGTGGCTTAAAACAGCAAACATTTCTTATTGCTCACAGATCTGTAAGCCAACTGGAGAGATTTAGTGAAAGGCTCAGCAGCTGAGCCGGCTCTGCACCGCATGCCTCTCATCCTCCTCCTGGGACCAGCAGGCTAGCCAGGGTAAGACCTTCCTAGGGTGACGTCAGAGAAGCAAAAGAAGATGCCTAACTTTACAACCACAGCCATGCAAGCGCATTACAAGCTGCTGGTGGCATCATGGCTGTGAACATCCCATTGGCCAAAGCAACTCACAGGGCTGAGCCCAAAATCAAAGACAAGACAATATGCTTCACCTTTAGCAGAAGAGACAACAAATGCGTGACAAAGGGCACAGACGCAGGGAGAGGTGATGCATCAGGGCCAGCGAGGCAGTCTCCTTCTTTTTAATTCTCCCTGTCACTTTATTGGCAACTTGTTTATCTTAGATGCAAGGAATATCGCAACCCAACCCCAGTTCAATAGCTAGAATATTGCACTACAGAAAGCTACAATACTGTACTACTGAATGCTATACAGTAGTCCCCGTTATTCATGGGGATACATTCCAAGACCTTCAGTGGATGCCTGAATATATATAGTACAAAATTCTATATATACTGCGCTTTTTCCTAAACATACATACTTACGATAAAGTTTCATTTATAAATTAGGCACAGTAAGACATTAACAAAAATAACTAATAATAAGATAGATCAACTATAACAATATGCTGTCATGAAAGTTATGTGAATATGGCCTCTCTCTCCCTCAAAATATCTTATTGTATTGTACCCAAGGTAACTGAAACCATGGAAAGCAAAACCAGGATAAGGGAGACTCCTGTAGTTACTAAGTATCTAAAGGAGTTGTCTTTGTTTCCATTACAAGGAAACTGAAGTTCAAGGAGAGAAAATGCCTTTCCCAGGGTGTCGGCAGAGAGTGGGGCAGACTCGAGTCTTTCAGCCTCTGTCTAGCCTGTCTTCCACTCTACAAATTCAGTAAGATCAGAACCAGTGAATTTTTCTTTAACAAAACAAGGGACTTATTGAACTCCTCAGAGGAACAAGATGTCTTATTTGAGTTAAAAGAGCAGCATCATAAAAATGTTTACAGAAATTACTGTAAAGATATTTTGGATTCCTCCCTCTGTTGTAACTAGATTGTAATTAGATGTTGCACGTGAACCCAGGCTCACATCTAAGCGAATACTTTCTGAGATTCATTTGTACTACTTTAAACTACTTTAAAAGTAAAAATATTAGTAAATCCATTTATATAATAGCACATATAATAGTGATTTCTATAACAGCAAAAATGTATAGCAAAGCAAAGGTCTAACAATACGGACCATTTAAGTAAGTGATGGTTATATATAACCATTTCAACAATGCAAAAATACTTGTGATAAAATTAAATAAAAAATAAGGTATAAAACTATATGCATCCTTAATCACAACATGAAAATGCAAACAAAATTTCCAAAGTCCAACACCAAATCATAAATGTGAAAAAGCTAGAAAAAAAAAACCCTGCACCATTTCTGTGACTCACTATATTTTAATCCCTGCAATAAAATATGCCAGTTTTATTTACACTTGGAACATGAAAACTTTTTCATTTTAGGCCTTGGTAGTATTTTATGTTTCTTTCATTGATAAAATAGTTAATTTCACTTTATTTAGGTGAATTTATTTACATGAATTACTCAAGATTCACCCCTTGTAAAGCTAGAAAAGGAAACAGCATGTCGACAGGGAGACATGAGTCTCCCCCAGGTATTGAGGCCTGCTTTGGCAGAGAAAGACCTTGGACCCAGGGCCTGAAGATCGAGTGTGTCCTCTCCCCAGACAAACCCTCCCTGGTATATAGCGGCTTGTCGCCAGTCCAGATGATGCAGCCAGGACATTTGCATCCTCTGGCACCTGCACAATCAATACCATCTTACTGCTCAAGCTGTGAGCAGTCGGTCTTGTAGCATTGAAGCTATTTAGAACCCCTGCCAGAAGACAGAAGACAGGGACCACATGTCAGGGCAGAATCAGAAAACTTTCAGAACTGGAAAGACCTAAGAGATTATCTCAGTTTCTCACTTTCAGGTGTGGAAAGAAGCCCAGAGAGATACAGTGTCTTGCCCAAGGTAGCACAGCTTATGAGTGGTTGGGCAGAGGCTTGATTTAGTTGTTATTTGTGGAGATACTGTTCTTCTTTCCATAGGGAGAGCTCCTGGATGGCTGACTTTCTGCTGATTTCATCTCTGCCATCTCTATTAACTTATTAGTGTCTTTAGAACTGACACAAGGATTCCCAGCTGCTCTGTGAGTTACTCCCAAGGTACTCAGCACAGTCCCTGTGCCTACAGCAGGAAGGACTTGATAAATGTGAACTGCAACTTGTCCTTACATTTGCACTGCACTTTGCGGGTTTAAAAAGCATTTTATAACTGAAATTGTGTGCCATAGACTCAGTAATTCCGCATTCCTTTAGAATGACTTCAAATGACACAAAATAGTAAATATACATTTTAAAATATTAAAACACAAGGATGTTCATGACAGTGATTTTCATAATAGCACAAAGCTTGTAACAAAGCAAAGGTCCAACAATAGAGATTGTTTTAGTAAATGGTGGTTATGCATAGGCATTTCAATGATGCAAAAACACTTATGTGATAAAATTAAATACAAAGTAAGATATAAAACTATATGCACCCTTGATGTCAACATGAAAATACAAAAAAAATTTTTTTTTTCAAAAATTCTAATCCCAAATCACATATGTTAAAAAGCTAGAAGAAAAAATATTGGTTGTTTTAGAGTGGGTAGATTGTGGGTAAGCGTTTTTAAAAACTGTGTTTGGGGGCTGTTCTTGTTTAATGAGTGTTTATAATAGAGTCAACCTCTTATTTCAAAATAAAATCATACCACCTTTATTATCTCATTTGATCACTGCAGTTTCAGATAAAGCACACTTTATCATGCCCAATTATATAAACAATGCAACTGGGGCTCAGAGATTTTTTTTAAAACTTAGCCCTTCTAGTAAGTGTTGGAGATGAAATTTACACTAAGATTTCTGAACTCCTCCGCCAGTGCTCTTTTACAGCCTCCTCTGCCTGGTTGGTTTATGTTGGCGATTATATTTGCTCTTCATTGACTCTGTCATTCTCTTCAGTTTTACCCAACAGCACAGCATGCTTTGTGGCAACTACAAAAATCTGCCCTGTAGTCCCATCATACTGGCTGAGTGATAGGACCTTTCCTGTATCCCTGTCTCTTTATCTCCATAATGATATGCTTTTCTTAGTAGCAACATGTTTAGCTGTGTTGGCTAAGGAACTCACCAGGAAAGCTCTTTTAAAATACTTTTTTTCAAAACCTGGAGCAGAGACGGAGTATTAGAAGCTCTGTAAGATAGCTGTTATTATTATTATTTTTTTTGAGACAGAGTTTTGCTCTTGTCACCCAGGCTGGAGTGCAATGGCGTAATCTCGGCTCACTGCAAACTCTGCCTCCCGGGTTCAAGCGATTCTCCTGCTTCAGCCTCCGGAGTACCTGGGATTACAGGCACGTGCCACCATGCCCAGCTAATTTTTATATTTTTAGTAGAGACGGGGTTTCGCCATGTTGGCCAGGCTGGTCTCGAACTCCTGACTGCAGGTGATCCACCTGTCTCAGCCTCCCAAAGTGCTGGAATCACAGGCGCAAGCCACTGCGACCAGCCTAAGATAGCTATTATTATTCCTATTGTACAGATGAGGAAGCTGAGGCCCAGAGAGGTTAAGTAAATCTCCCAGGGTCACCTACTTAGTAAAATCCAGCACTGTCAACTCCTAAGTCTACACCCTTGACCACTATTCCAGGATTTCCCAAACATATATGATTATCAGGAACCCAGGTAGTCATGTAAGAATATATAGATTCCAAGCTCTCTCCTCTATCAATTATGATCCAGAGTGAAGCCCAGTAATTTGGATTTTTAACAAATGCATCGGGTGATTCTCATGATTATATAGCTACACTGTCTTATTTTAAGATACCAAACCCAGAGGCTGCCCAGCAAGCACAAACCTCTATTTCTGTCTTATTTTCTCTTTCCTGCACCTGAATTCAGGCTGTGCTTTTAAAATGTGGTCAGCTAAACTCAGCATAGCTGGGAAAATGTGTGGCTGCTGTATTCCCTAAGGAAGAAATGGTAGGTCAAAAATACTCTGTGATTGGGCATTTTTGAGAACACATGTGAAGAAACAAACAAAAAAACCCAAATAAAACCTTAGATTCATAATTGCCACTGGGAATCATTAAAGTTCTACTCAAATATATCAAAGTTTCAGAATATTCCTTAGCCCTAATGTCTTATGGGAGAAGGTGTTATTGTTACTGCCGTCTTTTTTTTTTTTTTTGATTCTCATCTGATTACCAGGATTATGTTAAATAACTTATTTTAGACAACACATTGTGATAAACAAGTCCTAAGCTGAGACTCAGGACATCTGGATATTCCTGCTAAATGTCTATGTGTCCTTCAGGAAAGTGCTCCTCATGCCTGGGTCTCAGTTTTCCAGCCTGTGAAATGGGAGGTAGTTGGACACAATCTTCTCTAAGGCCACTGCTATCTCTGGCTATCACAAATTAAACAAACAAAATAAAACAAATATAAACAAATAAAATCAACGAAGCAAAACAAAAGCTTATGACTGCTCTAACCAGTTCATCAGTGCTCATACGGTTTTCTGAGAAGATATTTAACACATGTTCTTTGAGCTTCTTTTCTGTGCCAGGCAATTGGCACAGGAGTTGGGGATCAAGTGATGAGCCCTCCAGAGAATTCCACTAAAAGAAAACAAAATAATCTGACCTCAAAGTGTCTACAGTCTAGTGGGAGAAAAAGACAATTAATGAATCACAAAAATCAGTACAATACTGGAAGAGGGGCAAGTGCCATGAGACAGAGGGGTTTGGTGCCATGAGCTTGTAAGTCGGGAAGGCTTCCTGGAGGAGGTGATGATGGAGCTGAAAATGGAAAGAGAACTAGCAGTTTATGGCTCATTATGCTTTAGGACATGATAGTCAAATTTGATTTTAAATGAGTGGAAAATCCAGAAGAAAAATAATTCAAAATAAAAATACTCTTTGTTTATAATCAGTAAACTTCTTCCAATTCCAGATTATGACTCTGTACGTGTAGCTTGATCATTCAGGTCTCAGAAATCTGAGCAGCTGGGTGTTGCACACAGCTCGCATCTCACAAGAACTGATTGCTAACTTTTCAGGAAGTGTGCGAGCTGTTGTTAGACATGGCCATTATCATTATTATTATTACTAATTTTTATTTTAAATTCTGGGGTATATGTGCAGGATGTGCAGGTTTGTTACATAGGTAAACATGTGCCATAGTGGTTTGCTGCACCTACCAACCCATCACCTAAGTATTAATCCCAGCATGCATGAGCTATTTTTCCTGATGCTCTCCTTCCTGCCTCAACAACCCACTGACAGACTCCAGTGTGTGTTGTTCCCCTCCCTGTGTCTATGTGTTCTCATTGTTCAGCTCCCACTTATGAGTGACATGTGGTATTTTGTTTGCTGAGGATAATGGCTTCCAGCTCCATCCATGTCCCTGCAAAGGACATGACCTCATTCCTTTTTATGGCTGAATAGTATTCCATGGTGTATACATACATTTTCTTTATCCAGTCTATCACTGACAGGCATTTGGGTTGATTCTATGTCTTTGCTATTGTGTATAGTGCTGCAGTGAACATATGTGTGCATATATCTTTATAATAGAATGATTTATATTCCTTGGGTATATACCCAGTAACGGGACTGCTGGATCAAATGGTATTTCTGGTTCTAGGTCTTTGAGGAATCGCCACACTGCCTTCCGCAGTGGTTGAACTAATTTACATTCCCACCAACAGTGTAAAAGCATTCCTATCTCTCCACAGCCTCGCCAGCATCTGTTGGTTCTTGACATTTTAGACATGGTCACTATTAAAAATTAAAATACATAACGTTTCAATTAAGTAAGTCATATTAAAAATAAAGATAATCTAGATTCAAAACTCATCACTTTCTATTTTTACCATATTGATGCTTTTGAGATTATTTACAGCTATTGCATCTGTAAGGTGGGAAAGCCATATATGTGTGTATTCTTTCTGCTGTGCACCTCTTCCCAACTACACGATCAGTGATGTCCTGTTTGTAGCCAGCATTCGGCTGTGGTAGGAATATTTACACCACAAATTCAGCAAACACTAGAAATCAGGACTTGCCTTTTCTGCACCCCAGAGAACCAGTCAGGTTTTTTTTAACTTTTATTTTAAGTTCAGGAGTACATGTACAGGTTTATTACATAAGTAACCGTGTGTCACGGGGGTTTGTTGTACAGATTATTTCATCACCAAGGTATCAAGCCTATTACCCAATAGTTATTTTTCCTGATCATCTTCCTCCTCCTACCCTCCACCCTCTGATGGGCCCCAGTGTATGTTGTTTCCCTGTGTGTGTCCATGTGTTCTCATCATTTAGCTCCCACTTATAAGTGAGCACATGAGGTATTTTGTTTTCTGTTCCTGTGTTAGTTTGCTGAGGATAATAGCCTCCAGCTCCATCTACGTCCCTGTAAAGGACATGATTTAGTTCTTTTTATGGCTGCATAGTATTCCATGGTATATATGGACCACACTTTCTTCATCCAATCTATCATTGATGGGCATTTAGATTGATTCCATGTCTTTGCTGTTGTGAATAGTGCTGCAATGAACATACACATGCGCGTGTCTTTATAACAGAGGAATGTATTGTCCTTTTGGTATATATCCAATAATGGGATTACTGGGTCAAATGGAATTTCTGTCTTTAGGTCTTTGAGGAATTGCCACATTGTCTTCCACAATGGCTGAACTAATTTACACTCCCAACAGTGTATCAGTGTTCATTTTTCTCTGCATCCTCCCCATTATCTATTATTTTTTTGACGTTTTAATTATAGCCATTCTTACAAGAACCAGTCCATTGTTAAATCACCATTGCCTGGAGGTGTTCTTTAGGGCCACTCACTCCAGTTGGCCATTGAGTTATTAGGTCAAGTCAGTGAACTGCCATGGGGAAAACCAAGAAGAGGGGTCGCAGCCCAGTCCTGGAGGAATGCACAATCACCTTCAGTCACATTTGGAAGATGGAGCTTGACCCCAGTAGGGAAGAGAACAGGATTGAGATATTACCATGCTCTCAGGGGATTTCAGAAGTGGCCTTCTGACTTGGTTGAGGCTGGCATCACTGGGCAGTTTGCTGGACGGTGGGTGGCCCTGCAACAGAGGCCAATGAGTGAGCTGACATTTACTCTGTGCTGGAAAAAAATGTAGAGGCCAATAGGTGAGAGACAAAAAGGAAGAAAGTGGGCAGTCGCTGAGGAGGAAAGATACAAGAAGAGGTTTATGGCAATCTCACCCAGGGGAAGTTTATTAACCATGATTTTCAAAAAAGATATTATAGTAATTCAAGATAATGGTTAGAATTGTTATACAAGCAGCAGGATTTATAAGAAATGAAAAGTAGTCACCTCCTTCTGTCCCACTCCCTAGCTGTTGTTTTCAGATATTTTCATGCAGATGTCTTCTTTCTTTCTCTCCCTACCTTCTGCCTTCTGCCAACTCTCAATGCGTTATTTCATAACTTACTTTTATTTCCACTTAAGGATGCAGCTAGGCTTTGTAGCTAGGCAGTGCAATCTTGTGGTTAGAGAATGGTTCTGGCTCTAGACAGCGTTAGCCCATCGACCTACCAGAAGTATAACCCTAGACAAAGTATTCTCCTTTTTATGACTCAGTTTCCTAATGTATAAAATGAGAACAGAGTAAAAGTGTCTCTCTCACAGGGCTTTGTGAGAATTCTATTAATTAATACATGTTAAGCATTAAATTGGAGCTGACATGTGTTACCTTTCTATGGCGGATAATTTATCTCACTTTAATTTTTACGTCATTTACCATTCTATTTTATGAATGTGCTAAAGTAGATTTAAGTAGCCTCCTTTTAATAGACATGCAGGTTGTTTTCCAGTTTTTGCTACTACAAACACAAACAGTACTGCAGTATGTTCTTATGCAAATATATTTGTGTAATTGTGTGAGTTCATGCATAAGAAAAAAATTCCCAGAAATGAAACTACCAGATCAAAGGTATTGTGTATTATCTATATCTATTTCTCTCTCTCTCTCTCTCTCTCTCTCTCTCTCTCTCTCTCTCTATATATATATATATATATATATATATATATATATATATATATATGTATATATGGTTTTTTTTCTTCTTTTTTTAAACAGAGTCTTGCTCTGTCACCCAGGCTGGAGTGCAGTGGTGCGATCTTGGCTCACTGCAGCATCTGCCTCCTGGGTTCAAGTAATTCTCCTGCCTCAGCTATTCTCAGTAGCTGGGATTACGAGTATGTGCCACCACACACAGCTAATTTTTTTTTTTTTTTTTTTGAGACGGAGTCTTGCTCTGTCGCTAGGCTGGAGTGCAGTGACGTGATCTCAGCTCACTGCAACCTCCACCTCCCAGGTTCAAGCTATTCCCCTGCCTCAGCCTCCTGAGTAGCTGGGACTACAGGTGCATGCCACCACGCCTGGCTAATTTTTTTGTATTTTAGTAGATACTGGATTTCACCCTGTTGGCCAGGATGGTCTCGATCTCCTGACCTCGTGATCTGTCTGCCTCAGCCTCCCAAAGTGCTGGGATTACAGGCGTTAGCCACCATGCCTGATCAAAGCTGTGTATATTTTAACATTTGATAGATATTACCAAATTTACACTAAATAAGTTTGCAACAAATATATGTTTTCCAAATAGAATTTGAGAACATCTATTGCATTTCAAAGGCAATACCTCTGGACACTATCCAATCTTTCCATCTTTACCAATACAGTAATTTTTAAAAATGATAACTTATTGTTTACATTTTCCAAATTACTAACAAGTTTAACCATCTAATCATATTTTATTATCTATTACTACTTCTTTTGAAGGAAACATAAAATATCTATATACTTTGCCCATTTATTTGCATTTTTGCAGATTGTCTTCTGATTTATTTTTTCATGACAGAGAATAGTTTTATTTTTCTGTGGTCAGATTTACCAATCTTTTGATAGTTTCTGGGTGTTATGTAACACTTCAAAAAGGCCTTCCACTGTGCTTTTATTAAAACAAATGTATTTAGATTTCCTTTTAGTACTTTTATGGTTTCATATTTTATATCTAAATATTTGAGACATCTGTAAGTAGTTAGAAGTGCATTAATGATTAATTTCATTTTTTCCAAATATTGAGTCAGCTTTCTCAGCATCATTTATTGAATAAGCCATAGTTTCTCCATCAACTTGAAATGCCACTTTTATTTTTTATAAGATCCTCACACGTTATTTAGCTTAACTCTTCCTAATTCTCTTTCATTGTTCTGCCTCCTGAGCTCTGCAGTAGCACCATACTGTTTTAAATACTGCAGCTTTATAATACATTTTAAAATATAGTAGTACTAGTGCCTTCATTAATTTCATTTTCAGAATTTTCCTGGCTCTCTTATATGATTGTTTTTCCATGCAAATTTTGATATCCTTATGTCAAGTTGCTTCAAAAAAACTCTATCAAAATTTTAACTAGTGATAACCTCCTTCTTGGAAAGGCTCTTTCTGACCCACCTTCTCTTTTATTCCTCATAATAATGCTAGCCATGCCAAGCTGCCTTTACAGGGGAAGGACCTGAGGCTCTGAGAAGTGATGACATTGGCCCATAGTCACCCAGGTAACATGGGTGCCAAGTCGTAAGATCAAACCCAGGTTTTCTGGCTCCAATCTAGTGCCCTTTTCATCACCCCCAGAGAAATACAAACGAGGAATCATTCTGAGAAGCGAGGAGGAAAATATATTCATCTCTGTAGAGAGCCTAAAAAAGAACTAATCAATCTGAACTCATTCAGAATCCAGGTGTATGCTGAGTTGTGCAACACATCTTGTCAAATGAAACCGCCTGTCTACCTGCATTGTACAATCTTGAACTTCCTCAGCTTAGTCCCCATGAATGACTATGGAGCAATTTGTAACACAAAGTGGCATAGGACTTCATATTAATATTATGTGTTAGGTGCAACCACACTACTGCTTTGAGCTACTTACTAAAGATGGTGAAAAAAAATGTTGAGACTTTGATCTCATGTTTTAAATCTGGCCATTATAAATAGATAGAATTTCAGCTTAAATATACTAATGATTTTTTTCACTATGCAAATTATACTGGTTCCTTAGCAACAGAACAGATAAGTGTTTCCTTTCTAATTCTGTGTATGTTAGTTTAGAGAAGGCACACAATAAGTTAATTAGAGAGTGGTTGGGGGTGACTTGTAAATGTCATATGAACATGCTGCTTGCCTTTATAGCACTCGAAGACTTTTAAATGTGTGGGTTCCATTTCTGGCATGGTTGGCGTACTTTTTGTCTCTAGAACCTTTTTCCAACTAACATTTGGAATAAAGATTTGAAAGTGGTATGTGGTGTCTTTGGTTGTAACTTCTAATTACAGATGTGCTCAGTTTTGGGGAAGACAGATATATAAAAATCTAACCAGAAAATAAGAGAAATCAGGGCATGGTTAGAATCCCAGGGTATCAGAGGTATTATTTACACAGTAGTACCTCCTTATCCTTGGTGGGGGGGTATGTTCCAAGACCCCCAGTGGATGGCTGAAACTGCAGATTATACTGAACCTTATATACAGAATATTGTATCATTATTAGGTTGAGAACTTTCACCTTTTCACTTAAAGAAAGCACTTTATGGCTTCTCTTTTGCATATCCAAATTGCCAGCATCACTACTTTTGTGCTTTGGGGCCATTATTAAGTAAAATAAGGGTTACTTAAGTATAAACTCCACCGTGATACCTCAAAAGTCCATAGTCAATTTGATAACCCAGACAATTTAGCAACTAACAGGCTGGGAGTGGTTACAGCATAGATATGCTAGAAAAAGGGATGATTTCTACACCCTGGGCAGAAAAGAGCAGGGTGCTAGAAGATTCCATTATGTTACTCAGAATTGCTTGCAACTTAAAACATATGAGTGGCTTATTTCTGGAATTTTCCACTGAATATATTTGGACCACCATTGATTGAGGGTAACTGAAACCATGGAAAACAAAACCATGGATAAAGTGGGACTTCTGTAAATCTCTCATTTTACTGGGGAGAGGACTGGGGTTTAGAGTGAACAAATGTTTTACCCAAGAGACTAGTGTCTATACTTGGCTGAGCTTCTAGTCAAACCTAGGACTCTTGTATTTGTCAGCATGGATGTCATGAGAAAATACCATAGAGTGAAATTTATTTTCTCACAGTTCTTGAGGATGGGAAGTCCAAGATCAAGGTGCCAGCATGGTTGGTTTCTGGTGAGGGCCCTCTTCCTGGCTTGTAGACAGCTACTTTCTCCTCACATGGTGGATGGAGGCAGGGAGACAGAAAGAGAGAAAGAGGGCAAGCTTTCTAATGTCTCTTCTTATAAGGGCACTGACCCCATCAAGAAGGCACCACCCTCACAGCCTCATCGAATCCTAAGTATCTCCCTAAGGCCCCATCTCGAAATACCATCACATTAGGTAGTTTAGGACTTCAGCATATGGATTCAGGGGGATTCAAAACATTCAACCTACAGCAACTCCCTATTGTGTTTGCTATCCCCCTTTTATATCCTAAGGCTTGCTTGCCTTAGGATAACGAACTCTTTAGTGTCTGTTGTTAAGGGTTTGTTTATATTTCTGCCTGTTTCCAATTCATCTTGGACTTGATTTCTGCCAATGCCACCCTGTGTTCCATCTTCTCATTATGGTTGAGCTGGCCTGTATCGTATCTGATTCTTGAACTGTTTTCCGAGAAGGGATAGAGAGAGATGGTGTGCTAACGGGAGAAATTCTATAATATCCTGAATAAATTCTAAGATAGAAAACCTAAAAAGAGCTTTGAGAAAAAAACAACATCAATTAATTTATTAAAATTATAACATAGTCCAACCTGGTGCCTGGAAGACTGGACCAGTGGCGAGAAGAAGGACTGTTCTGCCATCAGTGGGTTGGTGATCAGAGAACATCAATATTCACAGGTGCACCCAGGGAGTGGGCTTCAAGAAGTGAGCCTCTTGGGCACTTTAAAAAGGTATGGAAATTTTCCATGAAGAAGATAGGAACTCTAAATATGTGCACTGATACTGAGCTCAACAAAGCTATTGGGGCTAAAGGAATAAGGAACATCCCATACCACATCCATGTGTGGTTGTCGAGAAAAATTAATGAGGATGAAAATTCACCAAACAAGCTCTGTACATTGGTTACCTATGTACCTGTCATCACTTAAAAATCTACAGACAGTCAATGTGGATGAGAACTAACCACGTTTTATCGAATAAAGTTATAAAACCACACACAAAAAATAAAATAATAACTAGTCTCCTATTTTGATTATTTCAATTGCACAATTTAAGTTTTGACATATGTTTACATATGATGAAACCACTACTTTTACATTGATCATTAAAAAGCTTAAGGCAAAGACTTCCTTTATATTTTACAACATCTAGCAGAGTAAAGAAGAATAGTTAATTTGACAGTGATACAAACTTTCTATTGAGAGACGAAATCAAATTTTCTGTTAGGAATGCATTTAGCTGCAAGTAACAGAAAACTCAACTAATAGTGGCTTAAATCATACGGACAATTATTAACTTTACAGTGAGTCTGGATGTATGCAGTTTCAGTAATTGTTTAGAATATAAATGATGTCAGGCTTACCCTCTTGGTCCCTGTTGGCGCCACTGCCCCAGGCCTCATGACCTCACATGGCCTGTCCAAAGGCCAGAAACACAGGAAGCCAGAGGCAAGAGGACTCTGTATGCATCTCTTTCCTTTTATCAGGAAAGAGAAATCATTCTCAGGAGCCTCAGGGGGTGTTCTGTTACATCTCATTTGCCACCACAAAGCCAACCTTTAATGTAGAGGAGGCTGAGAAAGCCTTTATGCTGGGACGCCACTGGGGAAAAAGGGGCTTGGGTGTGCTGCTGACTGGCAACCAGTTGTGACATGCTGGATCTGCTAGCAGAATGCCTGGCCCCGGTCCCTTGACACTCACCATCCCAGTATACATAAACTGGGTTCTACTGGGAGAGACTGGGGACTTTCTCTTGGCACAAGTAGGCAGGCCCTTAATGCTGAGAAGTTACACCCCTGGGAGCAGCCCCAAGTCATCGACAAATTGTAGATGGAGGACATACCCCAGCTTCCTTACCCTTGAGTGGGGCAACTCCAAGGAATATTTCACCTGTTTCCTGGTAGTTTTCAGTGGGAAGGAGCCCCAATTGCCCTTAGGGGTCACATGGTCCTCTGAATTAGCTTTCTCATCTTCTGTCTCTTGTTTCTTCACCCCACACCAGTATTTACTGAGATCATCTTCCCAATAAACCACTTGTGTTCAAGTCTTGTCTTAAGGTTCAGCTTCCAGGAGACATTCAGCCCAAGATACTAGATATGTGAACCTCTTTACCTTCAGTTCTTCTAATTGTGGAAGAGAGATAATCCTACCCAGGTAGGCCAGTTATGAGAGTCAATGACAAAACATATGTAAAAATACATTGCAAATTGCAAAGCATGAAATGGACGCAGGAATAATGTGAGCTGGAAAACAATGTGCTTTTTCACTCAGGCCATCAGTTTAGATTCCACTGATGTAATTTCACCAATATTTGTCAAGGACTGAGTCTTTGGGCAGAGACTCCTTCTTCTGACAGGTAAAGGAGGTTTGATTGCTAAAGTGGTACTTTCTCTCAATGTCCACTAAGAGCCTTGCTTTTATGCCTGTTACTGCACTAGGATTCAAATTAGCTATTATTCTTTAGAGATGGGGGGTGGTGATGAAATAGTCTGCACTCTTGCATTACAGTTTATAATATTCAGTGTATTGACCAAGATAAACAGCTAATTCTCTGTCAAGTTACTCAACTGGAAATCTCTTGGGGTTGCCTCAAAACTTTACCCCTGGTTTCATTTTCTCCCCAGGAAAATACAAGTACTTTGATATATTGGATACAATCACTTTAATGAAGCCAGGCTTTTAAAAATAAGAAGCAAAGCCATCTATTTCCATGCTGTTGAAACTTTCTTCTCATATGGCTTGAGGTTTCGTGTGTGTGTGTGTGTGTGTGTGTGTGTGTGTGTGTGTGTTTTCTTGACCTCCAAACTGGGAAGCTATGGGCTGTCTTCTTTTAACTCCTAGAGTTTTCTCAGTGCTTTTCTTCTGATCTCCTAAGTTGGCCTGTGCTATATTCAGGCTGGCTGTATCTAGTCTAGCTGTTTCTGATAGTAGCACCTGTGTTAGATATTTTTTATCTGCCCCTTCAGATCCATTCTCTGCCATTCTTTGTCCTTCCCTGTGTCCCTGAAGATTGATCTCTATAGACTGCATCACCAGCTCCCTTGATCTCTGGATTTCTATTGGAAGGTGCTGGCAGGGGTTTGGAGGGCATGAGAGAGGTATGGGTATTCAGAACCCTGATACCTTTGGGGCTGAGTTGCTATTGGCAGTGGCCTCTTCCTCTACTTACTACCCCAGCTCCTGTCCAGGCAACCTATCTACTTCTGTCTCATATTCTACTAATATTCCCTCTCCTGGCTCCTTCAGGCCCTGGGGAAGTAACGGCTTCCCATTGTTGCTGGTCTCTGGGTGCTTCCCCACTCCTGGTTGGCTCCCTTAGACCACACTTCTGTAACAGCACTATATTGAACTCTCCCCAGTCACCCCTTCAAGGGTGCCTTCTGCACTCTACTGTCTCAGAAAGCATACCAATTTCCTTCTAAGAAGTTACCTTTCTCCATCTAGATAGAGCTAGTGGGACATCGAGGGATCCTGCCTTTCTTCAGCCAAGATGAGGATGTTGTGTAGGAACATGTGGCTTAAGCAAGTCCAGCCAGATGCTCTGTTTCTGGAATTCAAACCAAGAGCAGAGCAGTCACAAATCTGAGCACAGCTGAAGCTCAGTTTTCTGGCAGCAAAACCAGAGAGGCTGATGAGAAGCTCTTATTACTCAGAAATCCAGAGCTGCTGTGGTCAGTGGTTTTCCAGGCCTGATCCTGATGGAGGCAGCATTCCTCTCCATCCTCTGAGCCTCTCTGGAACCATCCAATCAATTTCTTTCTTTCTTTTTTTTTTTTTCTCTAGTGAGCTGGTGTAGATTTCTGTTGCTTACTACCAGATAATCTTCACTGATCTACGTCCCAAGCAGCTCTTCCAGAAATTGCCTTCCCCAATCATCCACATGGATTCACCCAGAGGCCCTACCCTTGTTTCTTGATCCTTTTGCTGGACTTTAATTATTGCACTTAGTATTAATAGTTGCTACTTTTGACAGCTTCCATCCTGCTATTCTCATGTGCACCCACATCATATGACAGTGGCTTTTCCTGATAATTTTCAGGGATCTCCCCCCGACCCTTTTTTTTTTCTTTTTTTGAGATGGAGTCTCACTCTGTCACCAGGCTGGAGTGCAGTGGCATGATCTCGGCTCACTGCAACCTCCGCCTCCCAGGTTCAAGCAATTCTCCTGCCTCAGTCTCCCGAGTAGCTGGGACTACAGGCATGTGCCACCATGCCCAGCTAATTTTTGTATTTTTTAGTAGAGACGGGGTTTCACCATGTTGGCCTGGATGGTCTCGATCTTTTGACCTTGTGATCCACCTGCCTCAGCCTCCCAGAGTGCTGGGATTACAGGATCTCCTCTTTTTGCAATTGCTAGTCTTTAACTGTGGTTCTTGTTTATGCATTCAGGACCAAAGACCTGAGTCCTACCAACCAATGCCAAACAATAACGAGGGAGTCTGTGCCCTAAATTAGTTGAAACCTGTAGTCCTTACATATAAATCTTGCCCCGAGGAAATGTTATTGTCATGACATGGTTTGAATGTAGACACAAATGTTATGTTTAAAATGTAAGTGTGCGATTGGCCTTCAGAAATATAGTTTTAAAATATTGGAGGCAGCCCAGTCTGGTGTTGGCAGCTTTCTAATAAGCAGCTCAATGATACCTGCATGACCCCATAAATAATAAGGACTGAAAGCCTCTACCCACAGCAGCTTGAGACAACAGAAGGTAAATAGGTCACAGCTTCTCCCATGACCAGCTGAACAATAATTTATTTTCTTTAGGAAATTCTCCAGTTGTTGGAACAACACCCCACCCCCCACCCTACCCCCACAGCTATTCAGACTGACCCTTGACTCGAGTGGTGCAGAGCTATAACTCCTTATAGTTCCTCTTTGCTCAGGGACCTCCCTTTCCTTTCCACTGGGTCTTGGGAGAGGTGACTTTTGTTTTACTTGTGTTTTTCACACTTGTGTTCTTTGTGTAAAGTGCACATGAAGACGAGGAGCCGGCTTCCAGTCCTCCCTATGGAACTGGTTGATACATACTTAATTAAACTGACCCACCATCTCTTTGGGATCACCCTTCTTTCTCTTTCTGCTTCCTCACAGAATGCCTTCCTTAGAAACCAAGGTCATAGTTAAAAGGGTGTTGGGCCTGGAAGGAAGTTTACAGACCATTTCATCCATCCCCACTGTAGAGGGTTGAATTTTATTTATTTTATTATTATTTTTAAGCTTTTTTTTACATGAATAAATTATTTAGTGGTGATTTCTGAGATTTTGGTGCACCTGTCACCTGAGCAATGTATACTGTACCGAATGTATAGTCTTTTATTCCTCACCCCTCCCACCCTTTCCCCAAGTTCCCAAAGTCCATTTATCATTCTAATGCCTTTGCATCCACATAGCTTAGCTCCCACTAATGAATGAGAACATATGATGTTTGATTTTCCATTCCTCAGTTACTTCACTTAGAATAATGGTCTCCAATTCCTTCCAGGTTGCTGGAATGCCATTATTTTGTTCCTTTTTATGACTGAGTAGTGTTCCATGGTGTGTGTGTGTGTGTATAATATATTAGGATTTGGGCATGTTTCAGGGAGATAAAATTCAACCCCCTATACATAATATATATGCATATTACAAATATATATGTAATATATATTTTATATGTAACATATATATATAATTTTATATATATATATAATTTTATATATATATATATATATATTATAGTGGGGTGAATTTTGTCTCCCTGAAACATGCCCAAATCCTAATCCCCAGTACATGTGTATGTGACATTATTTGGAAATGAGGTCTTTGCAGATGTGGTTAGGTTAAGGATCTCAAGATGAAATAATCCTGATTTAGGTTGGGTCATAAATCCAATGACTGATATTTTTATAAGAGACAGAAGAGAAGAAGGAGGAGAAGACTACTGAAGACAGAAGCAGTGACTGGAATGATGCTACCACAAGCCAAGGAAGCTGGAGGAGGCGAGGAAGATTGTCCTGCAGGAGTGTGCCCCTGCCAGCACCTTGATTTTGGACTTCTGGCCACCATGATGGTGAGACAGTAAATCTAAGACACCAAGTTTGTGATAATTTGTTACAGCAGCCCCAGGAAGCTAATACACCCTTCCATGTATGAAGGCTTGAAGAGGAAAGCACTTGGCCAGATTCTCCTAGGGGTTAGAGGTGACAGATCAGGGATTAGAATCCAATTCTCCTGACTCACAACAGTTACTTTTTCTGCATTGCCCCCTTTCATGAAGCCTTTCTCCAGCAGTCGGAAAGAGGTGTGGACTTGTGCCAACATCCAGTGCTCAGCACGTCTCCCACTCCTGCCCTAGAGTTCAGAACAGAAGCTGACCCATGGGTCACTGGCCACGCACTCAGTCCATTAATCAATGTCTTGTATCAGCCCCCTGCACAAGCACAGCGCTGGATTCAGTGGGGGATCCCGGGACAAACCTGCTATGGATCCCACACTGAGGAGTTTATGGCCTACTTGAGTTGGCGCAGAGTATGAGGATAGAATATGTTTGCAGAGCTGTAATTCAGGTAGAGTCATACATATTTAATTTATGCAAATGCACCAATATGAGTTTTTAGCTTGCGAGAACATCACCCATAGATGATGTGATTCCGTCAACTGTTCCACTCCGTGTGAGTGTTCCCTGGGGTAAATGATACAGGCAGATATGGATCTGCCCTTCTTTCAGTTGCCCTGAGTTATCTGTGTCTCTTGTGGTTTCATCAATCTGTCTGAGTAGGACTGTTGAGTTTAAAAATACCTATTTCTCTTACTATCGGCCCCCAACCAACCACATCATCCAGTACTCAACCAAAGAAATGGCAATCCGTTTCTTTATTAAAAATATTTTTGGCATTATTGGAATGTATTAGAACACATCACTTCCAAGGTGGCAGCTGGCTTCATAGGGGATTTTTGAGCATAAGTTGGCTTAAATGTCATCTTTATGTCCCCAAGGTCTCGTTATGATGTGACGTCACTGCGTAAACCCATAAACCGATTCCAGCATGAATATAGGTTATCCATGGTTAGTTATCCATTTTCACACTATGAGCCCTCAGGGACATTTTTTTCCATTCAGTAACTATATGGATGGCTCTCCTTCTCCTCACTCCTTTACATTCTACTGTGGATCATCTCTGTTTACAACTCTCCGCTCCTCTTTCTCACCAGATTCCAAGCTCTTTGAGGACAAGCTCCACATCTGGTTCATTCTTCTTTTGCCCATGGTGCCTGGCACAGTGTGGAGCTTCCAGGAGGTGATGAATAACTGTATGTACAAAGAACAGATGCTTATACTTAAATCCATGTTTTAGAGCATCTGGCCAGTCTTACCCACTCTCTGAGGAATGTAACATTATAAAAAACAGTTAAGAGACAACCTGGCCAGGTGTGGTGGCTCACGCCTTTAATCCCAACACTTTGGGAGGCCAAGGCAGGTGGATCTCTTGAGCCCAGGAGTTTGAGACCAGCCTGGGAAATGTGGTGAGACCCCATCTCTACAAAAAACACAAAAATTGGTTGGACGTGGTGGCATATGCCTGTAGTCCCAGCTACTTGGGAGGCTGAGGCGGGAGGATAGCTTGAGCCCAGGAGGCAGAGGTTGCAGTGAGCCAGGATCACATGACAGAGAGAGACCCTATCTCAAAAAAAAAAAAAAAAAAAAAAAAAGACAACTTACAGCATGGGAGAAAATATTTAGAACATAGAGCAGAGGATTCCTATTAAGACTACAAAAAAGATTCTACCAATTAATGAGAGAAACAAGTACCCAGTTTAAAAATAATGGGCAAAGGACATAGGGACAGGTAATTCATGAAAGAGGAAAACATATTCAATGTCACTAGGAATGAGGAAACTGGAACCAAAACAAAATTGAGACACCCCTGCATACTCATTTTCTGGCCCATCTAACACCAGCGAATATCAAGTACCAGCAGACAGGGGAAAATATGTAGTCTCATATATTGCTGGAGAGAATGTAGCTAGATCGGGACACTTTAGGAGCACTGTAACTTATTAAATGTTTGAAAGTGCATTCCTATGTCCCTACTTTTCAAATCTACCCTAAGTAAACACATTTGCCTGTATGCCCAAGAAGGCATATACTAAGATGTTCAATTTTGCAGTGCTTATAAAAATTAAATTTGAAGGGAAAAATTGTAATGAGTATACATTGAAAACAAGTATATAAATATATAAATGTATATAATATAATAAATAAACAACTCTAAAAATACATGAATAATATATACACATCAATACAGAGGGGTCTAAATATACCATGAGAAACTCATGCTTTGGATCACAAACGGCACTGGAGAGGGATGAGTTACATTTCTGTTTACCAACAGATTTAATTATCCCAGGAGGTTGACATCATTTATGAAAGAAATACACAAAGAATAATGCTATCTCTACATATTTGTATGGATATATATATATATATATATTTTTTTTTTTTTTGAGATGGAGTCTCACTCTGTTGCCCAGGCTGGAGTGCAGTGGCACGATCTTGGCTCACTGTAACTTCTGCCTCCAGGGTTCAAGGGATTCTCCTGCCCAGCCTCCTGAGTAACTGGGACTACAGGCATCTGCCACCACTCCTGGCTAATTTTTGTATTTTTGGTAGAGACGGGGTTTTGCCGTGTTGGACAGGGTGGTTTTGAACTCCTGACCTCAAGTGATCCACCCACCTCAGCCTCCCAAAGTGCTGGGATGACAGGCATGAGCCACCATGCCAGGCCGATTTATATATATTTTTGTAATGCAAAGAAAGGAGTTAGAAAGCAACACACCAAACTGATAAAAGTGCTTACCTCTGTGGAAGAAGAGACCAGAATTCTTTTTGAGGGGAAAAGGGGTCAAAGAAGGATTTTGGTAGAGGCTGGCTGGCTGGTCCCCACATGTGCTTCCTCTTCTTTCTGGTAACCAAGCTAGGCAGCATTTCCCAGCTTCTCTTGCAGGTAAGTTGTGGTCATGTGAGCCAGTTGCAGGCCTGGCTCATAATAACCTTGCACATGCAACCCTCTGGGCCTTTTCCTTCCTGGGTGACTTTGGAAGTTATGTGCTGAAAATGGTGAAGTCACAGAACAGATGGAAGATTCCTGGAGAGAGAAGCTGCCTATGGACCAGAAACACTGGAATGGGCTTCATATGATCAAGAAATAGACTTCTATGCTGTTAAATCACTGAGACTGTGTTGTCTCTGTGCTAGGAACTAGCTTTGCCCAAACGAACACTGGAATTTAAGTGTTGATTGAGGTGTTTTTACTTTTTTAATAAGGAGAATGCATTCATGTATCACATGCAATTAAATAAAAATTTACAAAGAAAGATCGAGTGAGCCCTGAGCCCAAACCCTATCTTAAGACAGCAAAGTGCTCAAAATTCTATGTGAGTGACAGTGGATGCCTATTCTGGGTATCTGAAGCTCTGGGTGGGGTCCTGCTATGCACCACTCAGAGAAATGCACCCTCCCTTCTTGTAGAAGAGCATGAGAATAGAGTCAAAAGGTCTGAATAGCAATCCTAACTCCTGATTCCACCACCTATGGAAGCTTGAGCAAATCGCTTTACTTCCATGGGCCTCAGCTTCCTCACCTGTAAAAAAGGCAAACTGTTTAGGACAGGTTCCCCGGGAAGCAGACTCTGAGACTCCGAGGTGTGTCAGGTGAGCGCTCCTGACCTGTGAGGGGTGAAGGAAGCAGAACTTTGCAGAGGGAAAAGTTGAATTTGGGGCACAGTTGGAACAAAGACCTCAGCTGATTCCACAGGGAGCTGGGATGGACTTGTAGAGTTGTCTCTAATTGGGGCAAGGCAGGCAAGCCTTTGTAATTGCTCCCAAATAGACCAGGTTTTGGATGCAGGCTTCCCTGGGGAGGGACTTGACCCTGAGAGAGCTATCTGCAGTCAACACTCCCAGCAACTGTGGAGAGGGGTGCCTTAGTCCTGAGGAGGGCATCTGGACAATGCACCCCAGCTTTCACCACATACACCAATTCCTACATCCCAAGGCTGGGGAGAAAACCAACTAAGACCTTGAATTTGAAAGAGCTTTGTCTATTAAAAAGATCTTCCTTATATGAGATGATTTAAACATATATCAGACACTCACCAAAACAAATAGTGTGTTTATGGGGTTGTATGTTGTACCCCATAAATATATCAAATTATTATTTGTCAATTAAAAGTAAATAATTTTTTAAAGTTTTAAAAAATGCTTTTATATATGTATATGTATATATCAAAAAGAATAATACTGTTATTAATATTCTACATGATTCTCTCCCCTCCTTCCCTCTCTCTCTCTGGTTCATGTATATCACTGAATTCAATTTCCTAATATTGATGTAGGGCTTTTGCATCAGTGTTTACAAGGAAGATTTTCCTATAATTTTCCTTTCTTGTAAAGTCTGTGTGGGGCTTTTATATGAAAGATATGGGGGAAGAAAAGCTATACAGAAATACAAATAGAGGAAGGTCAGGTGGATTTTCTTTTTCTTGCCCTTGAAGGGGTGTGAGTACCTCCCAGGGGAAATGAAACCCCAAACCACTAAGTACAGAGGGGTCCCGAAGCAGAGGTGGGTTCAAATCCGCCTGATCCGGCATTTTCTCTGTGTGTGTCCATTTAGTAGTGATGAATGGAAGGATGGTGCTAAATTGTTAGTGCCTCCTCTGATGGTCTGAAATTAACAGAGACCTGGCATATGTCAGAAAGGTGAGGGCCAGGGTCATTTCAGGGTGAAGTTAAGGGAAATGGACTCCAGATGATCGTTCATGCTGTGACCCCCATCTGTTTGATTGTGTTGAACCCTAAGAGTGAAATCACTGCTGTTTGAATTCAAAGCTGAAGCTGTGGTGCATCGTTAGGGATCTGAGTACTTTAGCCACCAAGCCGCAGGTTCTAGAAACGCTAGGCTGGAGGAAGTATATCTATGTCTTCACGATTCTGTGAAGTGTTTCGTAGACTTGCAGTATTTTATAAATGTTGAGTTTGGCCCATATGTTTTTATGTCTTGCTCATGGAACTTGGCAACTTACAGAAAGGATTACTTTAGCTGGGGAGTGGGGTGATAAGAAGCTGCTTATTGGTTCCACTACTAATTAATTGACTAATTAGTTTTTTTATTACAAAAATGGTGACAGGTTCTATGTTGACCAGGCTGGTCTTGAACTCCCGGCCTCAAGCGATCCTCCCACCTTGGCTTTCCACAGAGTTCCAAAGTGTTCCAAAGTGATTACAGGTGTGAGCCACCACTCCCGGCTACCTCATTGATTCTAGAGGCAACTTTCCCCAAAAAGAGACCAGTGCTTTCCAGGGGACTTGGATATGATCCTTTGGAATATGAGACAAAAATATTAGAACTTCTTATTTTCTATCTTTTTTTAAAAATGAATATTTTGTATGTATTTATATTGTATATATATTATGTTATAGTATATGCCTTTAATTTATAAATAAACACACACCCATGTTTGGGGTGCCCCTTTGAAAAAAAATTTTATAGTAATAGATATTTCTGGTTTAAAGAATAGGACCTTTTAGGGGATCACTGATGCCCTCTTTAAGAATTTGACGAAAACTAAGGATATACTCTCTCGAGAATACTGCACACATATGGAAGGTTCTGCAAACCATTTTAGGGGACACTGAAGATTTCTCTGAGATTTCTCTGAATGTCAGGGAAAGAGTGCTTGTTTTCAAGTGTCCTCACTCAGGGATTATTCTAGCATATCTTTAGGGCACTCCAGCGTCTGTTCACCCAGCAAGGACCTCAGTTACGGAACCTGGCAGTCAGCATGAAGGGCATCTTATGTTCCTTCTATCTGGTGCCTTCCTGAGCCAAAAGTGCTGGACCCAAAATAATCGGCCATCTCCTATCACCCACCCAACAGGACAGCCCCAGTGGGTGCAGAAATCCTTTTTATTCATCCCCCATTATTCATATTTGTACACACACACACACACACACACACACACACACATGCAGATTTATTATGTATTTTTATTATAAAGCTAAATCTTGCAGAAAATTTGGAAGGTTAGAAATGTATGAACCAGAACAATTAAAATACCCATACTCTTACCTTCCAGAGATAACCACTGTTTTCATTTTGGCAAAAGACTTTGAAATCCACTCTCCTATGCATCTTTGCACCTATGGAAGGATTATTTTTATTGTTGATTAAAAGGAGGTCCATCTTCTGAGTTTACCCTAAAATATCCCTGCTTGCGTTTTAAAAAAATAATTCCAGCTCCCTTATTGATTTTTTTAAAAAAGATTTTTTCTTGAACAAGAACGAGACAGATAATTGTGTTTTAGTATATCTAGCCAAAAATAAACAAATACATAAATATTGAGGTTCCCAGGATCTTGAACTCAAGGCAGAAATTTGGGCCCTTTCTTATTCACATCCTTTCAGTTATTCTCCAATTTTCTGTAAAACTCCTCTTCCCTTGAAGGTCCTTTTCCTCTTTTCCTTTTCTGACCTCGCCTCCTCTCCCGCATCCATTCACTTTTTCAACATACGTTTCTTGGGTAACCACTTTGCATCAGTCACTGAGCTTGCTGCAGGAAAACAGACTCAACCTCACTCCTAACTTACCCTTTTTCTATTTCTTTTCTTTTTATTTTTTGTCCCAGTTGCTCTGTCTTGTTAACATACACTTGCAGGCATTTATTTTTTTCTTTGTAACTTACACCTCTAGAAACATCCCCAAATGCAGGTGGCTTCTCTGACAGTCAGTATTCCATAAACCATCAGATCCATGAAAGAAGCCTCTCTCTGCTGAATTTATGGATTGGCAAAGCCATTTCATAAAAAATGATTAATGATAATTAACATTTTAACTTTGGGCCATTTAATGGCACCTCACAAAAGGGTCAAGTGAATCTCATGGGTGTCATATGTCAAATGTCACAGTTACATGATGGGGCTGAACAGTAGCTAAGAATTCAATGAAGAGAATGTGTGGGGAACTGCAAATGAAACTTCTACACCCATTCCCAGGGGGCTGCTTCTCCTTTGCCCCTAGTCAAATTAGACACCCCAAATTAGAAGTATGTGGGCTTCGGTTTGAATGTATGTTTGAGCATTCAGTTTTGTAAAATATGTAATGGTGCCCTACTCCTTCTGCCTCATGTGTTCAATACTTAAATGCTGTACATTAAGAAAAGTCTAATGAATTCCCAGCATTAGCAACTAAAAGTTGAACTTTTCAGCCTTGCTTACTCTATAACTTGCTCCTTAAACTTACCCTTTGTTGGCTCTGAGCTGATTCCCTCAATGCCCATCCATCCTCATGTCCTCATTTCACTTCCTCACCCCAATCCAGGTCCCACTTCTGCTTCTCTCCCACTTGTTCTTTCCCCTGTCCTCTTCTCCTTGAAAGTTTACAGATCACCATTCAGCAATGCTCTTCCTGGCTCTAACCAGCACTCAGGAACCCTCTTCCAGAGGGAAGCCCCACCTTTGCTCTGCCCTAACCTCACAGATGGGACCCAAACACAAACTACCATCAACACAAAGTTGAGCATCAAGTGAGACCAAGAATCGATGTGTTTCAGAAATGGAAGGTTGGAATCTCTCTGGGAACTAATTAGATGAATGATCAAGGACTAGGCAAGATGGTGGACGCCATGTAATAGATCTGGATCCATGGGCAATGAGAGTTTGATATTGAGATAATAGATGATAATGAAAAGGAACAGATTCTTGGTGAGGGAGGAGGACATTTCTCAAGAAAGAGAAAATTGTCTTAGCAAAACAATGGTTTGGTCAGAAAGTGACACCGCATGCCCAGATTCCAGCATCTGGGGAGTAGCCCTTTGCTGACAAAATTGGGACCTCACAGTGAGGTGACACAGGAGATACTTGGGACTATAGTCTATGTCATGACCTTAGCAAGAAAGTAGATGGCAAGCTGAGGCTGTTTTTCACTTCTCCAAGGAGCCCCACCTCAGTTGAGGAAGTTAATACACTCCTAACCAACATTTATTGAGTATGTGTGTCAGTCCCTGAGATGAACACTTAACATTGACCAGCTGATTTCATCTTCACCACCACCCCATGAGCTAAGTTCTAGTTTTATCGTATCTTATATAGGAAGACACTGAGGCTCAGAGAGATTAGGGAACTTGCTCACTGCCACCCAAGTACTAAGTGGTGAAGCCAGAACATGGTCCCAGCTTGGTCTGACTTTATCCACATCCCTAATCACACTACCAAGCTCCTGACCATTTGAGTGTGTCATGGTGGCTAAGCAGTAAGAAAAGGACAGATGTAAATAGTGGGTGTTCATGAACATTTATTTAAAAAATGTAAAGGGGGATCTATTTAAAGAAAAATATGAGGTAAAAATAATACAAGTTTGGATTGGCCTAAATCTTGAAGGTGAAGTGAAAACTACCAGAGGCTGGTAAGCTCTGAAATTGCACATAGCAGGCCTCAGGAAACAGTGCTATTGGGTATGTTTAAGGAGCAACAGAGAATAATGAGGAGTTTCTAGCATATTAAAACAATTCCCTACTGTTAGACCGAGTAAGCGTCCCCATGTACCGCAGCTATTCTGACCTTGTGTTGCTTGCCAATGTCAATAGCTGTTGTCACCAGTGGATGGGCCTTCCGTTTGGTACTTAGAGATTCTCTTTATGCACTTAAAAGGCATCATTAGTACCAAGTGGCTATTAAAGCAGTCTTGCTGTTCAGAATGATTTTCTGAAGCAAATGCAGAGGAAACGTGTTGAGGGTTGAAGTCATTAGCTGTGACCACAGAAGGACTGACGGTGGGCAATTGTGCCATTAATCTTGATAAGGGGAAGTGTGAACAATTCATAAAATTTGCTTGGTGAGGTAGTTCCCTAAATGGACACTGGAGTGAACGACCCCATGTCTTTGCTCTAGGTAAGAGGGACACGTGTGAGCTGTGACCTCAACTTGGCATGAGTGGTGGGGACCCAGTAGTGACTTCAGGCCTTGCTGGAGAGGCAGGCCTGTGGCAAGACTGGCTGGAGTATAGGAGTAGGAAGGCAGTTACAGCTGACATTTTATGTAATCCTTACTGTCGGCCAGACATAGTTCTCGTGCTTTAGATATGAACTGTTTAATCTTCACAGCAGTGCTGTGAGGTAGGTACTATGATTATTCCCATTTTAGAGATGAGAAAACTGAGGTCTAGAGAGGATATGCCACTTGCCTGAGGATGCACAGCTAGTAAATGGCAGAGCTGGGATTCGAACCCAGGTGGTTTGGATTCAGGGACTGTGTGTTTACTACTTTGCTATACAGCATCTTGGAGTGGGTGTGCTTCTTCTGCCTTCACATGGGCTTTGGGCTTACACAGATCCGTATTTGAACCCCAACTCTGCCACTTCCCAGTTGTTGGACCTTTGACAAGTGACCTCGCTTACTTAAAACTCAGTTTCAGCTGGGCGCAGTGGCTCACGCCTGTAATCCCAGCACTTTGGGAGGCTGAGGCGGGTGGATCACAAGGTCAAGATATCCAGACCATCCTGGCCAACATGATGAAACCTCGTCTCTACTAAAAATACAAAAATTAGCTGGACGTGGTGGTGTGTGCCTGTAGTCCCAGCTACTTGGGAGGCTGAGGCAGGAGAATTGCTTGAACCCGGGAGGCAGAGATCACAGTGAGCCGAAATCATGCCACTGCATTCCAGCCTGGTGACAGAGCGAGACTCTGTCTCAAAAAAAAAAAAAAAAAAGACTCAGTTTCTACATTTTTCTACATTTGTAGAGAGGAGAGTTTTTATGAAATTATGTGAAGTGTCGGGCAATTAACAGTGCTTGAACACATATCACTGCCCTCTTCTTCCACACTGAAGGTACAGATCCTGCACTTGCCAGGCCAGGACACTGAAGGGGGAAAGTGGATGGACAGAAGGATGCTGCCTCAACCACAACCTCCATGGCGAGGGGCCAGCTTAGACCACTGGCCAGAAAGACAGTGCCCTCTTCCCTGTCACCTGCTTCCTAACTGGCCTCTTCCATTTGGGTTCTAGATCAGTCTAATATGGACTGGATATTTGTGTCTGCCTAAAATTCGTATGTTGAAGCCCTAACCCCTAATGTGACTGTATTTGGAGAAAGAGCCTATTAAGAGATGACAACGGTTAAATGAAGTAATCAAGGTAGGGCTGTGATCTAATAGAGCCAGCTCCCTTAGAAGAAGAGCCAGAGACACCAGGGCTCTGTGTCTCCTCCATGTGAGCACGTAGCTGTCACAAGCTGTCCACAGTCCACAAAGTGGCTGTCCACAAGCCAGGAAGAAAGCCCTTACCAGGAACTGAATCAGCTAGTACCTTGATCTGGGACTTCCCAGGCTCCAGAACTGTGAGAAAATAAATGTTTGTTGTTTAAGCCACCCAGCCTGTGGTGCTTTATTATGACAGCCTGAGTTGAGACATTGTATTGTGATCCCATGTTGAATGGGAGAGTAAAGTCTGGAAGTGCATTCAAAACTTGACTTTCACCAGTAATCCAAATCTGGTAAAGATGGCTATAAATTCTTTGCTACTCCCGCCGTGGAGCAATAGAGTCAAATTCCCCTCGTCTTGAATCTGGATAGGCTCTAGTGACTTGTTTGACCAAAAGAATACCATAGAAGTGGTGTTCTGGGACTTCTGAGGATGCGTCAGAAGAAGCCTTGCAACTTTCATCTCGACCTTTGGGGATACTTGCTGTTGAAACACAGCCTGCCATCACATGAGAAAACTCAAGTAATCCAAGGAAAGCCTTGTAGGGGGTGAAACCAGGATCCTCCTTGGAAATGGATCCTCTAGCTCCAATAGAGCCACCTCTTCTAATAGCACATGGAGCAGAAACAAATCCCTCCTACTGAGCCCTACCCAAATTACAGATTCTTTAGAAATGCCAATGATTATTGTAGGTTCTTTCAGCCATTATGCTTAGGGGTGATTTTCCATTGCAATAAATAACTGGAACTTCAAGAAATACTTCCAGAACACCTCTACCTCTGCTCAAAGCCACCTCTGAATAGCCCCAGGGCTGAATTTGTTGGCTTATGTGCTGAGGATCTCCTGTGTGGGGGAGTCTCCTCCCATCACCTGAGATAGGTGACAGAGCTGAAAAATGCCTCTCCTGGCTAAACACAGGCCTTGAATGTCCAGGGTTACGTTCAGTTTTGAGCTCCTCACAAGCCATGTTGTAAATTGTGAATATTAGACCCCATTTTACCATGGGGGGAACATGGAATGCATAGGGCTAAGGGAGAAGCCACAGGCTTTTAGACTTTCAGTCTTCCAATTTCCTCTCCACCCCTCTGCCCATCCACAGCTTCTTGAAAATGCTGAGCCTGGAAAGAGAAACAGCCTGGTTGTAGTTCACTGGTTCTCAACCTTAGGTGCACATCAGAATCACTTGGGAGCTTTAAAAAATACTGCTGGGCCCATGCCTAAAGATGGGGTTTAGTTGGTCTACTAACAATTTGCCACTGACAATGTGAGCTGGTCTTGACATTAAATAATGCTGAATCTCAGAATAACCTAAATTATTCCCTTTTCAAGTCTCCTCCAATCCTCTGATTACAAAAAAGAAGTCTCTGTTTGGTGCTAACTTGTCTTTAACAACTCTCCAACTCTTGCTATCAACCAAAATTTGGATTTTTGGATATTTGTCTGCACCCAAGTCTCTTGTTGACATGTAATCCCCAATTTTGAGGTGGGGCCTGGTGGGAGGTGATTGGATCATGGGGACAAATCTCTCATGAACAGCTTGGGCCATCTCCTTGGTGAGGAGTGGGCTCTTGCTCTGAGTTCACATGAGTGTGTGGGCACCTTCTCCTTCATTCATTCTCTCTTGCTCCTGCTTTTGCCATGTGACGTGCCTGCTGCCCCTTTGCCTTCCAACATGATTGTAAGCTTCCTGAGGCCTCCCTAGAAGCTGAGTAGATAGATGCCAGCACCATGCTTCCTATAAAGCCTGCAGAACCATGAGCCGTTTAAACATCTTTTCTTTATAAATTACCCAGTCTCAGGTATTTCTTTATAGTGCTGCAAGAATGGGCTAACACATCCCCACAGCAGCCAGGTGAGAAAACCATAGAATTTATAAAAGAGGCACATTGCAACCTACCAGGAGAATGCTGAGTCTCAGAGACATTTGGTGACTTGCCCAAGGACTCAGGCCATTGGTCCTCCTTTTCCCCCTGCCCCAACTTAACATTTAATGAAGAAAATTATGCCAATAGAGGGGACCTCTGCCATATAATCAGTAGAGGCCCATTAGACTCCATTCCTTTTTTTTTTTTTTTTTTTTTTTGAGAAAGGGACTCACTATGTTGCTCAGGCTGGAGTGCAGTGACACGATCATGGCTCACTGCAGCTTCAACATCCTGGGCTCAAGCAAACCTCCTACCTCAGCTTCCTGAGTAGCTGGGACCACAGATGCATGCCATCACACCCAATTTTTGTATTTTTTATAGATACAGGGCTTCATCATGTTGCCCAAGCTGGTCTCAAACTCCTGAGCTCAAGCGACTGCCAGGCTCTGCCTCCCAAAGTGCTGGGACTATAGGTGTGAGCCACTGTGCCTGGCTCATTTCTTACTCTGATCCCAGAGTAAAGACAAAACAAGTCCCACTGAGGGTGGGGAGAGGAGGCATGGAAAGGAGGAGAAAGAATGAATTATGGAGAAGATTAAGACCTTTTAGTTTAGAAGGCAACTTTCAAAAGTTACTTGCAGAAGGAAATGGGTTCAAAAAAGAAAGAATTTTCTAATACCAAGGTTGCAAGTGGCTGCGCCAGGAGACAGCCACGGTGGAAAGGCCCAGCCCTCAACGGTTCTTTCTTTCACTTAAGATAGTCTTTCTTTCCTTCTGTACACATTTCTCCAATGTGTACAGATTCTTGACTGCATGCTCATGTTTGGGGACAGAATTCTCTTGCACACCACGGTACATGCTACTACTCAGGTGCTTCCAAACCTGAACTTCTAAATCATCTTCAGGCAGCTGGGACATGCAAGTTAGCCTCCTAGTTCTCCTACTCGCCCTCCAATAAGTACACATCTTTGAGCTTCTGGATGGGGAAAAAAGAGCTGAACTAGATGAGGAGATTGAATGGGAATCCAGATTAAATCTTGCAGGAAATGTGTGCACCTGTTACTGGGATGTGATTTACTCTTGGCCAACAGCAGGTGTCCTAAGCCCTCCTGTTGAGCTTAGAGTCTGGCCACTCGAGGTTCATCCACCACTATGCAGATCAGAGGCCCATCGGGCCACCTGGGGTGCTTGTTAACAAGACAGAACTCTCAGCCCACATCCTAGTGTGATTCTTTAATCTTTAGCTGATTTTGATGGTAGAATCCATGGGCTACATTTTGCCAAACACTGACCAGGGGTGTCTCAGACAGTGTGTACCCAGGAAATGTGGGCAATGGGATAGGTAGAGATGTTCTTGGCCAGGATGCAGGGGGTGGGTCCAGGAGATACCACAAGTTTTTTCCCATTGGACATTTCGGAGACGGAAGGAGGTCAACCTAGGAGTCCAGGGCATGAAATAATAGACTCTAGACATTTAGAGTCTCAGAAATAGATGGTCTTGTTAATAATTAAATAAAGAAATCATAAAATAATAGAATACATTGTAGTAGAACTTAGTGGTTAAAGAATCAGTCTTGCATAGAGCCTGCCTCTTTACTTAGTAGCTGGATAACTGACGTCAAGTTACTTAACTTCTCTGAGCCTATTTCCTCATTCGTTAGTGGGGCATACTGTTAGGTGTAATATAGTTACTTAACCTCTCTGAGCCTATTTCCTCATTCATTAGTGGGGCATACTGTTAGGTGTAATATAATATGTCTTTGGACTATTGTGACATATGAGTCAGCACATTTAAAAGAGCTGGTGCAAGAGACTAAATGTGTGTGTCCTCCCAAAATGTATATGTTGAAATCTAATCTGCAGTGTGATGGTATCTGGAGCTGAGGACTTTGGGAGATAATTAGGTCATGAACTTGAAGCCTTCGTGAATGGGATTAGTGACCTTATAAAAAAGACTTCAGAGGGTTCTCTTGCCCCTTCTATGGCATGATGATGCAGTAAGATGCTGTCTATGAACCGGGAAGCAGACCCTCACCAGATGCTGAACGTGCTGGCACCGTGGACTTCTCAGCCTCCAGAAATGTAAGCAACACCTTTCTGTTTTTTATGAGACACTCAATTTATGGTACTCTGTAAAATAGCAGTCCAAACAGACTAAGACACATGGCATTGAGTCTGACACATGGTAAGGGCTCTAGAAGTTCTTATTATCATTAACAGGATCATAGAATCTTAAAACTAGAAGTGATCACAGAGATCATCTAGTGAATCCAGTGTCCATCTAGTGACACTGGCAGGAAAGAGATAAGGAAGACACTGGGTGTGCTGGGGGTGGGGGGGAGCTCCCCTGGGTGGCTTCTCCTCACCTCCAGAGGGCCTAGCCCCTGGTTGCTGTGCAGCTGAGGGAAGGGCCACTTTAGCCATAGAAGGAGTTTGGAGGTCCAGCTTGTATACATCCTACAAACCTGAGAACCTCAACTTTCTGCATTTACCAACATTTACTTTGCAGAGTTCACAGTCCAGCTGTCTGTGGGCACCAGCAGGCTCAGCCAAAGAGAGCAGGGCTGCATCCTCCCTCCCCTTGCTCTGGTGTTTAATCAAGACAGTATTCAAAATATGATTCTGGGAGATTATATTGGGAGATTTGCAGGAGGCTCTCGGGGGGGCAGAGATGGGGGGAACAGACTGCCACTGGGGGCTTGAGGCTGGGATAATCACAGGCTCAGACGTGCCATTCTCAGGCCCTTCTCCTAGACCCCTGGAGCTCACCATCAGCTCTGGAGGAGATACTGAGCAGCAGGATGGAGAACTAGATCATCCCTGTATTTTACAGTGGCAGAACTAGGAGGGGAAGGGGCTTGTCCAAGCCACAAAACAAGGTGGTAACACAATTGAGAAGGTAAAGCAGGTTTCTGGGATGCCAGGCTGCCCTTCAGCCCCTCTCACGCCCCACTGTCTCCAGCCAACTAGGATCAGACCTTTGAGATAACCCTAGGCTGCAGGCTCCTGCTTTGGGCTGGGGAAGGCAGGGAAAGGCTAGGCCACCCAGGCAAGAGATGTTTCTTGCAGCTGGAGAGACAACTTCCTGGGGTCCTGGGTGGTGAAGTAGGGCAACTCGGGAAGGCCTCCTTTCCCAGGTTAGAGCTGAACTGCAGGAGGTCGTGTGAAGGTGAGATTCCCCCTAACCCCCACCCTCTGGATCCCAGACCCTGCTCAGCCACATGAACTGAGTTTAGTGGGGTCCCTTCTCCAATCTGATCTTCAGCTTCCCATCTCCAAGTGTTGACTCTCTGATTCTAAGGATCCCTCTCCCCTCCAGGAAATGGCTCTCTAGGGCCCTACTCTCAACTGGAAGCCCTAGGACGCCTCTGCCACCTCTGCGGTCTCCGGAGGGGTCTACCTGGCCCCCTAGTAGGGGGTGGGGTCGAGAGTGCCTTGAAAGAAACCTCCAGCTAATGCTCTTTATTACAAGCGTTAATCCCGCAAAGCCGACTGGAAATAATGTTTATCTTTTCGCAGTTTAATTTTCCGGACCCTAAGCCGCGGGTCAGCGAGGGCGACTGGAGGGTCCCTGGGGAGGTTGGGGTTGGGAGCAGCTGTTGCCCAGGAACAAAACGAAAGCAAAGAGGGGTCTCCCAGAGGAAGCGCGGGCGAGTGTTCGGGCGGGCGAGCGGGAACCGAAAAGGGACATTGACCACGATGGAAAGCTGGAGTTGGTCTCCACCACGGACCGCTGTGACCCTGAGCTGTTCACCTGCCCTCCCGTTTGGGCTTAACCTTCTCATCTGAAGAGGAGGTTTGCAGTTTTTGTAAGTCATGATCTCTAAAGTCCCTTCCGACAGCAAAGCTGTCTTTTCCATAGAGAGGAGCTAGGAGGTGGCGCGCTGCTTCGGCTTCCCTAGCACTTCCAACCTCCACATTTCCCCTCATCGTCCTCCAAAGGTTTTCAATCATCCTGCCCAGGAGGCGGACTATGCTCGCCTGGATTTCAGTGACTGATAGTCTGGCCTCCGCGCTGGCCTGGAAGGCCTGGCCTGGCCGGGACCCGGCGTTGGAAACGCAGCTCCCCAGGAATCCAGGCCTTGGGCGCACACCCCAGCTGCCTTTCGTCCTGCCTTCCCGCCTCATTTGCTCTTCGGAGCTCCCCTCTAGGGCACTGCCCCGGGTCCCTGCTTCCCTGCGAGCAGCGGTGCGCTCACTCCCTGGCTAAAGCCAAAGCCACTAGACGCGGGACACGAACGCAGGCAGCCTCCCCCACCCACCATTGCGCGGGCGTCTTTAAATCTCTTACCCCCAACCCGGTCGCTCGACACTCCTAGCAAGGGGGACAAAGACCCCTTCCCTGCCCGTCAGTTCCCATTGGTTGGCCTGTACCGGAAGTGTTTGCTGACACTTTTGATAAAACGGGAAGAATGCCCCCTCTCGCCTCACACCGACCCTGAAAGCTGCCTGACCTCCCCATTAGGTTCAGTTCGATCGGAGGAGCGCGGTCCTCGTCACCCCTCCCCCAGTAAACTTACAACCCAAATACGAACCCGGAAACAGATGCAGTTTCCAGATAAACATCCTGACAAGTCCCACCACTTCCCATGCGCAGGACCCGCGAGGTGGTCAGCTTGGCTCCACGGATTGGTTACGCAGCGGTTAGTCCGCTGAGCTGCAGGCGCCACGGCCTTGTCTGTTACCTTGTCAGTTTCTTTCCCAGCTACTAAAGGAACTGAGGTATGCAGCCCACGCCGCGCTGTCGCAAGAATCCCTGGCCGCAATGCATCTTTGCCTGCACACCGACCTCTCAAGCACCTCTGGCAAAGATAGGCCACACTACATGGGTTCGGACTGATTATTTTTAAGGACACAAGGGCTTAGGAGGGGGAGAAGACGCACAGGGTCCTTATTGGCCGGGTCAGTGATGAAGTTACAAAGTGAGTGGGGTTGGTGGAGGTGAGAGACAGGGGTGAGCAGGAGAGGAAGCCTTGCTGAATCCACAGGAGGAAGAGAGACTTGGTAGAGTCGGTGGGTGGGGCAGCCTCCCAGCCTCCCACTTGGCCTTCCCCAAGGTGCCCTGCCATCTCCCGTGGGGACTGCTAAGGTTCAAGTCGGCCCACCACCCCAGCTCTGCGTGCAAGGACAGCTGCTAGGAGGGTTTCTGTGTGTCTGTCTCTTAGGCAAAGTGAGAGCTCCTGGTCCCTGGCAAGGTCTGGCAGCTTCTTAACCTGGAGATGAATTCGAAACGTGGGGCCCATTTCCAAGATTCTTTCGCAAATCGCAGCCATTGCGCTAACCTGCTGAGAGAGGAAAGGTTGATTAAAACCCAAAGGCTGTTTAGTGGCAATTCTTAGGAAACCTCTGGGTCAGCCATGTCTCTTCTGAAGGCAAGCAAATGGTCTAGAGGCAATTAGCTTGCCAGAGGTAATGTTTGGATCCGTTGCGTAAATTCAAATAACAGTGTAACCCACTTTTCTAAGCCAGCAGCTAATCCTGAGAGAAATTACTACAAAGAGCAGAATCTGACAGTAATTGCTGGAGGCTGCCTCATGCTTGGGGAATGTCCCTTTGTGGGATGAAATTCCCTTCCACCAGGTCCTTAACACAGTGAAAGAACCAGCCAGCATCAGGGGACACTGATTGGCAGTCACTGGCCTGCCTGGGGATGAGCCCTGGGTAGAGTGCTCTCTAAGGACAGTACCAATCTGGGGCCTGAAGCTGCTGACCGCAGGGGCATGTCTACAACTTTCCAGGGGTTTTGGTGGGACACAGACAGGGCTGCAAGCTGGACTTAAGCACTGACCTTAAATCTGTGGTGTGCGTCTGGCCCACAGTCTTAGACTTCTCTAAAAGCCCTGGTGCCTGCCCAACCCTAGTAAACTCTCTGAGCAGCACAGCAGGGACCAGCGAGTCTCCTCTGAAAGGCAGGCAGGGGACAAGGGCGTTTGTGCTAGAGGAGCATGGTGATGCACACCTGGTGGATTTGGCAGTACACTGGACCACACGAATGCAGAGATCCTGGTTGTCCATCTCTCGAACGGCTTTCTAAGTGATTCTAGGTAAATTACAGTCTGCCTGTGAGTTTATTATTATTTGACTTTTAAATAAGGGAGTACTAGAACCTATCTCTACGCTTCCGTCTGAAAGAGCGCTGTAAAGCAATCTCCCGTCAGTTCTGTGGGAGACCTGGGCAGACTGGAATGGCAGAGGGTGTGCAATTGCCGGGCGGGGCGGTAGGTGGGTGTCTTTTGCATAGATACTCCCAGCGCCGCTGGGGGCCCACTACCTTCTGCTCCAGACGGGTACTGGCACTGCACTACAGGCTCGCTCCTCCGCGGGCACGGCGCACAGTTCAGCGGTAGTCCCTGCAGGGCAAACTTGGGGTTTCCAAAGGCTTTGGGTATGCAGGAAGACTCGTCGCACGCGGAGTCTCTGGGGACTGAGAGTCGCCGGGCAGAGGCAGGAGGCTGTCCAGGAATCATACGGCACTCAGGACTTCGTGGCCTAGGCCGGGCTGGGGGTGCACCTTCAACAGCGCTGGCTGTCGCGGTGTGCGCCAGAGACCAGATGCGCGGTTTCTCCAAGCATGGGTAGTGCATGGTCAACCTAGGGCTGCCTGTCTCCGCCGAGAGGAAGTCAGCTTCTTCCGATCCGGAAGGGTCATTGAAGGAGAAGCGGGGCGCAGCCAGGCCGCACTCCCTGCGCTCCAATCGGCCCTCTCGAGCTGCAGCGCACGGCCCAGGCAGTGACTGCGCGCCCTTTCGGAACTCCGTCAGCCTGTCCCCAGCTGTGGCCACTACCTCCTCGTCTTCAGCTTCCTCCTCCTCCTCCTCCTCTTCCTCCAGGTCTTCCAGGTCACTCAGCCGGAGCCCCCGGGCCTCCTGGCTAGCAGTAACTTCTGCAGGAAATCAAGAGCGAGTGAGAAAAGCCCCAGGGCCCAAGGGAAATCCGAGGAATGTCCATCCCCGAGAAGCTTTTAGCAAGAAGCGCCCTGCACTCAGGGCATCCTCAGTGTAATTCACCAGACCTGCCGTACCACCCCTTGCATTTGCCCAGGGTTGTTGGCCACCTGTCCTTGGGAAAGAATTTCTGCCCCAGCCCTGCAACCACCCTTTAGCGGACTCCTCCTCTAGCGAGCAGTGCCAAGCCAAGGAAATGCCACTTGGCGCTGCCTGAGTTCTGGATCTCAGTTTCTCAATTGTGAAAAACCAGGGGGCAGTTTTTACTCGATTTCAACATCTACAAGTGGCTGCTGTTATATCATTTAATTCAGCAAATATTTACTGAGCACCAGCCATCATTTAGGTATTAGGTGTGTAGGGCATATGGCAGCAAGTAAGGCTTCTGGTGGAGCTGCCATTCTAGAGAGGGAAGTTGGGTATGTAAACTTTCTCACAGTGACAAGTATGGCAAAGGAAATCCAAACAGGCTGGCAGAACAGAAAATAACTGGGAGGCTATTTTGGCTTGGGTGAGGCAGGAAGAACTTTAGGAGGTAACACTTTGATGTCAAGAAGAAGCCGGTTGTGTAGAGAATTACAGGTAGAAGGCAGTGCACAGGCTAATGCTCTGAGACAGGCAGGGAAGTGCAAGGGTAAGTCTGAGGACCTTCCAGAAAATCTACCCTACAGGGCAGCTTTTGAAAGACCAAACTGCTTGATGACTTGTAAAACCCTTAAGGTGGGGTGGTGAACGTTTTCAGTACCTTTGGTGTCAGCAGTTAGGCAGCCTAGTGAGTCCTCCTCTCCTCCCTCTGCCTTCCTCTCCTCCCCACCTTTGTTCTTGGGCGCCCATGTCATTTTGTTCTCTTTCTTGAGGCGCCGGCGTGCGTTGGCGAACCAGGTGGACACCTGGGTGAGGGTCATCTTGGTGATGATGGCCAGCATGATCTTCTCACCCTTAGTGGGGTAGGGGTTTTTGCGGTGCTCGTTGAGCCAGGCCTTGAGTGTACTGGTGGTCTCCCGGGTCGCGTTCTTTCGGCGACCGGCGCCACTCAATTCCACTGCGCCATACCTGTGGGGGAGAACCTGGCTCACATTATAGAAGAGGAACAAGGAACTGCAGGCAGAGGACAGTCTGTGGCGTGGAAGTGTGGTTCAGCTCCCTCCCTCTCCCCTGCCGCCATCCACCCTACCTTGGCAGTGGGGGAGGAAAGACTCACAGTGCCAGTCACCAAGGCCCTTCACTCCTTACCGTTCATATTGGTACTGCCCCAGAGTCCGCTCATAGGGATAATAGGCTCCTGGTTGTGCCAGGCTGGATGTAAAACTCCCTGCAGCCTCCTTAAATTCATACTGTGGATTCTAGAGGGAGAGGAAAAGAGAATTCAGGAGTACAGTTGGGGAGGGGGCACATGGGGTGGTAGCTAAGGGTCTGGTTCAAATCCCAGTATGGCCACTGGTACTGGCCGTGTGACCTTGGGCACAGTTGCTTAACCAGTGGCTTAACCACTCTGTGCCTCAATTTCTTCCTTGGTAAAATGGGGATAATAGTACTTATAGGTTATTGAAGAAGACCATGCTGGCAGAATGCTTGGCAGAATCCCTGGTGCAGAATAAGCAGTAGTTAAATATTAGCTGCTGTTATTACTGTACCACTTGTCCCTCCCTCCTTTCCCCCCTTACTGCCCCCCACCCCCCGCCCCCTGCCCCACAACACACACCAGCTGGGGCACTTCCTGCTTTAATCTTCTTCAGGAGCTTTTCTCTGACCCTTTGTATCTCTGTGACATTGGGCAAAGTATTTGAACTCCTGTGCACCTCTATTTCCTCATTCTTAAATTGAGATTAATGATTACTTGCCTACCTCACAGAATTAATAGAAGTATAAATGTTTTCTAAACAGTATGAAGTTCTGCAAACTGTAAGGTACTGTATTTTTTTGTCCTCCTTATACACAGTCCTAACCATTTCCTTTCCTCGGGAGGTGTGGGTCTTTCCTTGACTTTCTCTGGATTTCACCTGTCTCTACTGCTCACTCCCCTGGGACTCCACCCCTGTACTCACCAGTGCCCCATACAGTGAGGGGGGCTCTGGGCTATAGGGCAGGTAGCCAGGGTAGCTCTGGGCAGCTGCAGCGGCCGCATAGGGTGCTCCATAGATGCCCAAGGCGGCGCCCAGCTCCGGTCGCGCACTGCCCAGCAGTCGACTATCGTAGGGTGCGCAGCAGAGAGCGGGCGCTGGGGTGGAGCCTGATGCCACATCTGAGACAGAGCGTTGGGTAGATTCGCAGCATGTGGTGCTGGAACTTGCCGACGCCAGAAACTATAGGGGCAAGAAAGAGGGCACTGGAGGTCAGAGACCCCCCCCCCACCCCCGCCCCCGCTCCCGCTGAAGGGAGCTAGAAACAAAGAAGAGAAAATCAGATAATCAGATTGCTCCTTCATTCATTCCTTCATTATGCATTAACTAAATGCCACCTGGGCTGAGCATTCTGTTAGGTGCTGGGACGGGAATTATAAATTAACCAAACTGCCCTTATAGATGCTCCTACTCCATTGCTAAGGCCCCAGAGCCCCAGGAGGCCGGGAAAATGTGAACATTTTGAAACCGGAATTAAAGACACCAAACCCTCTGCTCCCTTCCCTACCCTCCTCCCAGGATCCTGCAAAGGCGGAGCTAGAAGGTGGCCTTAGAGACCATTATTAACGTCTCATTCCTGCTCCCATTCTATAGATTGGGAGTGGATAATCAGAGAGAGTGTGAGACTTGTCTAAGATCACACAGCAGGTCAAAGGTCGAGCCGGCACTAGACAACAGGAAAATACACTCAGAACTCTAGAGAAAAGCTGGAGAACAGTGGAGGGGGTGTCCGCAGAACTTTCCCAGGAAACCCTTGTCATTGCACAACATCCACTTTGGTTTGGAAAATCGAGGGAACCGGAGAGCTTGGGCCCGCCCAAGGAAGGGGTAGGAGAATAGCCGAGGTCAACAAATCAACAACAATATGGTGAGATGGACAGCGTTGTAGCCTACAAGTTCTTTCTTTCTCTTTCTTTTTCTTTCTTTCTTTCCTTCTTTCTTTCTTTCTCTTTCTTTCTCTCTCTCTCTCTCTCTCTCTCTCTCTCTCCTTCCTTCCTTCCTTCCTTCCTTCCTTCCTTCCTTCCTTCCTTCCTTCCTTATTTCTTTCTTTCTTTTCTTTCTTTCTTTCTCTCCCGGCCACCTCAGACTTCTGTATAGGAGGAGGCCTGACTGGGAGATCCCTGTGATCCCACCCACCTCACTGAGCGCGTGGTCAGAGTGCTCATGTTTCAGGTCACAAGATTTTCCAGCGTGCACTCCGGGGTGAAACGTTCTCATTTAGGGACTGGGGATGTCAGAGGAGGCTGTGACACATTACCCTGGTCCTTGCTCCTTCTGGCTTCCCCCAGAACACAAGAGGAGGATGATCAGAGGCAGGCGCCGTGCACTAGGCACTCCCTCCACCCAGTCTGTCCCCTATCCCCCATAGAGGCGCCTCTTACCTGGGAAGCGCCGCGGTACGGGTGTCCAAAGTGTGGGAAGGACATGGTGGCTGTCCCTGGCCCGTCTCTCTCTTCCCTGTCGAGTTCCCGTCTCAGCCCAGCTGTTCCGCGCCCCCAGCAGTGAGGTGTCTCAGTTCCTTACACCGCTGCGGATGCCCAGCGCCGGTTCCTTCGCCTGGTTGGCCCCAGTGGAGGCAGAGCCGAGGGCAGCCCGGCTGCCGAGCCCTGCGCTCCGGAAGGCGCCCCTCCGGCCCGTGGGGTCCGGAAGACAGAAGGGCCCATGGATGGGCAGGGGAAGGAAGAAGATGCGGGTTCCCAAAGGCGCGTGGTGGCGAGGTGAGGCGCGGCGCGGCGCGGGGCTGTGAGGCTCCGGAGGTGTCCCAGTCCAAGGTGGCCAGAGGCTCAATGTGACGTCACGGTAATCCCGGGCCGCCAGACGGGACCCCGGGCCCCGGGACCCTGGGCCACCAAGCGTGCCAAGCGCAGCCAGCCCGTGCGCGCGCGCGCACTCTCACCCACACTCACACTTGCTCCGGGAGGTTTGTGCAGCTGGCGAGGAACGTCAAAAACCCTGACCCTCTCTGCTCGGCGCTGAATCCTACCCCTTTTCGCCTGGAGCTCACGCGCGCGCGCACACACACACAACCTCTCCAAATTACCCGGGAGAAGTAGGAGAAACGCCTCCCTCTGAGCCGCGCAGGCCCCGGGCGCAGCGCGCTCACCTCCTCCCCTGCGGCCCGGAGGAGGCGAGAGGCAACCGGGGCGGCGAGGGAGGAGAGAATACAAAAGAAGAGACAGGAGAAAAGTGGGGGAGAAAGGCAAGAGGGAGAAGGAGGAGGGGAGAGGGGAGACAGGAGTCTGAGTGAACAGAGGCGCGTGGGGGAGGGGGAGGGAGCTGGGGTGGGCGAAGGCTGGGCGGAGGCTGAGCACTGGCAGGTGGAGGAGAGCAGAGGCCCGGGGGAGAAGCCTCCAGCCCGGTTCCTCCGCCCCTGCGCTGAAGTAAAGTTTGTTCACGCCACAGGCCCGGCTCTCGTTGGAGCAGCTCCGGGCAGCGTCGGTGGATCCCACTGGCCCGCCCATCTTTGTCCTCGGGGATCTGGTTCCCCGCCTCAGCCTCCCCAGGACTCGGGCTAGATTCCGGCTCTCCAAGCCCTGGCCTGGCCCAGGGCCTTGACCTTGGAGCTTCTCTGCAGCTGCCTGGTCCTCGAGTAGGCCGGATAGCGCCCCCTCGAGGCCGAGGTTCGGGATCCCTCAGATTCCGTCGGGAAACTCGCCAGGTCCGATCCCTGGCAGCCGCAGGCTGCTTGCTAAGATCCCTGGGCATCTCCTCCGAAGGCAAGGCTTGGCTGCCTCGCGCGCGCGCCTCCCGCAGTGGCCGCGGGGCAGCCAGGGAGCCTGAAGAAGGCTCCCGGTCCGGGCTGCAGCCCCTGCGCTCCGCTGGGGGTGGCGCTGGAGAGCCGCAGTGGAGCGCTCCGGGAGGGCGGCCCATTCCCTGCGCTCCTCCTGGACGCCCGGCTGGGCCCAGCGGTCTGACCACCCCCTCACTCCATCCCAGGGGTCTTCAAAGGGGCACTGATGGGTGGGCGGCGGCAGGGGTGGGGGAGGCTCGTTGGTACCCAGGAAGGGGCTGCCTCCTCTAGGCCTGGCCCCGAGACATGGAACCTCCAATTTGCGAGCACGGTAGACTGCACATCTGAAGGCTCAGTACTCTGGCCCCAGCTGCCCTTCTGAGAGCCTCCAACCCGCGACGTCTAGGGGTGAAAAGGGACTGTCGGTCTGGTAGGGGAAGGTCTTCGGTGGGCACTGCAGGAATCCAGTGGGATTTGCAGGCCAGAAACCTCAGAAAGCCTTGCCTTTCACTTACCGGGGTCACCGCGCTTTATACTTTTAAAAGCGCTTTATACTTTTAAAGTTGCACCAGGCTCTTGCTGCAACTCCTCCAAGGAGCCATAGGGGTTGGTTCAAGGGCCCAGTTTTATTTTCTAGTTGAAACGCGAGAGCCTGTGGCCCAGAAGATAGCAACGGCTCTGGGTTCTTGTATGAGGCGGGGCAAGGTCTGGGGTCCTGGACGGGGCGTACCTCAACTCCAAGTTTGCCACTAGCACCTTACACTGATCTCTTTAGCATGACATCTCTAGGTCCCCACACCCCGTTTTAAAAACACATTCTGCAGAATGCTCAAGGAGCTTAAGCCACAAACCAGAGACTCCTCTGCTTAAGAGATTGTTAACATGAGGACAAGCTCCATTCTAAATACTAACAAACACAGCTACTGCTGCTGCTGCTGCTGCTGTTACCTTGGAGAAACCTTGCGTTCATCCAGGGAAACTCCTAGTTAGAAAAAGAATTATAGTCCTCACCAGATTGACTTAGTGATAAAAATTCACAGTAATAGATAGATCCCTTGATTTTTCAAAATGCACTTTGGAACTATCCACACATTTGCAGCTTGGATACATCTATGCTATTTTTTTAAAGTAAGAATTGGAGAGTATTCATTAAATTCATCCCTTGGGGAAGATTACTGCTAATTAATTAATTGCAAACATTTCCAGAGGGAAGGTATGTCAATTGTAAAGTAATAAAATTAGATAGTAGAAATACTGACTCAGCAACTTCGATTGCCCATTTGTTCCTAAGCAGAATTTTTTTTAAAAATTTTATGACAGAAAAATGGGGCTGGTGGTGGAGAAAAAGCATTAGCCCTGTCCCTTGGCGATATGGTTGCAAAGGAGAAACTACCATATAGGAATTATTGATTTTTAGCTGATTTATAAGACCTCTGTTTTATCAATGCTGTGTGCAGGGCCTCCAGGCCTACTTCTTGTCTTTGCTCTCTAGGATTTGAGAAAAGCAACACAATTTTTTAAAAAGAAAAGAGGATGTTGAGGAACAGTGGGGAAGAAAATTGGGAAGTAGGACTATGAAGATATCTTGGCATTTTTCTTCTTCTGGAAAGACAAGCGAACAAACAAAAGAGCAGGTTTTATGTTAAGACACCTTTTCTATTGTCCTCAAAGTTGCTTGATGGTTTTTTGCAGCTTCTATCAGAATACTTCCCAGGGAGGAAGGCCTGCCATGTCTCCTCCGGCTTCCCAGCCTTGCAAGACCTTGATTTAACATTTCCTTCCCAGGGAGAGGCTGCACCCACGGTAAACCTCCCCTGTTTTGCTGACATTTGATTGTTACCACCTTGAGCATTTAATGGGGTTTCCTAAAAATGGTTTTTATGAAATGTGCCTACTCTTCTTGTTATTTTGGGACCCTCGTAACAAAACAATGCCAGTGGGTTAAGCCAATATCAACCTCTGTCTGGCAGAAACCTCAGGTGAGAAGATGTCTGTTTCTTGGAAAATCTGATTGAGGGGAAGCTGCAGTGGAATTTGCTTTTGTCCTCCTGACGGTTCACAGACTCCCACTTCAGCAGCCTTGGGCTTCTCCACCCCGGCAGCTTTTCATTGCTTTGTTCAGCACTGATTAATTTAGTTTCGGAGAAAAAGCCCCAATTGTATATGTGTACACATAGAATTTTATTGAAGCAAGTAAATAAATCCATCAAATATAGACCCTCCCAGTTATATTTAAGGGAGTCATTCCACCTAAAGTATTTTAAACAAATGATAGAGATTCTTTTGTTGTACTGTGCAACATGCCTGATAGTTCCTCTAGCTGCTCATTAAAACAAATGTGAAACAAATTAAACAATCAAAAGCCTATGTGTACCAGAGAGTACTAATCCACATTGTTTATTTGAAGCTCTTATTGCTTTGCTTCAAATGCACTGAAGTTCCTGAGCAGGCGGAGTAAAGTATGTATGTTTCACAATAAGCTTGCATGCAGGTACCACAAAAAACAAACAAACAATAAAAGAGGAAAAACAAACTGTATTTCATTATTTTGGGTTAAAAAAGTCTATGATTTTCTAATGATTTATAAAGACAGCAGATTTTACAGGGGGAAATATAACAACCTGGAAATGCCCCAAATCAACTTCAAATGCCTCAAATCCCAGATGGAATGAGCGAGTACACGAACATAATAACAGAGTTGAAGATGTGCTAAATTATATTTTTTAAGTATGGATTTTTTAGTGACTGTTTTTGAACTGAGAAGAATGAAATTTCCTCAAATCTATGCATGAATGAACAAGTGCATCTGGACAGATGCATCTATAATTTATACTGATCAGTCACCGCAGGTCTCATGGAGTAAAGCCGAAATGAACACTAATTGTTTTGACGGAAGTAGTGTGCATGGCATCTGATTGTGAAATGCAGTGAGTCCCTGCCTTGCCTGAATACATATTGTCAACAGCAACTCTGGCATCAGGAGGGGAAAATAAAAAGACAATAATTCCCAGATGAGAGTGTTGAAGCCTCTTGTCAAAAAGGTGCCAAATAGAAAGAAAGAATTAACTTCTTCGGGATAAAGTAAAAAATAAGACTGAATGAAGAGGTCTTGGTTTGACAGCATTGTACTTCAGTTTAGAGTTAAAATTAATAAAGTGTGTTAATAATAGTAAAATTCTGTAGCATTTGTTGAGTGCTTGGGAGCTTTCCTAAACACCTCTGCTTTATCTTATTTAAGGCTCATGATAAGGATATTGGAGAGGTGAGAAGCAAGTCTAAGATCACACAGCCAAGTAAGTGGCAGAGGAAGGATCAGACTTCAGACCTCCTGATTCTGGGTCTTTTCACAGAACCATATTTCAAACATATAGAAAGCCAATCACAGCCAGGAGATATTGCTAACTCCAGTTGGACTGTGTGAATTCACATAGTGTGTGCCATGATGATGCAGTATAATTTAGCAGAGAAAAAATCTTAAAGAGATGTCACTGTAAGAAAATTAAGTTCAGGGTCTATACCCCCTGTTTGATGTGACTGTGTATTATGAAAGAGCTTATGTAGTAATTGGGAGTTTTAGAAATTTGGTGCGAATCATTAATTGAATGGCAAAGAGCAAACAGACCCAGCCATGACTGATAAAAACATACAAAAAACCAAAATAGCACCACTCCCCTGCCGAAAAAAAAATCTTCAAAAAAAAAAAATTCCAGCCAAAAGATAATGTCTCTATTTCTACAATGGTTTAAAAACAACTCCTTGAAATTAGTTACGGACTATTTTCAGGAAGAGGAATTTTTAAAAAATCTGGTTTTGGCATCAGCAGGTGGGGAGATTTGCTGCATTAACTTCTCATTTTCAAAGCAGTTTTTATGTATAAAAATTCTTGATTATTTTTATCCTGTAGATGACGGCATCTTTCTAATGAAAAGCTCAAGGCATCTGATGTGTTTTCAAGGAATTAAACTTTAAAGTAAACAACAGATGTATGGATTTGAAAACCAGGGAACAATTTTTGAAGCCTAAGTCTTTCGAAAAGAAATGCATGTAAGAAATTAAGACTTTAAAGGAATAACACATAGGGACTCACCGGGATAAGATGCTATGCCCCTTTCTCCCTATGTGATAGGACCTAGAAATGGTCCTTCAGTATACAATTAGGAAATAGAATCATGGCCTAGACAATCAAGAAAGGGAGCCATGGTGTTGCTGGCTTCAGCTACAGGAGGGGCTGTATGTTGTTGCAAACAGCCCTCTAACTGAAGCATTGCTAACATGGAGTTTATAAGGATATTTTGTCATCTTCCCCCTAAAGGATTTCACCACTGTAGACGTGAAGCTTTCAATTAAAACATGAGCAGCTTCCAGCTTTATACATTTTCATCGTATTAGCAGCATTTCCGTAGAATTCTCTTCCCCATGCTTTCCTCCTACTTTTAAAGCTGAGCATTAGAACTGGCCGGGATCGTTCTTCTCTGTGCCACCTGGGGCCCACTACTTTAGGGAAGCTGGGACCATTTGTAATGTCACGTGCTAGCCATAGGTAATTTATAACAAATCTTCACAAATCAATAAAAATATGGAAAGTATATCATTTTTAAAGAAAAGAGAGAGAGAGAGAGAGAGAGAGAGAGAAACACATGAGACATGCCCATTAAGAGCATAGCTGTTCTAATACCTGCATGTCTGCTTAGGTCTGCAATTAAAAACATTCTGATAATAAATCTCCTTGCAGTCTCTTTTAATGCTTTTAACTTTCCTGAAGGTTCAAATTGGCATCCCAAAAATGTGCCAGGACTTTCACAAGGTATTTTATAGACTCATAAATAAATATGGCAATTAATCTATGCTATATTTCTTTCATATTTGATGACAATTTATGATGGCATTCACCCACTCGGTGCACAAAAACTCTAATGCACTTAAAATCGGATTTCAAACCAAACATTTTATGGGAAAATATAGTATTGATCATCCATTTAAAGACATCATGAGGATAATTCATAACCTGTTGTAAAAAAAAGATCTCATGAGGACCCTACAGATGAGTGGGGCGGTAGAACAGTCTATTCATAAAACCAGAGCTATTGGATCTGCTCCTCTTGTTTTCTTCATCTATCTTTGAGTTTTCCAGCACTGATTACTTTTGCATGTTCCTGTTTTATAAAAAAAATTTCTTCCATGACATTTTTCATAGTGACAGAGGTTGTGGAATTTTACAGTGAGTATTTTCTATTGCAATTTTCTGTTGAGATTCTGACTGCAGAGAGTTTCAGAGGCAATAGAAGATGTTTCTGTTACTTTGGAGTCAAAGCTATCATATGGTCATCATCATCCTTATTTGCTGTTGACAGATTGTGGTGGTTTAAAGCAATCTCACACCCCTGACAGACTGTGGTTCTAGAATACTACGAATGCTTGAATATATTTTGTGCATGTACAGTATGAGGGAGTCATAAGAAAATGAGAGAATACAAGGATGCTAGCCCTTCTCTTCAAGTAGCACACAGACTGTCTGGAAAGAAAGACACGTATCATTCATTCAACAGACATTTTTTGAGTGTCTACTAAATGCCAAGCTTGGTTCTGGGAGGTGAGGATTTAGCACTGAATAAAAGCAGGTTCCTGCCCTCAGCAGGCTACAGCTCATGAGTTAAACATTTTCAGATCATCCTGGAATCACTTATCTAACACCATAATAATTTGGGAAAGGGGCTTAATGTTGATGGAATACGCAAAAGGTTCTAACCACAAGGTTGAGCACTTTTAAATTATGTATAATTTACCCTTCATTCATCCCTTTACCAAACATCTACTGAGTGCTTGTTATTAAAGAACACTGAGTTAGCAATTGGAGATTTAGCGTCAGCAAGACAAAATCTTTGCACCTGTGGACTTTGCAATTTAACTATATTTTCTACCTAAAAAGTGGTTATGATTTGTTTCATTTTATAGAACTTAGTCTATGAGAGAGAAGCTTGCCCAGTGTAATAGAGCAGTATTGACAATCTAGGCTTTGAGCTCAAGCTGCTGGCTTCCAAGTCTTCAGAAAATAACACGTTTCACATTAAGTGCTTAATTGCCAAGATAATGTGATTTCAAAAATCATGACCTCACCTAACGTGTAGTTGATCTGAGCTGCCATGATCCTTCTATATCACATGGTTGGCTTTCTCTGCCCTTTTATGTCTATGCAATACCAAATATCTGTATAGAAAATGACAAAGTTGGGGCATTCAAATAGATGTTACAGTCTTCTTGACACCAATGCCTTTGGACGCTCTGCTGATATTTTACACATTTACCTTCACCTAGTGCCACAGTTAACGTCCAAATGACCATGCAAATACACCTCTCATAAATATTGGATGATGGGGCTGGAGGAGGGAGTATAGCCAGGTTGGAATTTTGGAACATCAGCATTTCAGTTGCCTGAAATCTTCTCATATTACCTGTTACATGTATAACACTTTCATAACTTGCTCTCTGCTACTCTCCCTGTCACTCTGGGGGTTATATGGGGCAGGTTTTCTCACCCCCTTTTCACAGATGAGCAGCTGAGGTTCAGAAGGGTTAAGCCACTGGCTCAGGTCACATAACTGATTAGCATAAGAGAAAACCCAGCAAACTTTTGGTGTTTGGATTGCTGTCTGTCCTCTTACGGACTTAAGCACCTTTTTCAAGAAAGCATAAAGAACTTAAGAAAAGTCTGATCTTGGAGTTTGACACAGACTTTGGGTGGCAGCCCAGCAGCATTTTCCACCTCTGGGAAGGGGGCACCTTGCCTCTTTCATTTTGGTTTGGAGACTGGATTTCCCATCACAGTTTTAATGCCACATGCACTTCTGCTTTCTGGTTGTTCAGGTTTGCTCCAACCACAGGTCCAAAAGAGAAAGAGAGTTTGCAATGTTCATAACAATTACATAGGCACAACGCTAAAGCTGAAGTATTTAATCAATGGGATAAATTCACCAATGAGATCTTGGTGTGAGTCTCTGCCTGCATTTCTGAAGCCCTCTGCCCTGAAGCTGACATCTTTCAGAGGTGGGTAGCTAGGTTTCCTCCCAGGCCCATGCTGCGCTGAGTCTGCAGAGATGGAGGCATTGGGAATCATGTCTATCTCATGGCCAGGAGAAAATGAACTTGACAGAGACAGCATGAAATACAGGAGCGGGATTAGACTGTCAGTGTAGGCCGGAGAACATAAACTATTTCCTGTGTCACTCTTAGGCTCGAGGGCAGATGTAGAGCAGAGGGGAAACCTGCAACTATAATTATAAAATAGAAATTTATACATATAAATAAAGGAAAGGCGGAGAGTGGATATTAGCTACTAAAACTCTTTTTACATTATAAACACCACAGGGATATGAAAAAAGTAGTGTGGGGATTAAGGGCATCTTTTTGCTTTGGGACTAATTTATTACTCTAGATTATGCAGTTAAAGGGAGAAAGGGAAAACTGATACTTGGTTGTTTCTCTGTAAAAGTTAAATGTGAATTATGGGAGGGTCCTGCCCCTGGCTGTAAACATGCAATGGTGAAGAATAAGGCCAAGGGTTGAAGGGAGCAAAGCCCTGGTCTGGGAGACAGAACTCTGGAATCTTGCCCTGGCTCTGCCTCTGATTGCCTGGCAGGCTTTGGACAAGTCTCTTCCCCTCTGGGAGCCTCAGCTTACTCATCTGCAAAATGGAGACGTTTAATTCAATGATCTACAAAGGCCACTTTCTTTTCCAGGACCATAAACCCCTTCTCCTAACTTTAAATGCAGTCTTTCCATAAAGTTATTTTTACTATTGTTGGTGCATCAGAATCTTTGAAAAGCACAGATACCTAGTCTCACCCTCTGAGATTCTGAGCAAGCCTGCCTTGGGACCCAGAAATCTGTATTCAATGAAAACAGGAAATAAAAGTAGAACATGCACATGATGAAAAGTCAACAACCTGTGGGAGATGTGGCTGGCTGTCCAGCTGATACCTGCTCCCTGGTCTTTCCTTGCTAACAACACCTTCATGTTGTCCGGCATGGCTAAGTGCAGTCATGGCCTCCTGCTCCTGGGTTTCTGGCATCTTCTGCTCAGGGGAGAGAAGCATGCTATGTGACCCAATTCTGCTCCATGAACCTCGGAGGAAATCTGAGTGGGAGATTCTGAAAAAGCATTTGTTTTCATAATAGAAGAGGACAGAGGCAGTGGTGTCACCTCCACCTTCTTTTGAATATGGCCATGATAACTAAAGCATTCATTAGTTCAACAATGTTTATTGAGCACTTACTCTGTACCTGGTAGGGTTTTAAGGTGCTGGGATATGGCTGAGAACAAAACAAAGTCCCCATCCGCACAGAGCTGACATTCTAGAACAGAAGATAGACAATAAACAAGGTACACAGGCAAAATACATGGATGTTGGATGAAGAAGAATCCCATGGAGAAAAAAATAAAACAAAGAAGGAGAGTTGCTATGACAGTGAGGCCAAGATAATTGCAGGAAAGTAGCCCTGATACCAAGGAGACAATAAACCACTACTTCAGGACTTCTAGTTATTTAAGACAAATAAACTGGTTTTGTTTAAGTCTCTGTTAATTTGTTTTTCTTTACTTACAGCTGAATGAATTCCTGAGACCGTGTGTAGGAAGGTGCAAAGAGACAAATAAGTCATCTGATTATTTCATCCCCACTCCCCAGAGGCATGGACTCCGAACAGTTTCTTGGCTGCCTTCCAGAATTTTCTATGTTAATAACATAAATATAAGTTATACATAGGAAATCTCTCTCTCTCTCTCTCTCACACACACACACACACAAACACACACACGCACACACACATAATGGCAGCTTGGTGGTTGGGAGCCTGATGGAGGCAGCTGATACAGTATAGCATAGTATATGGACAGCCTGATTAGTGGCCCCACCACTTACTAGCTACATTATCTTGAACAAGTTGCTTAGCCTCTGTGTTTCAATTTCCTCATCAGTAAAATGGGGATGATAAGCCTGCCACACAGGTTTCTTCTGATGATTTAGTAACTTATTATGTAAAACACATAGAACTATCCCTTGTACATTGCAACCACTCAGAGATGTTAGCTATTTTCTATACAGTGAATGCTATTCTACTGCTTTTCCTTTTCACTTAAGAATCTATTTGTTAAACTAGAAAATCTAGAAGAAGTGGATAAATTCCTGGACACATACACCCTCCCAAGACTGAACCAGAAAGAAGCTGAATCCCTGAACAGACTAATAATGAGTTCTGAAATTGAGGCAGTAATAAATAGCCTACCAATCCGCCCCACCCCCCCGACCAAAAAAAAAAAAAAGAAAAAAAAAGCCCAGGACCAAACAGATTTACAGCTGAATTCTACCAGAGGTACAAAGAGGAGCTGGTACCATTTCTTCTGAAACTATTCCAAACAATTGAAAAGGAGGGACTCCTCCCTAACTCATTTTATGAGGCCAGCATCATCCCGATACCAAAACCTGGCAGTGATACAACAACAACAACAACAACAAAAAGTTCAGGCCAATATCCCTGATGAACATTGATGCAAACATCCTCAGTAAAATCGGGGCAAACTGAATCCAGCAGCACATCAAAAAGCCTACTCAGCATGATCAAGCCAACTTCCTCCCTGGGATGCAAGTCTCATTCAACATATGCAAACCAATAAACGTAATTCATTACATAAACAGAACTAAAGATAAAAACCACATGATAATCTCAATAGATGCAGAAAAGGCCTTCGATAAAATTCAACATCTCTTCATGTGAAAAACTGTCAATAAACTAGGTAGTGAAGGAACATACCTCAAAATAATAAGAACCATTTAAGACAAACCCACAACCAATATCATACTGAATGGGCAAAAGCTGAAAGCATTCCCCTTGAAAACCGACGCAAGACAAGGATGCCCTCTGTCACCACTCCTATTCAGTACAGTATTGGAAGTTCTGGCCAGGGGTATCAGGCAAGAGAAAGAGATAAAGGGTATTCAAACAGGAAGAAAGGAAGTCAAATTGTCTTCGTTTGCAGATGACATAATCTTATATCTAGAAATCCCCATTGCTTCAGCCCAATAGCTTCTTAAGCTTATAAGCAACTTCAGCCAAGTCTTAGGATGCAAAATCAATGTGCAAAAATCACAAGCATTCCTATGCACCAACAACAGACAAGCAGAGAGCCAAATCATGAATGAACTCCCATTCACAATTGCTACAAAGAGAATAAAATGCTTGGGAAAACAACTAAGAAGGGAACTGAAGAACCTCTTCAAGGACAACTATGAATCACCACTCAAGGAAATTAGAGAGGACACAAACAAATGGAAAAACATCCCATGCTCATGGATAGGAAGAATCAATATCATGAAAATGGCCACACTGTCCAAAGTAATTTATAGATTCAATGCTATTCCAATTAAACTACCATTGACGTTCTTCACATAATTAGAAAAAAACTATTTTAAAATTCATATGGAACTGAAGAAGAGCCCATATAGCCAACACAATCCTTAGCAAAAAGAATAAAGTTGGAGGCATCACATTACCTGGCTTCAAATTATGCTACAAGGTTACAGTGACCAAAACAGCATGATACTGGTACGAAAACAGAGACATAGATGAATGGAACAGAATAGATAACTCACAAATAAGACTACACATCTACATCCAACTGATCTTCGACAAACCTGACAAAAACAAGCAATGGGGAAAGGATTCCCTATTTAATAAATGGTGCTGGGAGAACTGGCTAGCCACATGCAGAACACTGAAAATGAACCCCTTCCTTACGCCTTATACAAAAATTAACTCAAGATGGATTAAAGACTTACATGTAAAACTCAAAACTATAAAAATCCTAGAAGAAAATCTAGTCAATACCATTCAGGACATTGGCACAAGCAAAGAGTTCATGACAAAAACGTCAAAAACAATTGTAACAAAAGTAAAAATTGACAAGTGGGATCTAATTAAACTAAAGAGCTTCTGTACAGCAAAAGAAACTATCATCAGAGTGAACAGACAACCTACAGAATGGGAGAAAATTTTTGAAATCTATGTGACAAAGGTCTAATATTCAGAGTCTACAAGAAACTTAAATTTACAAGAAAAAAAACCCATTAAAAAATGGGTAAAGGATATAAACAGACATTTCTCAAAAGAAGACATTTATGATGCCAGCAAACATTAAAAAAGCTCAGCATTACTGATCATTATAGAAATGCAAATCAAAACCACAATGAGATACCATCTCATGCCAGTCAGAGTGGCGATTATTAAAAAGTCAAGAAACAACAGCTGCTGACAAGGCTGCTGAGAGATAGGAACACTTTTACGCTGTTGGTGGGAATGTAAACTGGTTCCACCATTGGGGAAGACAGTGTGGCAATTCCTCAAAGACCTAGACCCAGAAATACCATTTGACCCAGCAATCCCACTATTGAGTATATACACAAAGGAATATAAATCAGTCCATTAAAAAGATACATGCATGTGTATGAATGTTCATTGCAGCACTATTCACAATAGCAGAGACATGGAATCAACCCAAATGCCCATCAATGATAGACTGGATAAGGAAAATGTGGTACATATACACCATGGAATACTGTACAGCCATAAAAAGGAATGAGATCATGTCCTTTGCAGGGACATGATGGAGCTGGAAGCCATTATCCTCACTAAACTAATGCAAGAACAGAAAACCAAACACCTCATGTTCTCACTTATAAGTGGAAGCTGTAAAATGTGAACACATGGACACAGGGAGGGGAACAACACACACTGGGGCCTGTGGGTAGGGAAAAGGGGGAAGGGAGAGTATCAGGAAAAATAGCTAATGCATGCTGGGATTAATACTTAGGTGACAGGTTGATAGGAGCAGCAAATCAACATGGCACACGTTTACCTATGTAACAAACCTGCACATTTTGCACATGTGCTCTGGAACTTAAAATAAAATAAAAAGAATCTATTTCTTCATCTTTCCAACATGCACAGAGATACCCCTCTTTTGACACCTATGTAGTATTCCTCAGTATGGAGGAGACTGTATTTTTTCTCTTAATGACCATGGGATATTTGATGGGCACTCTTGATGGATGACCACGTTCTAAGAGGATTTGTGCCCAGGCAGAAGCTAGCCAACAGCAAAAAAGAGAATCTGCTGAGATTGGCCTTTTTTTTTCTTTGTTATCTTTCATTTTACATACTTTCCTGTCTCCCACTCTCTCCCACCCCACCCTGTACTCTTTTCCCTTTAGTTATATGTAGGGCCAAGCATGCTTACAGGGCAGCATTTATAACTGATTTATAACATTTAATAACTGATTCTTTCTAGCGTCTTATTCCATGAGGCCACATCTGTTTAAGAGTCGACTCAAAAAAAGCAAATAATCCAGAAGTCCTTTTTTAACAGAGGCATATGACAGCTAATTTGGAGCATTAATCTTATGAAGGAAGAGATGTTTAAATAACAACTGGTCCACTGGGAGACAAATTATTAAATAAATCAGAAAATAATAATAATGTGACATGCTAAGTGCATAATGGGCAATGAAACTAACTAATCTTAACTAATCTTGTCTTATGTATGTGTGCAAAGAACCAATAAATGATCTGGCTGAGACAGACTAGTTGGATTTTTAATCAGAGAAGAAAAGAAGCATTCCAGGTAGCAGCATTGTGAATGGCATACACAAAGCCCATAGAGTGAGCTACTCAGGGATCCTAATGGTAGGTTAGATGGGAAGGAATGAATGGAATGGAGCCAGAGAAGGTAGTCAGGGTGCATTGAGAAGGATGTTTGGTCTCTCTGAGTAACTCATCAGCAGCAGCTCTGGGCTCTAGCAGAGTGACACACATAAAAGTGCTGATGAAATGCAGTGTCTTCTGGAATTCCTTGCCCAGGCATACACTAGTTTTCTTCCCTGTCCGACACCCTGCTCTGTGATTCTCTGGGGACTTCAAAAGTAAGTAGGTGCAGTTCATGAGCTTTGGGGAAGAATACAGAAAAGTGGGTCATGGGCAGTGAGAAGCTGAAAATTATGTGTGTCTGTAATGAGAGTGAGTGGATTAACATAGACACTAGTCAAGATTCTTTTGGTTGCACGAAAAATGGACCCTGATTCACCTAAGTGAAATGAAAAAGCTACATTTGAACGGCAGGGGGATGAAAAGGTGACTTAAGACACCCCACCTTAGGAAGCCAGATGCAGAGATCCCAGCAAGAGGCTCAGGACTTTCTCTCGAGGGGACCGCCATGAAGAAATCTTGACCTCCAACAGGAATGTCCCTTGGAATAAGTGTCATATTCCTAAAAAAGAGAATCTGATTGGTCCATTTTTTTGGCTCAGAGTTTTTGTGGCTGAACCAATCAACTGTGGCCACAGAATGGTGGGGGTGTGGCCCAAACTTGGGCCCTGAAGGTTGGGGTGATCTGCTGTGAGCCCAGCAGCACCCACCCAACCCCAATCCAAAATGGCAGTTCATGATTTATTAATTCTTGGAAAGCGTCAATAACGACACTCTCCAGGAATGAAGCAAAGCTGTCCTCCATTCAAAGCTTGGCGTGGGGTAGTTAGATCTACCCTTGCTGGATCCAGACTTTAAGAAAGTTGGACTTTATAATTTATGAAGGCAACAGGGAGCCAACAAATCCATTCAGTGCACATGAAATATTTCAAGTGAGGCACCAGGGAACTGGAGCAGGTCTTAGAGAAGACGGATTTACATCTGGCAATAAATCCCAACTCCAGTAACCTTTGCACTTAGGTCTGGATTTTGTCTGGATATTAAAGCTTTTATAACTGTTTAAGAGCATGAACTCTGTAGGGGTTAGAATTTCTCTTGCCTTCTCTCCAAAGGAATTGGGCTGCCAGGACAAGTTTGGGGGGGTGCCTAGTACCTTTCATTGACCTGGCACTGGGACTCTTTATTTTGAGTGTGCTTCACCTCTGCCTATAGATGGACTTGGTTTCATTGCCTCTCTGGTGATGTCCTTGACCTTGCTGAGCTCCAGTGTCCTTACTTGTGAAATGGAGGTGTCCCTACTAACTTCATAGAACTATCATGAATGCTAAATCCATAACATATTTGGAATCATTTTGTAAAATAACAAAAGTGAATGAATACAATTGTTTTGTGATCTTGCTGTAGTTTAGTTTTTGAGGTAGAAAACTCTTGCTTTGGTCCTCAGCTCTGGCTTGGGGGAATTCACCTCATCTCTCTGAGCCTCAGTTTCCTCATCTATAAAATGGGGACAATAGTGCCTATCTCATGGTATTATTGTGAGGGCTAAGCAGTAGTGCATAACTGGCCTTGTAAAGGTCTGAGCACAGGGTCAACGCACAGCAAGTGACGACCCTTGCCATGCCCTGTGGAAGTATTCAAGAAGTCAAACCTAATATTCATGGTGGATGCAGGTGTCTCCATGGATTAAGAGGCTTTTGGAGTCCCTATTTGTGCAGATAGTCCTACTGTTCATCTATATACACTTCTTTTCTTCCTGGATATGCTGGAGACAATACTTCCAAGCCTCCTTGCCATTAGAAAAACTCATGTTACTAGTCTGGGATACAGAAATATGAGCAATGTGAGTCACTTCTAGGCGGAGGCAGCAGGAAGTCTCCGTGTGAGATGATCATTACTCTCTTTCCCTGCTTCTGCAAATGTGCAGGTTTTGTGTTGACATGGTGGAGCTACTGGATCTCTAAGCCACTAGAGAGGAGAGTTGGTCTTGAGACTCAGACTTGCAGCAAACCTTGCATAAATTAACACAGTGATACTTGGGAGATATTTCTTATTGCAGCATATCCTAGCCTACTCAGACTAATATATGATTCTATTGCTTAATACCTATGTGATCTTGGGCAAATAACTTCTCTGAGGTTTATTTTGTTCATTTGTAAAATGGTATAAATAACAGCAATAATTCATAAGGCTGTTAATGAGATGATGCATGCAAAATGCTTAGCACATGGTTTGTCATATGGAATATGTTTGATGGATAGTGGCAGATATTACAAAAATAATGTTAGTGGTGTGATGGTGATGATGATGATGACTTAAAAGCTAGATATGATTACTGATTTAAATTTAAGTAGAAGAACCCAAACAGTCTCCAGCTCTGAGAATCTTCTCTGGCACATGTTGGTACATGGTTTATTGTTTCATGTGGTATCAATTAAGTGCCAATATCCATAGGTGTCTGTAAAACTTCCTAGTCTATATATAAAAAGATAAATACAATAAAATTGTCTTCATTTGGAAAGATATTAATCAAAAAGTTTGACCATAAATCCACACTTCTGTTCATAGTGCTGTTAACTACTTTTTTTATTTAATAAGAATGTTGTCAGCTAGCATGCTGAGCACTGTCCCTGCAGGGATAAATGAAAACTGGCCTGTGCCCTCAACAAGCTTAGAGTCCATAGGATGTTTATAATAATTACACTTGAGATTCTGTATGCTTTATATCTTCACCCCCACCTGCCCCAGTATCAGATTGTATACAATGTCATTCTGTAGAAAGAACTTGTGCTTTATGGAAAGGGGGATTTGAGTCTGAATTCCAGCTCTGCCTCTTTCTAGCTGTGTCTTTGGGTAAAATCATTGACTTTTGTTAGCCTTAGTTTTCTTATCTTTAAAAAGGACATAATAATCTCTATCATGTTATAAGAAATAATTACAATATAGGTAACATACTTGGGGCAGATCTTAGCATTTAATAAGTGCTCAATAAGTACTAGTAGTTCTTAAATTTCTTGAGGGCAGAGATTCTACATTATTTTGTATTCCCAATGCTTGGATCATAGAAAGTGTCCCATTTATTTATGAACTAACAGGCAGAGAAAAGTATATTTCATACAAAAGCACTTTTAGAGGAAAGCAATTTTGATGGTATTCGAGGTATTTGTATATTTTGAATCCACATTTGGTTTATGCAGAAACTTTAATTGAATTTAGTTAATTTGTTTTTAATTAAAAATAATGGACCTCTGTCATAGAGTTATGCACTTTGTGCCATAGAGTTATGCTGCTCATATTTTTTAATTTTTTAGCAAATTATTATCACTGGATGGGTGAGGCCCCTTCTTGCTAACTTATTTCAAATTTTTTCCATGATTTCCATTTCCTTTCCCATTCCCCTTCCCATGATATGGATATGAGTGATATATGTAAAATATGTAATGTGGTTTCACATACATGTTTTTAATTTATGTAAACTTGTCTGTTCTAAAAACTTTGCTCTGTTTCCTAATTTTTTCATAAAACATTCTATTTTTGTGACCTGTCCAAACTTCTCTGTGTACATCTAGTTCATTATTCCTCACTATTGTATAATATTCCATGTAGTCACTTTTTGTTAACCAGAAAATTGGGTTTTCCAGAATACCGCTGTTCCCCAGCCAAAGCTACTATACTAAAAATGTTGTCTTTATTTAGTACTGGGAAAGTCAGTCATTAAATTATCGCCTTATGATGCTATTATAGCAATGACAATGGCACATGCCCAGTTGCCCACATGGAGAATTATAGAAGGAAAGAACTAAAAGCAAGTTCTTTGATTTCATGCTTCTCTGTTGTGTGTATGTGGGCAATGTGCATATGTGCTTTTGACTATAGTGTACTTTACTGTGTTTTAAATAAATATTCCAATTGACATAAATGAAGTGAATTTTCATGGTGCATGAAAGTATAAACTCAGGGCTATGATGTCAATTAGAACAATTCATACCCTACAGTCTAAACAGCCTTGAGTTTAGGGGCAGTGATCTATATTCAAGTTTGAGTACTGACGCTTGCTGGCTGAGTGATTTGAGTCAAGCCATTTAACCTCTCCCATAAAGTGGAGAAAAATAAATACAGGGATGTCATGAAGCTGAGATGACATAACAATTAGACAGACTATCATATATTTTGTTTGTTTCAAATATGGAATTTTAAAACTGGAAGTAATCAGCAAATATTCAAATATCTACTCTGATATTGCCCTTTCCCATTTTGTGCCCTTGAAAGACATTGATGATTGAGCCGGACACGGCCTCAGGATTATTTCCAAGTTAGCACTCAAGGAAGTCACTACCAACTGATTACAGCTGGCTTGCACTTAAAATTTCAAATTTGTCCTTTCTGACTTAGGCACTGTGGTAGGTCCATCGGGGAAGAGCAGAGATTAACATGTCCTCAGGTCTGTCCTCAGAAAACTTGAAGCCGAGAATGGCACATAGACACAATGAACTCTGATACAAAGTGAAGTATATAGTCTTATGATAAATCAACAAAGAACCACAGATAAACAGAGAATTGGGAGATTGATTCCATGGACTGGCATCATTGAAAGCTTCTTGGAGCTGATGATATTTCAGCTAGATCTTCAAAGTCAGGGACAATTTGGGAGGTACACATGCAAGGAAAACACTCCATGTGGGAGGGAAGAGTATAGCCAAGTTTAAGATGTGAGAAATACATGTGTGGAGAGTAGCTTAATCTGGCTTCAATCCAGGTGGTGTACGGTAAGATAAACAAGCTATACTGAACATTATAAGAAGTTTAGAACATTTTCTTCTGCTGCAGCTACTATTATACCACTCCTCGTACTAACTGATATTTATTGTGCATTTGTGCTGTTTCAAGCACTGTGCTAAGCACTTTAGATACCTGATCTCATTTGATAATCACAAAACTCCTATGAAGTAGTGTATCAATTAGTTATAACTGTATAACAACCTAGTCCAAAACTTAGCAGCTTAAAAGAACAATCATTTATTATTTATCATGGGTATAGAGAGGTTCTGGAGATCTAGACCAAGCTTGGCTGGTCTGAGGCTCACTTATGCATCCGGATTCAACTAATAGATCATCTTAGGCCTGGCTGGTCTTAGGTGGCCTCAGCTGGGCTGGTGACTGTTTTCACATCTTTTCGTCAGGTAGCTTGGGCTCGTCCACATTCCAGTGGCAGGATTCTGAAACATGAAAAGCCTCTAGAGGTCTAGGCTTAGAATTGGCACACAGTCACCTCTGTTGGGTTCTGTTTGCTTCACATGGCCAGCCCAGATTCAAGGAGTGGGGCAATAAGTTCCACCTCTTGATGGAACCTGCTGCAAAATCACAATCACATTGAAATCAACGTACCAGAAGTAGTAAGTACTATGAATATCTCCGTACTTTAGATGAAGAAACTCTGGCTCTAGGAGGTTGGGTGTCTTGCCCAAGTAAATATAACTGGAAAGTGAAGAAACAGGACTTGCACTTGGCTTGGTAGGCAGTGGGGAGCCAAAAAAGATCTTAAGCACAAGAGTGACACTATCAGGAGAAAAAGAAGTAAGGGATATTTCTATGGCTAAATGATGGCACCACGGAGAATGCAAATCTTGATCATTCCAGTATCAGCTCACTCTGTTTTTGATGCAAGTGTACTATAGGTCTTGGGACTTTGCATTCTCTTTGTGAAGCTCTGTGGTTATGGTGTCAGCTTTTGAAAGACATCTTCCTGGGGCCGCCTTTGCTCCAGGCCTTTAATCATCTGTGCTTTTCAGAAAACCAAGCATCAGCCTTTCAGAGCTCCTTTCCCAGCATGACTTGTGAGTCATAGGTATCTCCAAGCTGAAGGGACATGTCAATCCAAGGACCCATGTAGGTGTTCACCCCAGCATCCCTGCACGACAACTGCCATTGGCTGAGTGCGCTGGAGACTGCAGACAATTAGTGTGGACCTCGCATTCCCAGAGGCCTCACCTGCCATCAGCAGGAGGTCTAGGCATGGGAACATGGGACCCTTCCTGGAGCCAGAAGCAATCAGATTCAAACTGAAACAGACTTGGGGGGCAGAGCTCTACACCCACTAACTCTGGTGACTGGAGGTAAAAAGGCACACAGTGGCTTGGTTTTCTCCAAGGTCAAGGGCAAGGAGATTTTTGTAAGTCAAGGTATTTACAGCTCACAAATTCAGAACCACAGTTACCATTACTATTGATTAAAGATGACCACTTGTTCAGGAGAGCCTACTGTAGCTTAGTAGAAGGTTAGGAACACGTGCTTTGAAGAAAGAAAAACTCAGGGCTGGATCTTGTAAGCCCTGCTATAGTGTGGATGTTTGTCCCGAAAATCTCATGTTGAAATTTGAACTCCAGTGTTGGAAGTGGGAGCTGTTTGGGTCACGGGAGCAGATCCCTCTTAACTGCCTTGCTGCCTTCTCATGGTGATAAGTGAGTTCTCACTTTGTTAGTTCCCATAAGATCTGATTGTTAAAAAGAGCCTGGCACCTCCCAACACCTCTTGCTTCCTCTCTTGCCATACGATTTCTGCACACGCTGTCTCGCCTTTGCCTTCCACTTGAGGGGAAGCAGCCTGAAGTCCTCCCCTGAAGCAGATGCTAGCACCATGCTTCCTGTACATCCTGCAGAATCATGAGCCAAATAAACCTCTCTTCTTTATACATTACCCAGTCTCCGATATTCCTTTTTAGTAACACAAACAGAATAAGACACATCCTATTTCCTCTCTGTGTGGTACATTGGACAAATGGCTCAACCTTTCTGGGCTGCAGTTTCCTCTTGATAACATGAAGGTAATAACATCTACTCTTTGGGGTTGTCATCACAATTTAGTGAACTAGTTACAGAAGCTCTCCCAGTAGCTACTCAAGAATAGGGCTGTATCATTGGGAGAGGGAAATCCTAAGTTTTGCAAGGCTGCCCAAGAAAGAGCCAATTACAGGCAAAGAACCTGATCATCCCTGTTCCAAGCCCTGATATTTGATAATTAATAGCTCTAGCCCCTGCTACTGTGTCCTGCTTGGGGAAACCCACTGTGTCTGTGGTTCTCAAAACTGGCTACACATTAGAATCATCTGGGGAGCTTTAAAATATCTCAAAGCCCAGGTTGATCCCTAGACACGTTAAATCAGAGGTGGGCTGGGGGGCGGGATGGCTCAGAAATTAGTAGTTTTTAAGGCTCCCAACAGGGTTGGGACTAGGACCAGGTAAAGAAACTGCCTAGTTTTTAAAATTTAAGGAGGCACTCACTCTCAGGAGGTGATCCTGTGCTTGCATGTCCCTGAGAATGAGTGCTTCCTTAAATGCTGCATTCTAGATACTTCACTAGCTCACCCTTGTCCTGGCTCTGCTCCTGAAGTGATTCCAATTATCAGTTAAAGTTTTAGCAATCATTAAAATGATGAACTTACATAAGGTATTCCTGGGTCACAAAAGTGGCCTGCCTTTACTCTACTTCCCTCTTCTGCTTTCCTTTACTCCCTTCCACCTGTCTATTCCTCCCTGAAAAATGGCATAAACTTGTAAATCATCCCAACATTTAGCAAATAAAGTATCCTTTAGTTAAAAGAACTCCCTCTTTTAAGTGCATATTTTTGTAAATATTTTTTTTATTGACCTTTCGTAGGGAGATGCCCTGTACCCCAGTGACTTATCAAGATTTCCTTTTGAATAAGACTGGGCTTTCCACAAGAGAGATCTGCTTAATTTGTTTTTTTTTTTTTTTTTTTTTTTTTAAAGCTTTCGATCTCATAGCACCTGGTTGCTGTGTTTATTATGTTATGTTGCAGAGGGCTGTCCCTGGGCAAATAGGGATCACACTTGCGATCGTCGTGTAGTAGTAAAGAAACTGATGCATACTCAGCGCTTTCAAAAATAGGCAAATGAATGACTGGCCCTATGTTTAGATTCCACTGGAGCCTCTCCCTTTACATCTAGGGGTCCAGTTTCACCGTCGCTCTCTCTTGGAGCAGCCCCAAGGCAGAAACTGACTGTCAGCACCACATTCTGCACACAGTAGGAGTGCAGGAAACATTTATTACAAGAAGGCAAAGCACCCAGTGCCCCTGGAACTCACACTCTCACTCTCAGCCTGGGAGGAGCTTCGAGACGTCCCCCGGAAGAAGTGTTGACAATGGCTCAGCAGTCCAAGGTGAGAAAAGGCTAGTGCTTGAAACTGGAGTCCGCCGCCCACTAGGAGGGATGAGGCTGTGCCTTTAGAGTGGGACAGTCACGTGGGGAAGGTGGAGGGCTTCCTGCTCCAGCAGGGATGGCAGGGAGGAGAGAAAGGAGGCCTCTTCTTTCCTCCCCAGTTGGCCTCTAGGGCCTGGGGTAGGATTTGGGAGGGCAGGGGGAGGGTTGGTTGAGAAAGCCTGGAGCTCAATTTGACATCAGGTGTGCTACCCGCTGCCTCTCTTTGAGGACGTGTATCTATGAAAGAGGTCCATGAATCAGACCCGCATGTGCAGCAGCCAAAATCTTTTTTTTATTAAAATGCTTTGTGCTCCAGGATACCAGGGAGTTAAGCTGATCTGCCTCTGAGAGTGTGTTTGCCTAGAGCACACTATTAGATACTTTGTCTCCTTTAAAATAATACTAAGAGATGGGCTTTATGTCTCTCGGTTCCTGCCCTATATTGCTGCCTGCAGAAACGAGGCCAGGAGAAGAGACCATTCGCCCTTCTGGGAAGGGCCTTGATGTACCATAAGCTGAGGTCTCTTAAACTGCCTGGATCCCCAGCAGCATGCAAGCTGGAGAAAAACTGGTTTGATTTTTAACCTGTCATTTGTGAAAACAGGGTGTTATCCGTCAGGAGGAAGAGACTGTCTCCATCCCCTGTTATAAATGCTATCACATCCTTCACAGTGGCATTCCTCACGGATAAAAGATTTTATCGAGATCATTTATTTATAAAGAAAATAGTGCCTATAATGGCATCATTACATTCCCCGTTAATCAGCTCTCTGTCTTTCACGCTGTGTTCAAGCCCATTAGTATTTGGAAGAGAAAATATATACATTTGATTATCCCTTGGCATGTCATGATTTAAAAAAGGAAGAAGACGGGAGAAAAAAAACTGACAGCAAATCCTTTAAAGTGATTGCTTTTTACGGGCTGCGTGCACGAAGTTTTGTGTTTCTTTGAGCCTGTAAAGGCATCTGATAACACATTACAGTGGTATCCTCGGCAGGCTTTGGTCATAAATAACCCCCTTCTTCTTAAGTAGTGCAGTATGTATTATTTTTCTCCTGTGAACTTGGGGCCTCACACACACGATTCTCCAATTGCACATAATAAAATGTGGTTGAGATCAGTATTTCTAATTCAAGAATAAACCAGGAGAAATGTCGTGTTTAAAACTGCATGAACACTGGGACTTAGCGTGATACACGAGTGAGCAGCAAGCGACTTCTCTTTTTGCCCAAATTTGAAGAACTGCCTAAGCCCTGCACTTCTCCATTTAAATATCTCTTGCTTGGGTTGCCACAAAGAGCCTTTGTACATTATTCTGAAAAGCCCTAGGCATGGGATTATGTGTTCTTACACGTCTTCTTTTAGGCATCAGCAGCAAAGTATACCAAAGGCAAATTTATGTTTAGAGCTATCAATAAAACATAACTGAGAGACTGCTAAATTAGTAATCATGAAAATCCTACCCAGTTCTCTCTCTCGATTTCTCTCTCTCTCGATTTCTCTCTCTTTTTTAATATTACGAAGCAACTTTTAAAGTATTTGCCTTTGGTGCGAGGGTGGTCTCCTAAGAAAACGTATACTTAAATATCTCAGAGGTACCTCAAGGTCTTATTTTTGGATTGGGGTATCAAGGGAGGACTATACTAAAATCTAATAATGGTTTTAAGTTAAATGCCTTCAAGTACTGCCAAGAGCCTTACAATCAGATGTCCATCATGAAAGGCATAATTTATCAGCAAGATGGAAAAGATAGTGTTTGTCAGCAGTTGTTATTAACTCAAATGAATAGATGGTTTTGCTCAGGCCTCTAAAAGCTCTGTTTCAATCTCATGGACACCAAGAAACTACACATGAAACCATTTAGTCAAGAGGGAGAATTAATCTCCCTCTTACCGCAACAACTCTGGATTTTCTGAAGGGAATATAAACAGTAAGGCGGAAAGAAAGATGTCCCCTCATAGGCAGTGTCAGGGCAATGTCCCGCAAAAGAGGAGAAAGTTCTTTCCTTGCGATGAGTTTCACACTTGGAGGGGGAGATTTTCTCATCATCAGGTAACAGAGCCATCCTGGTACCCCCTAAGGCAACAAACAAACAGGCATCTGGGTGTGGTTTCTTTTTGGTTCCTAAATCATTTGCAAGAGGTTGAGGGACTAGAAAACAGACGATTATCTCCCTCTGTTGCTAGAATATGTGGGCTGGAAGGCCTTCGAGATCAGTTGGCAGGGTGGTTTTCATTTTCTTTGTAGCCTTAGAACTCTTTCTTCTCTCAAAATATCATGCAGAACTGTGATTATAAAAGAGATAAAAGCAGACTGCACTGGTTAACGTGGAGCTGGGGGTTCAGATTCCCACCCACAGAGCCCCTGACCCTCCTCTTACAATGCTGTCTGTGGAAGGACTGAGGGCTCAGCAAAACATAATTTTAAAACCATTGCCTATTAGCCTCACTCACAGCTCAGTCACAGATGAAGAAGCCAAGGCTCAGGGGGGGCAAGTGACTTGTCCAAAGTCACACAGCTTGATAAGGGCAGAGAAGGACCGGTAATGCCAGACAGGGGCTTTGCATGCTTTAGTTATTAAGATTCAAAAGCAGATAACCTTTGTTGGCTATGCCTTGCCCAAAACATGATTTCCAAGCCTCAGAAACTGTGCAAATCTTTGTTATTCTGTCTTTCCTTTCTCTTGCTTTATTATTTCTAGCAGTGAGCAAGAATACTTGTCATTAAGCAGACGTAAAGATGAAAAAAACCTGGTGACCATTTCCATCTTTTTTTTTTTTTAAAGACACTGGCTGCTTGCTGTATATATTTCATCTTTTCAGTTTGCTGTATGACTTTATAGAGAAGCTGAGACTTTAGTTACTGTGTGGGCATCTCTGTGGGCATTCTACAACCAATACCTCCCATCAGCTCTTCCACCCACTCCAGCAGGGACATCCCAGTTCTTACAGAGTCCCGTCTCCCTGACCTAAGTTTATCAGCACCAGACACTGAATGGAACCACAAGATATGCAATGCAGAAGCTGTAATTAAGACATGTTCCTTACCAAGAAGGCTTCTCATTTGCAGTGAGAGAAAATGAACCCCACCTGCCAATGAGAAGTCTGAGGTGAAGAGAATAGACCCCTGGATCTCTCAAGTTGTTCAACTGTTTCACCCTTCCTTCAATCATGTGCAATCAACAGGGCACACTACAGGTTAGAGATTGAGAGTTTGGGTTGTGGAATCACATAGATATATACGGTCACTAACTCTGGTGCTAGAACAACTCACTTCACTGCCCTTTGTGTCTTAGTTTCTTCTACTGTAGAATGGGGAGGATAATAGCACCTGTCTCATGGAGCTATTCCAGCTGAACACTTAGTAAGAACTCAATTTCAGGAAAGGTCCTCAGGCTTGGCTGCAGCTTGGGCCTCCTAGGTCTTGATCCTTGAAAATCAGTCTGCAACTCACCCAATCTCTCAATCACGAATGTGTTGGTATGAGGGAGCAGGGAAGTCACCAGAGGCTGCAGAAGAGTCAGGGAAGACAGGAGCCAGCAGGGTATTAACCACCGGCCCCACCCTCCATAAAATAGGCACACAGAGCTTCTTACACCTGGCGAATCTTTCCTCCATGCAGATGGCATCCTCCACAGCTGGGGAACTTTCAGGCCCTAGTGGGTTTGTGCTGTGTTATCTTCAGCTGAGTGTTGCATCTTAGTAAATTTCTGAGTCCTTTGCAATTACAAATATTACAATAACTTACCATTCTCTGAATCTGTAGGCATCAGTAACGTCACCATCTCATTGCAACAACCATACTATTATTCTCATTCTGCTAATTAGTTTGAGTCAGAGTTTTAGCTTGTAACCAAAGGAATCCTCAAAATCTAGATACATCTAGATGCCAATCCCAATTCCCAGAGATTGAGTCCCTTACTTGTTGCTCTGAGTCTTCTATTGAAATACCACTGTGGGGCTGATCTCTAGGCAGAATTTAATACATTGTCACAAACATCTGAGTGTCTCAGGAAAAGTAAGAGGGAAATGGCAATACAATCTGACAAGGACTCCAAAAGAAAGGGAAAGAAAGATCTGTGAGAATAGAGGGCAAAGGGAGATTGCTTCCAGCTCTGGGGATGAAGAAGGGGTTCACAGAGAAGGTAGCTTTTGCTTTGGGTCTTAAAAAGAAGGACATCAATGATACAGGTAAAAAGTCAAGACACTGTGGGATATGTTGTAGCCAGCAATTTTTCCTTCTATGAATATGTTTAATGGGAAATGTCACTGAAGGCTTAGATTGGGACTGGGAAGTACCAGTTGATAATAATAATAATGAATAGCATTCTTTGAATGATTCCTATTTGCTAGACTTATTTTATGTGCTTTACAGATATTCCTTCATTGGATGCTCACACACCCTTTGGCTAGATCCTGAATTATTCCTCCTTCACATAAGAATTCATGCATATAAGAGGTAGGGCTGGGATTCAGACTCCTACCAAGTAGTCTGACACTCATAACCACCAATGACCCCAAATTCACAGTGTCAGGCCCTGGGGAGATGCTGGTGAATAGGATAAGTGTAGTCTCCACCCAGTTGGAGCTCACAGTGGTGTATGTTGTTAAGAGTCCTGACTTAACTCTTTCTCATGTCGTTGTTTTTATAAATACTAGTCAGATATGATAGAATCCTTACCCTCCAGTGTTGTGTGGCTTTTAAATTTGTGTGAGGATGTTTATGGTTAAATCTCAAGCATGTATTGTCCCACCATCCCCCACTTCCCCAGTAGCCACTGATTTTTGTGATTCTGGGCAGGCTGATGATACTACTCACCCAAGGTGGAATGTGAGTGAGACCAGGCTGAGTCAATCAGCACATTCCATGTACCAGCCCCATTTATTGGCTCAGGAGTGGGTGTGTGACTTCAGCTGCCCTGATAATATTGGTTTTCAGGTCTTTGTCTGGAAATGCTCTCTGGGTCACACACAAAGAAGCAGGAAGTATCCTTGGTACTTATATTAGTCTGTTCTCATACTGCAAATACATACCAGAGACTGGGTAACTTATAAAGGAAAGAGGTTTAATGGACTCACAGTTCCACATTGCTGGGGAGGCCTCACAATCATAGCAGAAGTCAAAGGAGGAGCAAAGGCACATCTTACATGGCAGCAGGCAAGAGAGCGTGTGCAGGGGAACTGCCTTTTATAAAATCATCAGATCTCGTGAGACTTATTCCCTATCACAAGAACAGCAGGGGAAGTACACACGCTCCCATGATTCAATTACTCACACCAAGTCCCTCCCTTGACAAGGGGAATTATTGGAGCTACAATTCAAGATGAGATTTGGGGGGTCACACAGCCAAACCATATGAGTACTGAAAGCTGTCTTGGGACTGCAAGAGGAAAAACTTGCTAAGGTTGGAGTCATTACCAAGCAAATGGAGCAGAGAAATCAACAGCAAGTAACGAAATCCGGATGACATCACCGGGCTCCTGGATCATGTTTCACCTGAAGTCTGGCAGGTTTGTAAACTTTACAGTCACACAAGCCAGTCTGAGTCAGGAGTCCATTGAAATCCAAAGCTTGCAGCGTGGGAGGCTGTGGTAGCCACCGTTGGCATGAGAAAGGGTCCTCTGAGTCCCAGTCTGCTACTCAGTCTTGGTGCGACCTCAGGTCTTCAAGTTTCAGTTTCTTTATCTGTAAAACGAGAAGGTCAGATTGAAATCACAGCAGTGATGATGATGATCATGATGGCCACTTATCAGGCACTTAACTGCTTGCCATCTGCTCTGCTGAGGTTTTTATATATAACATCTTATTGAGTTGGTCCAACAGCTTCATGAAGTAGAAATTTGAAGAAGCTGACACTCAGAGAGACGAAATCACTTGCCTAAGGCCACACAACACAATTAGTAAATGACAGAACTGAGATTTGATTCAGGCATATAACACTATGGATCAGATTTTTTTTCAAAGAGATCAGCTTCTTCACTGCAAAACTGCTCATAATTTTTGAGTTCTATGAGGCTTGGGTCAATAGCTATGTTACTCACACTTTATTCTCCAGTACCAGCCACAGTACTCAGCACATAGACTTTGGATGAACGAACGAATGAATGAATGAATGAGTGGCTAGATGATCTCAAAGAGCCCATCCAGCTCTAGAGTCCTCTGAAACCCACCTTGTGCTCTTTACCTAATGAGGGTTCCCAGAAGCATTTCTTGGGTGAAGGGCAAGCCCTTTTCCCCTCCTCTGAACTAGTGCCTACTCCACTGACTGCCCCCCACTAATGAGGGAGCACAGCCCAAGGGGATGGTGTCTCCAGGCTAATTATTTTGTGGCTGTTCTGGCCTCACAATTCAAAATATTCAGGCTATTGTTGGTGTTTTACATCTTGCCACTGTTGCCCTTGTCAACTTCCAAGGGCATGAAGCCATGGCCCAATGGGGTAGCCCTTTCAAGGTCAGCTTGACAGCAAACACAAACTTAATTGAGCTGGAATAATAATTTTTTCTCTTTGCTTGATGTGCAGGTGACAATACTTAAAATATCGACATGGCTTAATACTTTTAAATTCAGTTGTTTGCTGATCAGCAGCAGCTACTTAAATTGACCAATCTATCTTGCCCAGCCGGAGATCAAGGGATCAGCACTTAATTTCATTCCCTGAATAAAGAATTTTTTTTATATCCACATGGAAATATCAGAACATGAAAGGTTAAATCAATATGGAGTTTTACATTGCTTAAAGGGCATTTGCATCAAAGCAGCCCTGAATGCAATTCACTTGTTTAATGAATTTTTTATGCTTATTTAATGAATTTCACAAAGGTTTGGTGTTTTTCATAAAATGGATAAGGACTTCCAGTTTTATGAAATAATAAAAATGGAACTGAAGTTATGAAATGAGCAATCTCATTAGTTAGGCATGATATATTCATATGAAAATGTACATGTCTCTGTATTATTGCCTGGGCACCATTATGCGAACAGTGACTTGTTATAATAGCATGGCAAATATTCCTCTAGTTAAGATATCAAGAAGTGACAGAAGGAAATTGCATTTTCTCCCCATTTCTAATAATGACATAATTAATGCTCATTTAAAATAATTACCTGGGCATTGTTTCCCAAGAGTGCGGATGCCTAACTCACTGGTAAATGTGTCCTGAAATACTTCTGAACTTCAATAACTCAAATGACGTCCTTTGCTTTTTACATTAGTTATTTGTTGAGGTAACAGTGATTTCTTGCCTTTCCATTCCAATGTCCTGGTGCACAAACAGAATACACAAAACTAATTCTATGAAATATAGAGGAAATATCTTGTGCTGAGAGAGAGAGAGAGAGAGAGAGAGAGAGACAGAGAGGTTGAGATTGTGGTATTAATTCTTCCTTCCTAGGCTTTGTTTCTGGCTTATATATTTTTTTGGATTTTGGGCTTCTTACTTGGTGTCCAGAGTTTGGTGAACTGGTCAGGTACTGATTCATCTATGATATTCAGAGGTTAGAGGGTACACTGGTTAATAATTCAGGCTTAAAAACACAGATGTATGTCTTGTGACTGTTTAACCACAGACTAGTTATTTATCCTCTCTGAACCTCAGCTGTGAAATAAGGATGATTCTTGGTAGTTCCTGAGACCTGGGGTGTGGGCAAGACTAAATAAGCATACACATGTAAAGCCCAGCACAGTGTCTGGCATCTGGTAAGCTCCCATCATGTCAGCTGTTGGCATAGGTGGTGTTGGTGAGACGCGGGGCCTGGAATTCACTGGACGCTCTGGTGCAGAGACTGAACAGAAGTCAGTGAATCAGCACCAGGCAGGGCCTCACTGGGGAAACTCGAAACTGTTTCATCTCACTTTCTTTTCCTATTCAAGAAGACAGGCAGCTGGAATGCTCCTCTGGCATTCAACACTGATATCAGTCTCAGCAACATTAATAATACAGTGCAACCGAATTAATTCTGCCTCCTCACCGAATTAATTCTGCCTCCTCTGATTTCAGAGGGGACAAATTCAGATGCACAATTCAGTGAGCATGTTTGGGGGGCTCACTGGGTGCTGGGCACCAGCAGGAGGGCTCTAAGCAAAGGGAAAGGCATAGCTCCTCTTCCAGGAGTTTGCAATGTTGGTAGGACCATAGGAAGCAGCCAGGATACAATTTTATTACCAATTAAACTCCTTGTATCTGTATAGTGCTTTGTAGTTTCCAAAACCATTTTGAGACTCGCATAAGTAGTCAGACCCTCTGATCTTTTAGGACTCTTTTGATGGTAGATTGAAATAATTTCTTTGGACTCAGAGAGGAACTTTGCATTGTGGTTACCAAACTGGTCCTTGCAATTAAAATTGGGTCCCAGCACCAGTTCTGAGCAGTTCCAGCTGTGTGGCCTCCGGCAAGTCACTTAACCTTTCTGAGCATCTATTTCTTTTTCTTCCAAATGGATGAGGACTCACTAAATTTGCAGGCGTGTAAGACACTTCCCTGCCTCTTTCCTTCAAAATTACTGTGTGCCCATATTCCAGGTGGAAATAAGAGTCAGAGAGGAAATAATGTAAGATGCTACCCCCCAGTGGAGGAGTTAGGCAATTCAAAACTCATAGCAAAGGTCAGCGTGCCATTGCCTTTTGGGAGTGATAGTGGTTGGTAAATTTTTACTTTGTGCTTCTTCGAAAGCAAACATTTAAAAACCACATATAATATGACTGATAAGAGTTTGAGTAATTTCTGCTATTTTCTATATTCACTGATATATATATTGTATACATACATATACACACAAATGACTTTTAAAGCAGTTATTTTACACTGTTTAAAGTGTTAGTCAATTCTTACTGAATATTCAGAAATTAAGACTTTCTACATGATTCCAATATGTAGTCTACTGTCTTTACAACAATAAAATGTTTTTTCTCATATAAAATCACTTTAACCTCACTTTTAATATCAAAAATATTCAAATTTTTCCTTTCTTCAAATTTCCCTCTATTATTAGAGTGAATCTTACTATATTATTAAGTTAATAATAAACCTAATACTATTTATTTAAACTGAAGTCTTTTGGGCTCCACGATTAGAGAGCCTTCTAAGCTAGAACCCTGTGTTTCATCTGTGTCTCATCTTCACATATTTGCCTGTTCCCTCTAATGCCCTAGTTTCTTTCTTTCTTTCTTTCTTTCTTTCTTTGAGACAAGGTCTTTCTTTATTGTTCAGGCTGGAGTGTAGCGGCACAATCATAGCTCACTGCAGCCTCAAACTCCTGGGCTCAAGCAATCCTACCACCTCAGCCTCCTAAGTAGCGGGGTCTCCAGGCACACACCACCACATCCAGCTATTATTTTTTTATTTTTAGTGGAGACGTATCTCACTATATTGCCTAGGCTGGTTTTGAACTCCTGGCCTCAAGTGATCCTCCCACCTTGGCCTCTCAAAGTGCTGGCTTGAGCCACCATGCCCAGCCAAGCTCCAGTTCTTGAGCCGAGTGCACGGCAGACACACCTGGGAGTGCCCAAGCCCACAGCCTTTGCCAGGACCTCCCATTCACAGGTGAGGGGTGGACCTGGCATCTGTAAAATGAAAACTCTCCCAGGGTTACTCTGATTTGTCTGCTGGAAAGAAACCAAGGTTCTGAAGCAATAGGTAAGAAAGCTTGAAAGAATATGGCATGGACGCCAAGTAAAAATGACAGGGGAGTAAAGATTAACCTTGACATAATGCAGCTAGGTTTAAATCTGCCTTCACTCACATCATTTGCTCATCGCAACAGCCCCTCAATGTGAGTAATAACCTCATTTTATTTAAACATGGGAAGATGTTTAGATTCACAGGTTAACTCCCCTGTCCCACCTCACACCTCCACCTCCCACACTGACCCTCCAGGTGCTCAGGATCAAACCTCAGAGTCATCTTTAACTACTGTGTCTCTCATCTCCCTCTGCTTGCCATCAAAATTGATCTGGAAAATGACTCCTTTTCCCCATGCCCATCTATGCAGGTCACAGTCACATCATGCCCTTGCTTGGATCCTGCAGCAGCCTCCGACCTGGCCTCCTACCTCCTCTCTCCCTCTTGGCCCCTCAGTCTGTTGTTCTGGCAGAAGCCAGAATTAGGCATTTAAGATGCAAATGAGATCATGTTACACCTCTGCTCAAAACCCATCTCATTCAGAGGAAAATCCTAACTCCTTATAGCAGCAGGCAGCCTGCCTCCCTCTCTGGTCTATCTCTTCCTATCCTCCCTCTGCCTCACCTCACTCCAGACACTCAGAATGCCTTTCCCAAACTCCCAAGTACTCTCCCACCTGTGCACTTGCCTTTCTTCCTGGAACTCTCCTCCCTCAGCTATATGTGTGTTTCATTCACATTCTGGAGGCCTACCTAGCTCCCTTTTCTCAGGAACAACCCCCCTCCCCAGCTACTCCCTTAATTTGCTTTATTTTTCAGAGTAGCCCTTAGGATCACTTGACATGGCACCTGTTTGTATGTTTCCTTGTTCATTATCTGTCTTCCTTCCCCACTCAAGCTGTGAGCTCAGTGTTACATATCCACTGCCTTGAACAGTAAGTGCCCATAGTAAGTGGTGGATGGACACTTGCTGAATGAATGTCTAGGCCCCAGGATAACCTTTATTCAATGTCTGAAACTGTTTCTCTGTTTGCCCCCATCATGTGCAGGGTGAAAGAGGAACTAGGTTTGATATGGTTTGGCTGTCTCCCCACCCAAATCTCATCTGGAATTGCAGCTCCCATTATTCCCACGTGTTGTGGGAGGGATCCGGGGGGAGATAATTGAATCATGGGGGCGGATTCCCCACATACTGTTCTCGTGGTAGTGAATAAGTCTCACGAGACCTGATGATTTTATAAGGGGTTTCCCTTTTCTCTTGGCTCTCACTCTCTCTTTTGTCTGCTGTCATGTAAGATGTACCTTTTGCCTTCTGCCATGATTGTGAAGCCTCCCCAGCTGCGTGGAACTGTGAGTCCGTTCAACTTCTTTTACTTTATAAATTACCCAGTCTCAGGTATGTCTTTATCAGCAGTATGAAAAGAGACTACTACACGCTTCAATCAGGCCTGGGGAGGGTAAGTATATTTTGTGATGATTCAGCTAACCACGTGCAGACCCCAGGCCTACCCTTAAGAATGCTTTAAAAAGTGGTGTGGTGGTGCGCACCTGTAGTCTCAGCTACTCAGGGTGCTGAGGCAGGAGGATTCTTGAGCCCTGGAGTCCTAGGCTGCGGTGTGTAATGTCCATCAGGTGTCTGCACTAAATTGAGCATCAATATGGTGACCTCTCAGGAGGGAGGGGGGGCTACCAGGTTGCCCAAGGAGGGATGAACCAGCTGGTTGGAAATGGAGCATCTCAAAACTCCAGTGATGATCAGTAATGAGACTGCACCTGAGAACAGCCACTATGGTCCAGCCTGGGCAACACAGAGAGACCCCATCTCTTAAAAAAATGCTTTAAAGACAAAAGCAAAAAAGCAACAGAAACCATCTTATCCTGGAGCTTATTTCTCACATTCGCTTTGTCCTCCTCCCAGTGGACAGTCATTTATAAAACTCAGTTCAATGAGGTTTCCAACTAATTGAGGTTTTACTGAATATCCTATCCGGTGCGTTGATTAAGGACCTCTCTGTGCTTATTGCCATGGGGAGTTGGGAGGTAGAAAAGTGAATGAGACAAGGGCTGTACCCTCCAGGTGCTGACAAATCCAGAGGGGAGAGAGACAGACACACAATCACTTATAACCCAGGCCAGAATGAAGAAGCAAGGTAAACGGAGATGACAGCCTTGTGCTTGGGGCCAGGAGGGTTCATTACATCAACTCTTGCTCGGTCCAATTTATCACCACCACTATTACTAATCTAATAAAAATAATAATTTCGAGTAGTCCTGCCTTCTTTGATATCAAAGGGTTTTTTTCTACTGTCAAAATTAATGATAAAAGAAAACAACTTGTTGGAATTAAAAACAGTTGGGCTTGCTGATGGTTGAGAGAGGGGTGGGCTCTTCCTGGAAGGATGGGGAGGACTTGTGAGTATTTCTTTGAGGACCCAGTCTCCCATCTTCAACCTCCTCCAGCACAGCATCATGGCGTATACAACAATCAAAGGCTCATTAGGCCTGTTTCTATCATCTTTGCCATGTAATGCTTAACATCTGGGAGAGAAAATGTCCTGAAGCTTTTCAAAATAAATGAAGACATGCATTCCAGGTTTGTGGCAAGAGTCTCAGATGAGCCTGGTCACTTCCCACATTACTGAGGTCCGTACCAGCCAAGGTGCTCTGTGCCACCCACAGAAGTTTCTTGAGGGGGGGATTTCCCAGGGAATGATTTGACGCTCCATGGTTGCTGGAGTTCAAGGGCTATTTGACGTAGCGGTGAGCTAGTATTTTCCAACCCCATTCTCTGTTGTATTCCATTAGCCCTGGATGAGTTCAGGTGAGAGACGCCTTCATTTCACCATTGGCTGGAATCCCTCAGTGATGTTCAGCTGGCAACTGGCTGGTCTGTAGGAGACAAGATGGTTCACCCACATCTCTGGCACCTTGGTGGTATGGTTGGAAGGCTGGGTCCACCAGACCCATTCCCCTTTCCATGTGGTTTCAGGGCCTCTCCACATGGTCTCTTGAGCTGATTAGCTAGACTTCTTACATGGAGGCTCAAGGCTTGAAGAAAAACAAAAAGAAATTGCCAGTCCTCTTAAAGGCTATACCCAGAACTGGCATAGTGTCACTTCCACTCTACTTTATTGGCCAAAGAAGTTCTAGGCCAGCCCAGCGGCAAGGTGAGGGGAAATAGGCCGACCTCTGATGGGAGAAGCCCCGGACCCACATCAACACTTTTGACAAATCCCAGATTATTGGGAAAAATGGATCCACCATTCAATTCTAGGACAAACATTGAAAATAACTATGGACATGGGGATGGGGGTTCTACACTGGCCAGTGACGGCAGGCTGATTTCTTTTCTTTCTGTGCTGTATGTAATCCATGGTCAGAAGGGCTCTCATCTCCTCCCCATTTTAGAGGATGCTGCTCCCTGAAAAACCTCCTCTGTCTGAGTCACCCACTGATTTCCTCTTCCTTCCCCTCATCCCCCTTCTTTAGTCTTTGGAGCAGAAAAATGTACTCTGCAACCAGAAATGTTTTTCTGCTTTAGTATCAACTGGGGACTGAAAAATGGCCCATGGCAGAGTCTGAGGGAGGGAAATCAAACAAAACGAACAAATAGTACCCTGATGCAAGCCTGACACAGACAAGGCAGATAAAAGCAGGATTGTTGAGCGGTGCACATTCATGCCCCCATTCCTATGCCAACCCCACCCCTAACCTGTGCTAGCACTGCCTATAAAACAATCTCTGGGAAGCAAAAGCCCCCATGTGACAGTTTAAAAACAGTAATATAATTCACATTCTCATTTCAACTCTAGTTGCTGAAGCCCAGAGGGAGAAACAGACTTGCCTAAGATCAGGCAGCACGTTAATAGTTTAGTCAGGTCTTAATTCAGCTGACCAATCTAGTGCTCTATTCAAACCAGTGCTTTGCCAGGCAAACAGAAATAATAATCAAATCAAAAATTGCCTTTTTATTAAGAAAAATTTTACAAAATTCAGATGTAGAGAAATGATATCATGAGTCCCTATGTGTCCATCTACAGCTTCAGCAATTATTAACACAGGTGTACAAAGTCAGTTTAAAACTGCTGATTGCTTTCTCCAGCAATGTGCCTGGGCTCTAGCTGGATGGGAACCTGACATTAGAGGGAACCGAATGGCTTCTTAAAGTCTGAGCTCTTTGTGTCAGAGGCTGTGGGTTGGGAGACGTGGGTGAGCATGAAGGACGTCCTTCACTTGTGTTATAGTTCCTATTTACCCCCAAGTAATTCGGATCCACTCTTGAATCCTGCTGTACTGATTGTAGCTTCCTCAAGTGACATTTCATAGCCTTAATTCTGGTACTTTTCTTTGTAATTCTTTTAGATTTTCCACTTGCATGATCATGTTTGCTATGGAGAAAGGCATTTTTACTTCTTCCTTTCCGACCTGCATATGTTTTTATTTCAGTTCTTTGTACCAGTAGACTGTTTAGAATCACCTGTACAATGTTGAATACAAGTGAGAATTTGTCTTGTTTTCAATTCTAGAGGGAAAGTGTTTAGTATATCACCATTAATTATGTTAGCTGAGGATTTTTCACAGATGTCCTTTCACAGATGCCTTGAGAATTTTTATATGAATGGGTGTTGAATCTTCTCAAATGTTTTCTCTGAATCTGTTGAAATAAACATGTAAGTTTTTATCCGCTTTATTTTGTTAGAATGCTGAGTTACACTAATTTTCAAATGTTAAACCAACCTTGCATTCCTGGGATAAACTTTACTTGATGGTATTGTATAATCCCTTTTTACATGTTGCTGGATTCAATTGCTAACATTTTGTTAAGAATTTCTATCCTCATATTCAATAGGAGTATTGTTACACAATTTTCTTTTTTAAAAAATGTTTTTGAGTGACTTTAGTTATCAAAGTAATACTGATCTCATAAAATGAGTTAGAAAATATTCTCTCCTCTTTTATTTTCTGAAAGAGTTCATATGAAATTGGTATTATTTTCTTTTTAAATGTTTGGGAGAATTTATCGGTGGGATCGGTTGGGCCTAAAGTTATTTTGTGGGAAGATTTCAATTTCTTTAAAAGATATAGAACCATTTAGATATTCTGTTTCATCTTGTGTCAATATTCAGTGCAATTTATCAAGGAATTTGTCAATTTCATCTAAACTGTCAAAAGTATTAACATAAAGTTGTTAAAATATTTCTTTTTTTTTTTTTGAGACAAGATCTAGCTCTGTTGCCCAGGCTAGAGTGCAGTGGTGAGATCACTGTTCACTGAAGCCTCAACCTCCTGGACTCAAGTGATCCTCCCAACTCAGCCTCCCAAGTAGCTTGGACTACAGGTGTGTGCCACCACACCTGGCTAATTAAAATTTAAATTTTTGTTGTTGTTGTTGTAAAGATTGGATCTTGCTCTGTTGCCCAGGCTGGTCTTGAACTCCTGGCTTCAAGCAATCTTCCCGCCTCAGCCTCCCAAAGTGCTGGGATTACAGGCTTGAGCCACTGTACCCAGCCTATTTCTTAAAAAATGTCTCTAGGAACTATAGTGATGTCTCCTTTTTCATTCCCAATATTAGTAATTTATATTCTTTCTTCTTCTCGCCCTCTTCTTTTCCCTTTCTCTTTATTCTCTCTCTAGCCCCTTCTCTTTGAATAGTCTAGCTTGCAATTGATCACACTTATTGATCTTTTCAGAGCCAACTTTTTATTTCATCATTTTTTTGTTTGCATATTTTCTATTTCACTGATGTCCATTCTTTTCGCCTTCTTTCTATTTACTTTGGGATTAATATCTTGCTTATTCCTCTAATTTATTAGGGTATAAACTGTAGACTTTTTTCCTTTTCTAGTTTAGCATATAAAGCTAGACATTTTCCTCTAAACTCTGCCTTATCTGCAGGCTATATATTTTCATATGTTGCATGTTCATTATCATTTAATCCAATCTACTTTTCCAATATTTCTCCTAATATCTTCCTTGATTCATAGGTTATTTAGGTTATGTTTAATTTTCATACATCTGAAGCTTTGTCAGGTATATTTTGTTACTGATTTGTTCCCCCTTCCTACTTTGTGGCCAGAAAGTGCCCCCAGGTAGAAAGCTGGGGTGGGTTCTCACTTCTCAGATTTCTCTTCTCTCAGGAATAGTGTTGCCAGATACAATACAGGGCACCCATTTAAATTTGAATTTCTGATAAACAATGAAAACTTTTAATATAATTATGTCTCAAATATTGCATGTGATACTCATATTAAAAATTACTCATTGTTTATCTAAAATTCATATTTGAGTGGGCTTCCTGTATTTGTATTTGCTAAATTTGGCAACACTATTCAGGGATCCCACAGTTCTCCACTGCCTGTTGTTCAATGTCTGAGAACAGTTGATTCATGTACTGTTTTTCCTTCGAGTTTTCTCATTGACAACAGTGCTGCTCATTTATTTAATTTTAAATTAAATTTAAATAAATTAAAATATTTAATTTTAAAAGATTAAATATTTGATCAAATTTTAATTTTCCAGGTATGAGGAAAAGTCTGGTAAAATCTGGAACCAGTTATTCTGTCATGATCAGCTGTAGAAATCTCATAGTTCCTTCTGAAGGCAGATGACACTGAGTTCTTGAATAAAAAGGTCATCTCTGTCCAAAACTGCATAAATTTGGATCCATGATTGATCTAGAGCAGCAATTCCATAAGTATTCCAGAAGAAAAGGTTTTTTGGTCAAATATATTTGGACAGTGTTGTATTCTCTACTTTCTCATTAGATACTCAATTTTTAATGCATCATCAAATATTATTGCGTTCATACACTGACAAATTCACAAAGTAAACTATTTTTTAAAATATAGTAACTTTTTTCCCTAATTCTGTCCCCAGTCTATTCAGTTCTTATCATCCCTCCAGACATCTACTTTTATTTGTTTCTCGTGTGCCTTCCAAATGTCTTTTGTACATTCAGATGAATATAAGTTTGTTTTCTTATTCTCCCAAATAAAATATAGCACACTGATTTTTTTCACTCAAAGTATTTGGAGAATCTTTCTATATTAGTGCTTAGGATAATTTCTTAGGTTTAAAAAATTATAACTACATAATCTTTCTTTGTATTGTGAACATTTGAGTTGCTTTCACTCTTGTGATATTATAAACTATGCTGCAATGGGTAACCATGTGTTTATGTTACTCCTCTCCATGAGTTCATACATTCAGGATCAGTTACCAGTATTATAATTACTACGTCAAAGGGTGTCTACATTTGTAATTACAATAAATATTGTCAATTTACCCTCTATAAGCATTGTGCAATTTATTGTTATACTAATAATGAATGAGGGATGCCTATTACAGTACCCTTGACAACAGAATGTATTTAGACAACTTTTGGATTCTTGCCAATCTTATAGATAAAAAACAGCAGCTCAATGTACTTTCAATAAAAGTCAGTTATATTTCCCATGTCTATTTTTCTATTGAACGGCTGGGCTTTTTCTTATCTACTCCCATAGATAATTGTTGTATTTTTCCCTTTCCTTTTCTTTTCTGAGAGAGGCTTGCAAAAATTTTTAAAAATGTTTATTTCATCAAATGTATCAATCTTTAATGACATCTTAGTTTTGAACCATAATTAGAAAGATCTTTGACCCTCCAAGATGATAAAGACATTTTCCAATGTTTTCTTCTAGAATTGTTATGGCTTACTTTTTTAAAAAAATTAAATATTTGATCAAGTTTTAATTTTCCAGGTATGAGTTATGGACTATTATATTTTTCTTTCAATTGCTTGTGTAGTGGTTCCAGCTTTGTATATTGGACAATCCATTGTTTCTCTTTTGATTTAATATGTGGTGGCAACAGTTAGTCAACTTAGGATAAATTTATTCAATTCGTATTTTCCCCAGAAAACAATAAGTGGCTTGCTGCCTCCCTGGTATCAACCCAGGAACAGAGCCACAGAGATTCTTCTCTGGGATCCTTCCCTTCTCTGGGGGTTCTGTAGCTACCCCTAAGGTCTTAACTTGCACTGGACTGGGGGATGGCCCTGGCTGATCTTGTTTGCTTTTAAACCTCTTGTTCATGACATTTAGGGCTGCACCTTTTAATATTCAAGCCACGAAACTTCAGGTTTTGGAGGCTCAAGAACCATTCCCCTCAAACTATTGCTTTTGCCTTGAGTTTGCAACATCCATTTCGAAACTCAGAGTTTGAAAATGTTTTCTTTCTCTTTCCCTTCTGAACCCTGAAGGCAGTCACCTAAAATGCCAGTCACTGCTGTCAGAGTGTGAGGAAGAGCAGGGCTGGCAGGAAATACTGACCAAGGAGGCTCGGGACAATATTTCAAAACATGGCTTCATCACCCCACGGTGTCGGTGAACATGGTACTCCAGAGTGCTGGTTGGAAGCTTGAGATATTTTCATCATTTCAAGTGTCGTTTGAAGTATAAAGGCCTCATTCTAGTTCTAGTTTTTCCAGGTCACCTTGGGGAGACTGTGTGACTTCCTCTCTTCCAGCCTCAGTTTCCACACCTGCATTGAGGTTCTCCCAGGCTCCCTGTGAAAATCCAAATAAGACCTGAAACGAAAAGTGCTTTGTAAACCAAAAAGGACTATACACATGTAAGGCATTACTATTATCTTCATACTCATCAGAAACATTTATTGAGGGCCCCTGTGTTTCAAACACCATTACAAGGCATCTGTTCTCACACATAACAAATACCTCTTTGAGATGTTTTTAATTGCACGTTAGCTTCCTTTCAGACCCGATTCATTTCTGATCTGAGCAGCAACAAAGGGAGCTTTTATTGCTGAGGTTCATTTCTGGAAATTAAATTTCCATTTTCAACACTAATGCTACTGTAATTCGCAGTGGTTTCTGTCTCTTTTTATTGTGTCTGACAGCGACCAGCCTATCAGCGTTAAGTGGCTGAATATGCGTATGTAAATGTACAACATAAAAAGACATTTTTGAAAAGTGGGGGGAAAGAAAAACATTTAAAGTAGGAAATTAGAGCAGTCATTGGATCCCACACCATGGTTAATGAGTGCGCAGAAAGCAAACAGTTTCTGGCTCTGGGACCTCAAGCGTTACAGCCAGGGCAACACTTCTCCTGTTTTTGGAAGGAAATCAGTAATAGCCTCCACACACGGGAAGCCTTCAGTTTGCATTTTTTAATGCCTCCAGGGAGGACAGGGTTTCTGGTTTCAAATCTGTTAAATTTTTCTTTAAAAGACTAGTTTTGTTCAGAAACCAAAACAAAAATTAGCATATTAAGAATATATGTAGGTCACGAGTTTGCCCTGGTGCTCGAAGATTTCATCAAGCATAGCTTGCAAAACATCAGTGGGTTCCCAAGAAGCAGGGTGGGACTCAGTCACTTTTGCTTAATTATGCAAAATCTCTTAAAAGCCCTAAACCCTGTTTTTATTAAGTATTATGTGTATAAAATATGGCTGAATGCCCACCAATACGTTAAAAGTGGCCATTCCTGGGTGGTGAGTAATGAGAGAGTTTAATGTTCTTTCTTATGTTTATATATTTTCTAAATTTTCTAAATCCGAAGAATATGGCTTTAGAAATAAGAAAAACAAAAACGTTTTAAATACGAAGAAAAATGAAAACTCACCAGTAGTTTTGCTTCTTTATTTTGCTCCTGGTCACAGGTCCTACACTGATGCAAGCACAGCTCAATTCAAATTAATAAATACACTTTTACTGAGGACCTGCTAAGTATTGGACCTGGGCTTTTCTTCTTTCTCCAGTTTTCATCTTTGTTTTTCCTCTTACAAATGAGACTTCCTGAGTAGACCCAAAGACTGAATGGCTGTGGGAAACAGATTTAAATGTAATAAGAAAATTAGGAAAAATAAAAAGGCTTTTCTTCCCTCATGTAAATACAGGCTGTTGTTGTACCTTATTTATAATATTCTAAGTGTTAGAGATACTACTGCTAAAAACAGGTTTATTCAATTAATCTTTGAAGCATAATCGTCCTGGGGTCATGATTCTGTCCCATCTTGTTGTGTGAACTTGGGCAAGTCACTCTAAGTTGTGGGCGGACATTGGTTTGGTAGTTCAGATTAGGTTCTAAGAACTGGAACCAGGAATGGAGTGTCCAATTAGGAAAAAAGATAGAAGATTGAGTCAGTTCTGAGACTTAGAACCAAGAATGGCGTGTCCAATTAAAAAAAAAAAAGTGAGTCAAATGAACTCATTAGGGGTTGCTAATCATCTGTGGTGGAGATTGTTTTCTATTTAAAAGTCCCCGTCCACTTTTCTTCTTCTTCTCTTTCATCTTCTTCTCCCCATCCTCCTCCTCCTCTCTTCCTCCTTCACCTTCTTCCTCCTCTCTCCCATTCCTTCTGTTTCTTCCTGGTCACAGAATTGGGCCCCATTCCTCCACATCCCCTACTGTTAGCTCTGGCTTTGTGACTGACTCTCATCAATGGAATGAAAGTAGAAGTTGAGTGTAGTATTTTTGGCCAAGGATGTGTGGAAATAGTATGTCCTTCCATGCTCTCTCCCCCTTTCCTCTGGCTGCAGGCAGATGACAAGACCCAAGGAGATGGAGGAGCCACACAACTGAAAGAGATGAGGTTCCTGAATCACCACATGGAGGGAAGCGGCCACTGATTAGAAACATCTGCCTGTTTCATAAGGATAAGTAAAGGTCAGTGGTGTTTGAAACATCATGTTTTGGGTCTGCTACTACAGCTTGCCTAACTTATGCAGAATCAAATACTAATTTCAAGGCTCAGGGCAGGATCAGTAGTGCAGAGTCAAGAGCTGGGTGACAGGGGTCTGAGTTAAACCCTCATAAGACATACAAGTCAATAATAAGTAAGAGGAGGACAAAATCGTGGGGGTCCTATGGTTGGACTTTATTAATCTGTGGGGAGTTGGGGGTCAACTGGTATAATTAGCTTCCCTGGGCTCTGTTTCCCCATCTGTAAAATGGAGGTGTTAGATAAGGTCAAGAATAACAAGTGGACTTTGTCTGGAGGGCCAACACTGATAGATGAAAACAGCTATTTAGGGCACTGTGTTGAGAAGGATTCTCAGGTTGGGCCACGGACTCGCAGGGAAGAGTACCACAGCCAATTAATAGCACAGGCCCAGGAAGGGAGAGAAGGAACCTGCACACCAATAGCTGCCATAGCAATGCCAGGTGTTCTCTGATACCTACGAGTCTCATCAAGGGCAGATTGCTTCAGAGCTGTAGTGGCAAATGTGTCCTGTGAGGGTGACCTCAGAGATGAACAAGTGGCATTGAATCCATCCCTCGTAAGATTCTTAGTTTAGTGGTTTTAACTTCACAGATACCAAACTGGGCCAGGTATGGTGGCTTATGCCTGTAATCCTAGCACTTTGGGAGGCCAGTGCAGGAGGATCGCTTGAGACCACGAGTTCAAGACTAGCCTGGGCAACATAGAGAGACCCTGTCTCTACCAATAATAATTTTAAAAAATTAGCCAGGCGTGGTGACGCATGCCTGTGGTTCCAGCTTCCAGGGAGGCTGAGGCAGGAGGATTGCTTGAGCCTGGGAAGTCAAGGCTCCAGTGAGCTGTGATCACTCCACTGCACTCCAGCCTAGGCAACAGAATGAGATCCAGTCTGAAAAAAAAAAAAAAAAGATACCAAACTGTCTTTTGCATGCATGGAAATTCCATGCATGTTTTCATTTTCTGTTTTGTTCTAGGTTATTCTAAGTTAGCTCAATGAAAAGAAATACTGGTGAATAGGACACTGGGAAAAGATTCCAGTAAGGGTTCTAACAAGGTCAGACCGATTCAGCTAAAGATCTTAAAAAAAAATCAGCTATGTAGTCAGAGCCCCTAGAGTGAGCAAATAATGTTGACACAACTTGAAGGATATTCCTTTCCACCAAGGTTGCCCAGAGGAGGAAAACTAGCTCATCTTTTCAATACCCGGAGGTATTGTATTATGCAGTTAGGCTTGGTGACCAGAGAGCCAGGAGGGAGGGTTCCAGTTCTAACCTCATTGCCAACTTGCTGTGTGGCCCTCGACAACTGACATACCCTCTCTGAGCCTCTGTTTTCTCATCTGTAAAATGAGGTTTTTGACTAGATGAGTGGTCTTTGAACTGTGTTGTTTGGACCCCAAAGATTCAAGAATGATGTATGAGGTGGGAGGAGGATGTGGCAGAACAGGTAGGGTTCTGGGACCCCCTTCCTCATTTCCTAAGAGCAACCTCACTTGTATCTACTCTATGCATGGGCAAAGCATGGAACCCTCGGGATCCCTTTCCCACCCTCCAGCTGGGTGACTCCTCCCTGTGGAGGGTTGATCCGTCCAGCTGCAGCACACCCTGGGGGGCTGAGCAGAGGAGGGCATGAGCTGGGAACCGCTCCAGCAGCAGGGGCTGCCATCTGAACGCTTTGCAGCTGCCTAAATATTTTGCCTCCAGGTTCCTCCCCACAACTGCCCATGCTCTGATTCATCTTAATTAAAGGAGAGCTCTCATTCTGCCTCTGGATTTTTGTGGATTCACAAAATTCACAAAATTCTCTCACCCCTAGACTTGATATTAAATCCTCAAGTGTGGCTGTGACTCATTTCTGGTTTTATTTGGACTTAATTTTATTAGTGTAATAGTAGTGGTAGTATTCATACATTAATCATAATAATGAATATAGTTCTATGTTTACAAACCAAGCTTTAAAAATACTTTCACCTGCATTAACCCATTTAACAGACAGAGAACCCACCCTCATTCTAACTTTTATTTATTACTTTTAATTGCAAATGCAATATACACTCATATTTCATTTAAACACCAACTTTGAACCCAGGTTACCATGGCTTGAATCTTGGTTCCCTCACTTACTAGCTGTGTGACTTGCGGCAAGTTCCTTACTGTCTCTAGACCTCAGCTTCGTCAACCATAAAATGGAGATAATACAGCACTAACTTCATGGCTATTGTTAGGCTTAAATGATTAAAAATATGTAGAGTGCTTAGAGTAGTGTGTGGCATGTGCTTAGTGCTATATAAGTATTCACTACTATTTTTTTAGATATCAAGAAGCAAATAATAGTAATAAGGGAAAAGCCTGGCATTTGTCCCTTCTCATCTCTGCATTCTCAACAGAGGTGATATCACAGCCAAGGGGGTGAAAATTGGTTCTTGGAGCAGGCAAAAAAAAATCTAACTTTAAAAAAATATGCATAAAGCACAGATACATATACACTATATTAACAGATATAGAGTATAGCTATGGTTTTAAATTTTCATGGGTGGGGCAATTTAGGGGCAATTTTTTTTAAAAAGTGGAAACACTGTCCTAATCCCACTAACCAGAGTAACACCTGGTTCTGTGCATGTCCTTTCAGATCCTTAAAAAATTCTAGTTATTTCGCAACAATGCTGTTTCTGAGCTCTGCTCCGGGTTCTCTTCTGATTTATCGTGGCTGTCTTTCCATGGTGCAAATGAATAAATGATGCTTTCTGTGGTGATGCACCACGATAAACCGTCACCGATGCACAGAGTCCCCTGCTTATGAGCATCCAGGCCAACTCCAGTGAGTGGTGTTCTTGGCTACAAGGTCAGACTCCTCCTACAAGTTCAATTGTGGGGTGGGGGTGGCTACGCTTTCAAAGTTTTCATAGCTCCTGTCAAATTACTCATTTGAGCTTCATAAGGATTCTGGGCATGATCACTAGATGTGGAAACCACCTCAGAGAGGCTGTAGCATGTGTGGCAGAGAGAAACCAGCCCAGCAGGCTTCCTGTCTCTTGTGCTGGAGAGGCAGGTAAATTTCTGCTGAATTTTCTCCTACTTCGGGCTTTATCTGTGGGCTGAGGGCTCCCTGGGTGGCCCTGGACTAGCTCGCTGGGGATCTTCGCTGTGCAATTTCTCAAGCTTGCCCCACCTTGCTGCTTGAGGAAGACCCTCTATGCCCAGTGAGGTTTGTAAGGAGCCACAGAGGTTGGCATTGCCAGCTGGGCAGTGAGGCTTCTGGGAATCTCAGAGACACCTCTTTCCCTGCAAAAGCTGCATCACAGCCTACTGGCCCTCTCGCCTCTATCCATCATATTCACTTCATTCCAGAAACAGACCCCCATAGAGTTTCTGGTTTTCTTCCATTGATTCATTAAACCCCTATCTCTGACACTTTCTTGAAACTTCTTGCAACCTCACACCTGACTTACTGACTCCTCTTAAAGTGCTCATGGCACATTTTACCTGGCTCAACTTTCTAAAACAGGACTTCTCAAACCGTGATATGTCTGTGAGTCACCAGGGATCTTGTTAGAGTGCAGATTCTGATGGCACAGATCTGGGGTAGGAGGGATTCTGCTTAATCAGCCCCTGAGCAGTTGAGAATGCTGGAATTAGCAGAGTCCATCTAAACATGATGAAGCATGTCTGGTTCTCGATGGAGCCAGGTAGCAGGGACCAGCCCACCTCTTCCTTTCACCTAAAGCGGAGACCCCTGGAGAATGCTGTTTCTGATCTCAGTCTTTCCCTCACTCTGGTTTCTTGGACATTTCACCACGTGTCCGGAAGGGCCAGACTTCCTCTAACCATTCTGGAAAGAGCCAAGTTTATGTTCAATCAGAGGAGATGTGTGCCCATATATTGTAGTTCTGGAGATGCAAGGAAATGGACATGTGTACTCCATTCCAACACACACACACACACACACACACACACACACACACACACACAAACACACATACACATCCAGCCAGAGTAACTCCTCAACATTTTAGCTTTGGCTGCCATTTGCAAGTTGTTCCTTGGTGGTTTATATCCTCTTTCCTTGAAATTCTTTTCTATACAAATGACTCTAGAAGAAGGACTATTTCAGACACAAACATCTTAGTGTTTCAGATGATCTTGGCTGGGATGGGGTGAGGTGGGCATGTCAACAGGGTAAAAAAGGGAACCCAGATGCCCTGGGAATACTAAAAATGACCAATCTTTGGTGAGTGCCTACTGCATATCAGGAGGCCTTTAAAGCACTTTATATGTATTTCCCCATTTTGTCCTCAAAAAGACCTGAGGGAGTAGGCACTATTGTTAGTATAATAGTATTCATTTTATGCAAGAAAACTGAGGCCAACAGAGGTTAAGTAATGTGCCCAAGGTCACAGAGCTAAAAAGCTGGAGAGCTGAGATGTGGGCTGCAAGAGTCCATAACTCAAGGTCATGAGCACCTTACTCTTCTTCCCCTTGGGTTGGAAGAGGAGGAAGAGGTGGTTGCTATGAAGAGGAGGCAGGGGGTGCCAGAGACAGATGCTCCCAGTTTACTTCTGGGCTGGGTTCCAGCTTTGAGTGAACTGAGGCTTCTTCATGTTTTTTGTCATTGATCCAAAGGACAACTATCAGCAGGTCTTGCAGTCCCTTCCAGACATTGTTCTTGAGCCTGTGACTATGGAGAAGGGTGTGCCTTTTCCCTCTGCACTTGATCTGGGTGTGAGGTGGTGCTGACCCACACCCAGACACACCCCTGAAAGCTACCTTCAGTTGCTCAATTGCCTCATGCCCTCCCTTACCTCCAGGCCTTTGCTCATGCTCTTCCCTCCACCTTGTACCTTCTTCCCACTCACTGCTCCTGGATGACTTCTACTTCAAATAACAGCTTAGAGTCGCCCCTATAGGAAGCCTGCCTAGACCTACCACTCCACAGGTAGCCACATTCCTCTGTAAGCCTCACATGCCATCAACACTTTCATTCCACATTGGCATTCTAAGAAGTAGAATGGTGGAGTAGTTCAAGGACAGACTTTGAAACCAACTTGCCTGGATTCAGATTCAGGTTTGGTCACTTTCTAGCTAGATGACCTTAGGCAAATCACTTTAATGCTTGGTGCCTTATTCTCCACCTGGAAAATAAGGAAACAAGAGTAACACACATATGTGTTACAGGGTTGTCATGAGGATTCAAGAGGTTAATACATGCAAAGTGCCTCAAAGGGGACCTGATGCATAGTAGGGCCATGTAAGCACTTATAATTACTGACCATGTCCTTGACTGCATACCCAAGGAAGACAGTTTCTCCTTTTCAGAACTGTTTCTGTGGAACTTCACCTGGTGTCCTGTGCATTGTCTGGCACACAGTAGAAATGTAATACGTGCTTGTCGGTGAACAAATGAGTTTTTTGGACAAAAGCCCTGTCTGGCCACATCTAGTTATGATTCTTCCCAAACCATTCGAAGTGGACCTCTGGCCCTTTATGCAAGCTAGAAAAGGGCCCCCTTCTGTTTTCTTCTCTACGCCCTGAAACCCAGAGCTAATGGCAACAATTTATATCTCCCATTTTCTTTTTTCTTTTCTTTTTTTTTTTGTTTTTTTTTTTTTTGTTGTTGTTGTTGTTTTTTTTTGGAGACGGAGTCTCTCTCTATCGCCCAGGCTGGAGTGCAGTGGCACGATCTCGGCTCACTGCAAACTCTGCCTCCCAGGTTCATGCCATTCTCCTGCCTCAGCCTCCTGAGTAGCTGGGACTACAGGTGCCCGCCACCACACCCCACTAATTTTTGTATTTTTAGTAGAGAGACGATTTCACCATGTTAGCCAAGATGGTCTCGATCTCCCGACCTTGTGATATGTCTCCCATTTTCTAAAGGCAAAAATCCAGACCAAAAGGGGAAAAAAATTGCCCAGGGTCACACAACCAATAGCACTGCTGAAATGGAAGCTGGATCTCCCAGTTTCTCTCCCTGCTCCCCCCGCCACAGCCCCTCCACACCGAGTAGATCCTGAAGTTGAAATGGTGCGGTAACCAGATTGCATGATATTGTAGTAACCTTCACCCTGTCATATACCTGCCACCTTGACTCTGTGACCTGGCACACTGTGATTGAATTCTTGGCCCCAATGCCTCAGCCCCTCTATACCCATGCCCTTTGTGATGTTTTAGCTTCTCCTGTTTTAGGTGTAATGCACCAGCCCTTGACATTGGCCTTCATCCTGTGGCTTGCTTTAGCCAGTGGGATGGGATAAGGGTGCAGTGAGCCATTGTAAGCCAGTCTTCAGTGTCTGCCCTTGGCTCTGTCACACTTTTGCCATGATCAGGCTTCCCCCGGAAGTCACTGCCCCTTTGTTGTGAGCCCAGAATAAGCACATGAGCAGCAGATCTGAGCCCGACCAGTGGCTCGAAGCAGGGCTGCCCCAACAAGCCTAGCAAGACCAGCCAATCCCCGCCTGCCCGCCAGTCACATGGGAAGTATATTCTTCTTGTGAGATGTCTCTGACAGGTTATGGTTGTTTCTGGTTACTCGGCATTATTGTGGCAATAATTGACTGGAAGGAAAACCTGGCTGTCTCTCTTTGTCATCCCTGGTGACCTCAGGCTCTGCAGGGGAACTTCTGGATGAAATTAGGTGACAAGTGTGGCTTGGTGTCCCAGGACTGAGAGTCCACGTGAACTCAGACCCTTATCCTGGGTTCTAGCCCCAGCCCTGCCTGTTACGAGGCTGGGTGACCTCAAACAAGTCCTTTGTCTTCTCTGGGTTCAGTTTCCTCATGCTTGAATTAAGGGTGGTGGGACTGAGTCTCTTCCAGCCCTAACATGTGTGTGATTCCAGGTGAATGAGGTTTTGGAAACATGCGATGTATAACTTTATATTGAAAAAGAACAGCAGGTTGAAATATGAGGTTTAAGTCCCACACAGTGCAAAAAAAAACAAACAAAAGCACCTGGAGAGAGACATTTTAAAATCCAGGGACAAACTCTTAAAAGAATATTAGGTTCCGGCAAGCAGTCACGTAGAAAATGTCCCATCAGACAAGTCTAATGCTGTGACATGTTAGATCTGTCATTCTCTTTTGATCTAGTAGACCTGGAATTACCCACAGCAGCACTCCTTTGTATTTTTTGAACCGTGGAGCAGCAGCAGTTATGAGCTTGGCTTCTGAAGTCAGACAGGCCTGGGATTGAATGTGGATTCTTTCACTTCCTAGCACTGTGACCTTGGGAAACTGGCCTGCCTTCCCTGAGCCTCCTCCTTGATCCTTAAGGGTAAAATTGGAGACTAGGAGATTAGGTGTATTGAGTTCTTACTGGGAGCCAAGCCCTATTTTATTTTATTTTATTTTAATTAATTAATTAATTAATCGAGACAGAGTCTCGTTCTGTTGCCCAGACTTGAATGCAGTGGCATGATCGTAGCTCACTGCAGCCTCGACCTCCTGGGATCAAGTGATCCTCTCACCTCAGCTTCCCAGATAGCTGGGAATACAGGTGTGTACCACCACACCCAACTCAGGCCACATTTGAATCACTTTGTTTGAATTAGTCCGCATAATAGCTCCACGGAACAGGTATTTAAAAAAATTACCATTCCCATTTTACAAAAGGAAAAACTGAGGCTTAAAGAAGTTAAGTAGTTTACCAAAGGCTGCAAAACTGGCAAATGCCTGACTTTGAGGCAGGACAGTCTTGTAAGAGGGGCTCCAAACCAGTGGCCCATATGTTCTATCTTGCAAAGAGGCTAAGGTCAAATGGCTACAAGGAGTACCCGACTCACTGTAAGTACTCGGACCATCCTAGGAAAGAACTCAAATACAAGCATCAAAATCACCTGGGGAAACCTCACCCACTCCACAGCCTCGGTGTTGTGCACAACAGCATGACTAGAAGGAGTTCCTCTTTTGCCTTTCTTGGAGCTAATGCAAAAGGCAGAGGTTTAGGCTGGGCTTTATTTCATTCATTTTTTTTTTAACAGCCAACAATGTCTGAGTGACCCAGGAGTTTCTGTCATGCATGATTATGAATGCCCCCAAAGGGCACAGATAAACACAAGTGCCCACGTCAGCCCTTAAAGGAAAGTCGACAGATTGCAGGCTGGTCCTGAGTGGGCTGGTCCACTATTGAGGCAGACTGCCTAAGGTTGTGGTACAGAAATCGTGGCTCCACCGTGGGAGTGAGAGATCACTTCCTAGAGAATGGCCTTTTTGTGGCTCTGCTGGAGGAACAAAGGCTGAGCTAGAACAAGGAGATGGCAGAGCCAGAAGCAAGATTTGAAGCAGGAAGCAGGGAACCCACTCTTTGCAGTTTCCAAGTGTCTTGGAAAAGCACATGGGCATTGCTGGGCCCATTCTCCTCAGCAGCGAAGTTGCCACGTGAACAGATCTGTATTGAACCCCAGAGAGGGCTTCAGCTGCAAGCTCGAGTGTCAGGGTCAGATGGAGAGCTGGGAAGGAATCCTATCCAGAAGCTAATTAGTTTAAACTGCTGCATCACAGAAATTAAAAGGCAAATTTGCAAATTTCAAGTAACCACTACCCACAAAAAAGACAAAGGTTTCCCCTGGAAAGAGGCCAATGCTGAAATGAAGAGAGGCAAAAGAATAATAAAGGGTAATTTACAGGTCAATTTCTCTTTATTACCTGAGACATTTGTATGCTCATTCATTCATTCTTATATTTATTCTTGTGGGATTGCCCAATTGTAGACTAAACTTATGCTTAAGGCATGAGCAAAGTAGGAGAACTTTTCTTCCCTCGAGGTTCAGTTTCAATAGACTTTCACGGAATTGTTAAATCCAAAAATCTACAAATAATAAAGAAAATTAACATGCATATACATTTTGTGTTTTACTATTGTATTTATTTATTTATTTTGAGACATAGTCTCGCTCTGTCACCCGGCTAGAGTGCAGTGGTGCGATTATAGCTTGCTGCAACCTTGAGCTCCTCGGCTCAAGTGATCCTCCTGCCTCAGCTTCCTGAGTAGCTTGGGCTACAGGCACTTGCCATATTGTTTTTATTTTGAATTATATATAGACAGTTGAGGAATTCATTATATTTTGAAGGCTCAGGGATTCAGAAACATCTAAATCTGGTCCCACATTAAGCATGTATGAATCAAATGCGTAGTGCCAAGTATTGTGCTAGGTACTGGGATGTAGCTGTTGTATTAGTCAGAGAAACAGAACCAAGAGCAGTCGGCAAGCTGAGGGCCCAGGAGAGCCAGTGCTGGAGTTCCAGTTCAAAGACCAGCATGCCTGTGACCCAGGAAGAGCCATTTCTGTTCAAATCTAAGGGCCAGAAACAAACCGATATCCCCCTCAAAGGCACTCAGGCAGGCGGAGTTTCCTCTTACTTGCAATAGTCAGTTTTTTGTTCTGTTCAGGTCTTCAGCTGATGCATAAGGCCTACCCACATTAGCAAGAACAATCGTCTTGACTCAGTCTACATACTCAAAGGTTGATCTCACCCAGAAACACCCTTGCAGACACACCCAGAATAACATTGGACCAAATATCTAGGCACTCTGTGACCCAGTCAGGTTGACACATAAGATTAACATCACATCTGTGAATCACACTGTTAGTTGTGGCTGTGGTTGTTTAAGAGGAAGGCAGTAGAGGACCCAATGAGAGTAGCACTGAAATAGGAAGGAGGGATATCAGCCTGGCAAGGTGCACAGACCCTGCCAAGTGATTGGTGGAGGCAGTAAGAAAAGATGCAAATTTTGAGCCTGAGTGTGGAATCAAAGGGTCAGCAGTGGAAGCTTGGTGGTGCCATTAACATAATTATTAATATTTCAAACCAGAAAACTGGTTTAAAGAGGGGAAAACAATGGTGAGTCTTCGGAGGGGTCATCACCATCCTGGCTTGCCCAAGACAGTCCCAGTGTGCACCTCTTGCCTTGGTGTCCCATTTGGTTTGGACTTTGTCCCTAAAAAAAGTATACCAATTCAGGTGACAAGTTGTATTGTCACCTCTAATCTTCAGGCACATTGTATTTGAGCCGTCAACATATTCCATGACGTTGGAAAGGCTGCGTGTCATCTAACTTACATCCTTCCAGCTGTAATCACAGCCTGCTCTTATGGTCCTGACGTTGGGTGCACCAACAACCAGGGAACCACTGGCATTTGTGAAGTTCTGCCAGACACTATTCTGGGCACAGGGGTGAGGGGGAAGCTATGGTGTTGAGTAAGACTGAGGCATTACATCCAAGGAACTCTGTTCTGAGGGGATACAGACTAGTAAGCAGATAATTATAGCACAGTGTGATTAGAGCTTGGAGAGAAGCAAGCCCAGGGCTCAGGGAGCCCCACCAAGAAGTGTCTTTTTATCACTGGCCATTGCTGCAGGCAAGTCTCTCCTCAGTGTTCAATATTAATTAATGAACAGTGATAGGGCACCTGGGCCCCCTGCTGTCACCCTCGCTCCCCTGCAGCCTATCCCCCACACAGCTGCCAAAAGAGATCTTTTTTCTCTTTTAAGACTTCATTTTTTTAGAACTGTTTTAGGTTCATAGCAAAACTGAGAGGAAGGTACAGAGAATATCTATATGCCCCTGCCCCCACACATGCACAGGCTCCCCCATTATCCACATCCCCCACTAGAGGGATTTGTCACAGTTGATGAACCTACACTGACACGTGGTGATCACCCAAAGTCCACAGTTTACGGTCGGGTTCATTCTTGGTGTTGTACATTCTAGGGATTGGACCAATGTGTATGACATGTATCCACCATTATAGCATGACACACGGTAGTTTTACTCCCCTAAAAGTCCTCTTTGCTCTGCCTATTCATCTCTTCCCCCCTCCTAGCCCTCGATGACCATGATCTTCTTACCATCTCCATGGTTTTGCCTTCTCTGGAATGTCGCATAGTTGTAATCATATAGTACATAGCCTTTTCTGATGGGCTTCTTTCACTTCTATGCATTTAAGTTTCCATGCTGTCTTTTCATGGCTTAATAGCCCATTTCTTTTTAATGCTGAATAATATTATATTGTCGGAATGTGCCATAGTTTATTTATCCATTAACTTATGGAAGAGCATCTTGGTTACTTCCAAAGAGATCTTTTTAAAATAAAAAAGCTGAGAGGTTATTGTTTTCTTTCTATATCCCTGCACTTCCCATTATACGAGGCTAGCATCTAGGTTTCTTATCAGGGCCTATCCTACCACCTCTGACCCTGGCTACCTTTATGATTGTTAATATAGTGCAGATGAGAGAACACATTCAATCTATGCGGTCTTGATTGGGAGTTAAACCCATGAATAGAAACTACTTGACAAAACTTTTGCTCAAGTGAAGGATGGGCTGTCTCACTCATAAAGTAGTGAATTCCCTGACATTGGATGTGTGTAACCAAAGGAACTGTGACTGCCTCATAGGAATATTTTAGAGAGAATTAAAACTTTAAAAGGGGAAGTTCTATTATTTGAACTTTAAGGCCCATTTTAATATGTTACTCTATGCTAAAGATATTTTGCTTATAAGTGGGAGATGTTCTTCTTCCCTCCTGCCTCTTTAATCCATTTCAAGAGAAGGGAACACTAATCTAGATGGAGGCTGACTCAGGGCCTCTCCAGGCTATGGGGCACCGGCTGAGCCACAGGGCATCCATGCAGGCCTGGCTCACTCTCTGGCACAGTGTTCACCCCTAGACTGGAGAAAGGGCCATTAGAACTGAAGGCTGCCTTGTCCATCTCTTCTTTCTTCTTTTTTATTTATTTATCTATCACATTCTTGCCTAGCACTGACTGTGTACAAGGCAGGATTGTAATTCCTTTCCAAACACTAACTAAAGTAATCCTCAGAGAAACCCAAGATGGTAGGTACAATTATTACCCCCATCTCACAGATGAGGAAACGGAGGGCAGAGAGGTTAAGGAGCTTGCCCACGGTCATGCAGCTAGTCAGTGGTGGATCAAGATTTGAAGCCAAACATTGTGGTTCTAGAATCGAGGCTCTGAACCACTACAGTCATGCTGCCTCTTTCTTTAAGTGAAAGCTTCAGTTTTTAATGTCATTCTGGTGATTAGATTGGGTCTCACTGGGGAATGAGTGCTTCCTTGTTCCAATACCCCTGCATATATGGGCTTATTCTGTCAGACTTTGGGACAAGGACTGCAGGGCTCCTCTGTAGGAGTATGCATTCATCTGGCATCATCCAGTGCAGAGACCTGGCCTTGGCCACAGGAGGCCATCGGTGACTTCATGCAGCAGACCTATCTTCCTTTTTAGAGTTAGTGCCTATTCATCCTGCAGATTTCAATGGAATTACCATCCCCTTAGGAAGTTTTATTAACCCTCTGCCCTGCCCCACCCTGGGGATCTTAGTCAGGCTAAAATAGGTTATGCTGCAGTAACAAACAACCTCAAAATCTCAATGATTCATCACAGCTAAAGTTTATACTTCAATCATGCTGAGTTGCTTGTGGTCCAGGCAATTCTCCTGGGCTCTGTTCCTCCACGTGGTAACTCCAGGTTATTTCCACCTTGTGGCTGTACCTTCTCAACACATTTGCCTCAAAGGGGAATGAGAGGCTGGAGAATCATGGAGAGGTGTTTCAATGGTTCATGTATGCTCACATTTTATTCTCACATGACCCCAAAGGGCTGGGAAGTTAGTTTCCTGAAGGACCAGGCAGCAGAAGAGAATTGGTTGTGAGTGAACATTAGTCATGTCTTTCAAACTAAACCAGGTCTCTTTTTTTATTGCTCTCATATCTTCATGCACCTTATTTATAACAGTTTGTAATTGCATATTTGTGTGATTATATGATAAATGTCCATCCTTCCCCCAATCTCCATTAGAATGTAACTTCCATGAGGCAGAAACCATGTCTACATTTGCTTATTGTTGAATAAATGGGTGGGTGGAGGGATAAATGGATGAATGAATGAATAGATAAGTAAATGTGTAGATGGGTGAATGAATGCATGGATAGATGGATGGTTGGATGAATAAATGAATAGGTAAATGGTTAGATGGATGAATAAATGGATGGATAGATGGACAGATGGGTGGACAGGTAGATGGATAAATAGATAGATGGGTAGATGGATGGATGAATGGATAGATGAATAAATAAGTAAATGGATGGATGGATACATGGATAGGTGGATGGATAGGTGGCTGGATGGATGGGTGGATAGATACGTGGTTGGATGGATAGGTGGCTGGTTGAATGAATGGATAGATGGATGAATGGACAGATAGGTGGATAGGTAGGTGGAGGATGGATGGATGGTTGATAGATATATACGTAGATGGGTGGATGGATGGATGGAAGAATGGATAGGTAGATAGGTGTATGGATGGATGGGTGGCTGGAGGAATGAAAGGATAGTGAGCCCTTTGTATGAAAGATGACACATTCACAATTCATCATTCCTTAGATGTGTCTGTTGTTTTCTCCCAAGTTTCAGAACTAGTATAATCCTAATAAGAGTTAATTAACATTTCCTAGGGGATTAACATCTGAGACCTTTTCAGAGAATTAATTGCCATTTGGTGTTAAAGATGCAACCAAAATCCCCAGGAGAAGTTGTAATCTCAGAACTAAGGTCTCACTTCTTCACTCAGCCCCTGCCTTGCTGACATGCTGGTCCTGTTTGTGGCTGGGAAGGGCAATAGGAATGTGTGAAGCCACCACCAGGGAAATGCTACTCACCTCAACCATGCTACAGTAGCAATCCTTGGCTCATAATATCTGAGCATAGATGAGATCAGAGAGATAAGTGGCACATTTGGGACATCAGCAGGAAATGTGCTTCCCACTCTGAAAGAGTATGTGGCATTGAAATGGATCTGCTTTTGAGACAGCTGAGGAGGAGTCTGGGGTCCATTCCAGGGAGAGATGGCTTTGCAATATGTGGAGGGTGATCCTGAAGGAGGAAGGAGATGCTAATCCTTTGCAATCTCTTTTCCTCTCAAGACTGCAAATTCTTTTCAATATCACCTGCAGCTTCATTTAAATAACCCACTTGCCCCAGTAGCTCTGACACTTTGTGAGAAGTCACCATAAAGAAGGTTTACAATAGGTCACAATAATCGTGGTCTTGTTGATTGGTTGAACTGCTGAGGGCTGAGATTCTTCAGAGGCCATGTCCTGCATCCTCCCCGTTGTTAAACAAAATCTTATGATAAATGGAGTTTTCAGATGTGTTGGTCATTAGCAACATCACTACTATAGTCAAATTCTCCTCCATCTGAGCGCATGGTAGAGCTACATCTCCTCACCCCCTGCCAGTGTAGCCATTGACTTGCTTCAGCCAATGGGGTGTGAGCAGAAGTGACACATGTCACTTCTGGGCAGAAACTTTAAGAGCCAATGTGCAATTTAGTCTTTGCTTCTTTCCCCTGCCACACAGTTTGTAATGCTCCAGAAGCTCCAGCTGTGCAAATCCCTGAATGAGGAACTTGAGGGACATAACCCTCCAGCGGACCTGCAGTGGATATGCAGTGTGTGCAAAAACCATGTCTTTGTTGTGTTAAGGCACTGAGATTTTCAGCCATTTGCTACTGCAGCATTCCCTGCTCTATCCTGCCTGGTACATGTGATTATTTTAGAACAGAAGTTACAACATTGATTTAGGAGCTTGAATAGAACTAGGCCTCCAAGTGGACAACAGACATCCAGAGGAGGCGTTCTGGAGCTGGTGATGAGAGCAGAATCTCTGAAGCCAGACAGTCTCGAGTTTGAATTTCTGCTATGCCACTTAGAGGCTGAGTGATCTGGGACAAACTACTTAACATCTCTGGGCCTCATTTCCCCTTTCCAAAAAATGGGGACAGGACCCACTTCATAAGATTGTTGTAAGGGGTGAATTAGAAAATACAAAGGGCCTAGCAAAGTGCTTCCAGTTTAGTAAATATTCAATAAATGTTGATGCAGCCAGAGTGAAATGTATTTTACAAAGTTCATTGAGCATAAATGTCATTGCTTTGTTAAACAGCTCAATCTTTATTTTAAGGCAAGAGTTAGAAACCAGCCAATTTAGTGTTGTCCACTTTCCCTGGGGATAGGCTTTGTGCCAACAGGGTGCTAGGGGGACAAGGGTGGCCATCAGTAAGCTTGCTGGCATCTGGTAAGTCATTCTCGTTCTCATCTGGCCTCTGGTCACCTGTCTACACTGGTCACTACTGTGACCTTCCTTCCTAAGCAAGGCCTCCTCTATTTGTCAGCTCCCTGGGCTGCAGCTGGGCTGCTCAGAAGGTCTGAGAAGACTGCATCTGCCTCTTGTCTCTTCGCTGTTGGAAACCCTCCCCATAGAAGTAGAGGGAGCCATTGTCTTCGGCCACCACACGAGACCCTGTGAGGCTGTGTGTATCCTCTGGTCAGACCTACCCCTCTTTCTTCTACTCTTCCGCTATACTGGGTCGGGGGTCTTGCTCCTTCTGTGGGAACAGAGACCCTGGCATCTTCAGCTTTGGAATTCCTTAAACATATCTGCTTGGAAGTGGGATAGGTGAGTCAAGCTTCAATGTCCTTCACTCAGACCCCAGGGTATCTAAATGCTCTTTATTTCTTCAGATTATCCTTCACCACCAGGGGCTATTTATCTAACCTCAGGGACAGTAAATAGGGCGGCAGCTCATAAGCTCCTTTCCAAGGAGATTTTGAGGCCTGCGTTCCTGGCTCACCAATACTTTTCACCAGTTTTGTTTTCACATCTTTTTCTAGAGGGAATGGATGCCACATGGTGCAGCTGCCTAAAAGCTAAGAAGGGGTCATGGGGTAACAGGAAATACCAAGGAAAAATAATAATTGGTAAGCATTTAAAATCACCACCCTACATCATTAGCTATTACTGTAATTGTTATTACTATAATCATTACAGACATATTGAGTTATGGGTTCTTTTATTAATAACTTTACTCCTGCACCTTGAGCTCCCCAATCCAAATAATACCCATATAATTAAAGCTCAACTTTTTCCTTCCTGCCTCAAACAGTATTTCCTGACCTCCAGCCCAAACATTCCCCTCCTCTCATCTCCTATTTGATTACTATCTGTGATATATAGTAATATGTATTTTAAATGAGCTTTTCATGTGTATACATCTCCTTTTGCTTTTTTTTCTAGTTATCTATTTCTGCACACAACCTACCCCCAAAATTAGCACTTCAAGAAATCATTTTATTACATTTATGGAGTTTGTGGGTCAGTAATTGGGAAAAGGGATTGCTGAGATTGCTGGTCTCTGTGCCACAATGTCTGGGGTCTTTCTGGGAAGAACCCGAGGATGGTGGTGACTTGATGGCTGGGACAGGAATCATCTGGAGATGTCTTTACTCCTGTGTCTGGCATTTGACACCGACTACTGACAGGAAAATGTTCAGATGGCCTCTTCATGTGGACTGGGCTTCCTCCCATTATGGCAGCCACAGAAGTCTTACTATGGCATCTCAGGGCTCCAAAGGCAAATGCCCTAAGAGAACTAGGTAGAAGCTCTACTGTCTATTATGACTTAGTCTTGGATGTCACATATTACCACTTCTACTTTAAGTCTAGTATTCAAGAAGGAGAAACAGACCCCACCTCTCAGCAGAAAGAGTATTAATGACACACTATAAGATCAGTAATCTTTAAAAAAATACCTTTTGCCACTGGTCTAGGAACTCCCTCCAGGACAGTGACCATGACTTATTTCTCTTTGAACTTTTCCAGACCCATCACAGTACCTTAAAAGTAATACATGCTCAATAATATTTATTGGTTGATGAAATGGCCTGTGACGGAGCCAGCCACATAAATATCATACGTTAATACAATTGGAGTTGAATAGCATTATATCATTGACAAGTCACCCAGATATATGCATCATTCATATGTCATTTAAGTATCACAATAGCCCTGCCAAGGAGGCAAGGGTAGCCTCACCCATGAGCTCACTGGGGCCTCAGAAAAGTTAGACAATGTGTCTAATGTCAACACAGCTGGAGGGCAGATTTGAACCCAGGATTTACCTTCCAGTTCAGGACTTGTCCCCTCGCAGAGTGGGAGATACCCAGTTGAAACAAAGGTGGGAAAACAGGCAGGTAAATATGACTCCCTCCACGTGTGTCTCGAACTGTTCGGCAATCCCTAATCCAACATCTTCAGGCTGTTTCTCCTTCCTCCCGTGCCCCCTTGCCAGAAGGCTCAGTGAGGAAAGGCCTCCAAGTCTGGTGTCGAAAGCCAGGCTCCTGGTAACCAAAGATGGTTGGCAAATGGTCTTTGAACAAACTTGTCTCATGAAATGCTGGGTCGGTTTCACAAGTACATAAAATAACAACAGAATCAAAGACATAAACAAGAACAAGCCTGTAATCGTCACGCAGTTGGGCGGGCATCGGGGAAGGAAGGCAGCTTTGGATGCCCTTGCCCCTCCTGTTTTCTTTGCTGTAGATTCCAGTTCTCTGGCCATCTGTTCCTTGTTGTGGGTGGTTAAATGAAATGGGCTGCCAATACAAATAGCCCCACTTGAGGTTTGTTTGCATAAATTGTTTTGAAAGCTTCATGACGAATTTTCAGGATTACTTGCAGTGGTAGGGACCTTGGCGGAGGCGGAAATATAAATTTAGGTATGCCAGTTGGAATCTATTAATTTGTTTGCAGCCCATCACCTTAGCTCTACTGCTTAACTGGCTGTGTGACCTCGGGCAGATGAATTAAACTCTCTGGTCTTTAGTTTTTGCATCTATTCAATGGGAGATGATAGGCATAGTAGCTACCTTATGGAATTACACATATGAAACAAAATGATGCATATAAGGTGCTAAGCACAGGGACTCAAATGGGGTATGCACTCAATAAATAGAAGAAAATAGAGTCTTTTTCCAAAATGAGAGGAAGAACTGCTTCATTTGGTGTGCAGAGTCAGATAGCTGTGGGGTTGCACCCCAACTAGTTGACTTGCTCTTTAGGAAACAACTTTGGGAAAGTTTTTTTTTTCTCTCTCTCTGAGCCTCTTCAATTTGGAGAATGGGGGAAATAATGGATTATAACGACTACATGAAGCACCTTATATAGAAAACGAAGCACCATATCAAGCACCGACAATGAATGCCACTGTTATTTTCCACAATGGCCATGGCTGGGCTACTTCTGAAGGAGTTTGAGCCCCTTACTCTCTAGGTCTGGGATGGCACATCCATCTGTCTCCTGCATTTGCTCTGGTTGCTTGGTTGGAGATGTCTGGAGCAGCTTGTTCAGAAGAAGCTCTGCGGGCCTCATTGGGAAAGAGAGATTGGCACTTTCTGCCAGGAGTGAAGGGCGAGGAGTGAGGACACAAGAGCGTGTTTGACCCTAGACTCTAGCAAAAAGGCATTAAAACTGCTGCCTGCACATGGTCAGCTGGTAAAGAGAGAAGACACCCAGGGTGAAGGAGTGAGGTGGAATGAAGCCATAGCTTGGATTGTAATTCCACTGTGCTGCTGGCATCTCCAGGAACAGGCTGGGGAGGTTCCAGGAAAACAGTCTATTTTAGGTTGATTCTCTTAGAGCAAGAGAGAGACAGAGATGAGACAGAGACAGAGGAGAGAAAGAGAGAGAGAGCATGCAGAAGTATGAGACTAAGGAAGGCAGACAGAGAAGCAGATAGGAAACAGAGACAAAGAAAGGAAAATAGGGAAGAGGAAGAGACAAGGAGTGAGAAGACAGAGAAGAAAGAGCTAAAGTTGAAGAGAGACAGAAAAAGAGGAACACACAGAGAGACAAAGACACAGAGAAGGTGTGACAGAGACAGACACATATATGGACAGACACACACAAATGCAGAGACGGACAGACACACACAAATGCAGAGACAGCCATACAGAGGGAGAGAGAGACACACATATAGTGAGTGAAATAGGAGCACAGAGAGATAGGGTAGGAGAGATGGAGAGATAAACAGAGACGGAGAGAGGAAGGAGAAGAGGGAGAGTTCAGTGGCTGCCCATGGTTCCCAAAGCCGGATGCAGCAGGGAATGGAGTTCATTCAGCCTATGTGGGGATTTGGATCTTACACCCAGGGACCACCAGAAGTGGTAGTGGCCCTTGTCGCTTGGATACCAGCTGCCCATGAGTCCTCAGCCGGGCACGCCAGCAGGATCTTTTGGGCTTCCAGAAGCCGGACTCAGCTCTTTCATCTTCCAGCCCTGGGGTCCCATCCTATAATGCAGGCCAGGAGCTGCCCAGATGGAGTGAAGGCCAGAGCTTGTGGCCGTGCCAGTCCCAGCATTTGCACCGATGACAGTTAAATTGTCAGGGCCTCTGTTGTTCATTTACATCACAGCCTCGAGAGTCCTCTGACGACCTCCCCAAATGAAAGCCAGCTGCCCCCATCTCATCCATTGTGCATTTTGCTTCACTTCAGACTTCAGACGGTCTCCTGACTTTCAACTCAAACCTGCCGTCTGCCTTGACAAGCTGTAGTGCTTAATGATATTTTATTGCATGATTTCACCAAACCCTAGAGTTTTTCACTTATCTTAAGCTAATGGACTAAATCTGGACCCATTTGCTAAAACAAGCTCTCTTTTCACAAGGAGAAGAGTGGTTACACATAAATCAGGGTTTCAGGTAAAATATTAAGTTTCTATTGCATCTGAGCAACAGGCTGTACTTCTATGTGACTGGTACGGCAGCCGTCACAAGGCAGGTTTGAAACTTGTTTTCCTACTGGGAGGGAGGCACAGCAAGCTGTTTGGTTCACTGCCCCCAGTCACTTGATAAATGTTTGTTGAGCTTCTACTATATGTAAGTCCTTGAGGGATATGCGATTAAAAAGCATGCCCCCAAAGAGATTACATTCTGGTAAGGGATATACACACACACACATGCACACACACACATACACACATATATACACATGTACATAAAGATATACATCTTTAGATAAATATACACATACATGATACAAACACATGCATGTAATAGAAATATACATACTTAGATATACACGCATACATATATACACATACATGTAAATATATACATACTTATATACACACATATACATACATTCACATGCACATATATACATACTTAGATACATGCCCCCAAACATATATACACATACATGTAAATATATACACATATATATGCGCATATACATATATACAATGCAAATATACATACTTAGATATATAAACACACATACGTATATACACATACATGTAATTATACATATTTATATATACACATATACATATATACACATACATATAAACATATACTTTAGACATAAACACATATATACACATGCACATATATACACATTTGTACACACACATGTACACATGCACATAAATTATAAATACTTATATGTACACACATATATGCACACACTCACATATACATATTTAGATATACATGCACAAAAATATATATATGCTTACTTATATACACACAAACACATATACACATGCACATAAATATATATACATACTTATATATGTACAAACATATGTACACATGCACATATATACACATTTGTACACACAAATACACATGCATATAAATATATAAATACATACTTAGATATATACACACACCTATATACACATACACATAAGTATATATACACACACACACTTAGAGATATATACGCACATATGTACATATATACACACTTGCATACACACATATATACACATGCACATAAATATATGTATACATACTTATATACACACATACATATGTACACTTGCACATACGTATATGTATTTATACACAGACACACATACATATATATCTGCATAATTTGAAGTAGAAAAAACTCAGTGCTTCAATGGAGGAGGAGTGGGCACAGTTCTGGGGATACTCCCTGGAAAGTGAGTGCACTCTCAGGTCAGTGGAATAGGTGGCTTTGAGGGTGAAGTTTCAAATTCGGGTAGGACTTAGAGCAGCAGCTTTCAACCAGAGATGATTTTGCCTCCTATGGGACCTTTGGCAATGCCTGGAGACATTTCTGGTTGTCACAACTAGGAGGAGAAAAAGTCAGCGATGCAGCTAAACATTCTCCAATGCACGGGACATGTCTTCATAACAAAGAATGATCTGTTCTAAAATGTCAACAGTGCTGCTCTAAAGAAATCTTGCTTTAGTTCAGGGGTGTCCAATCTTTTGGCTTTCCTGGGCCACATTGGAAGAAGAAGAATTGTCTTGGGCAACACATAAAATACACTGACATTAATGATAGTTGATGAGCTAAAAATAATTGCAAAAAAATCTCATAATGTTTTAAGAAAGGTTATGAAATTGTGTTGGGCCATATTCAAAGCCATCCTGGGCCACATGTGGCCTAGAGGCCACATGTTGGACAACCTTGCTTTAGATGGAGGGACATGGGTGTGGTGGGATATAAGATCCAGATGGCCAGGTGGCCAGGTATAGTTGTGCAGGTTGTATACTGACCAACCCCACTGGGTGCTAGTCACATTGCCTCTGATGGAGATGAGCCTCCTGGAGTTGTGCAGTGCAACAACCCTGCAGGTAGATGGAAAAGCATGAGCAAAGCTCAAAGGCAGGACAATTTGTGTTAGCTTTGGCTGGAGCATAGGGGACTTGGAGGGGGTTGAAAAAGAGTGAAAAGTTGGGCTTAGGTTTAGGACCTAGGACTTTGTTCTATAAGCAGTGAGGGACTATTGAAAGCTTTGGAGCAGGGGATGGAAAGGTCTGAATTGCTTTGGAAAGACCTGGTGGGCAGCAATTGTAGTGTAGACTAATGCCATCATGGTGGAGAGAGCTGAAGGAGGAGAGAGACTGTGAGAAGGGAAGACAGTAGGACAAACACTATGTGCCCTGTGGGATTGGAAGAGATGCATCTGGGGTCAGACATTGTGTGGAGGTGAATTAATGGGGCGAGAAGGGAATTTAGGATATCCGTGCAATCAGGGCCACCATCTCCAGGCCCTTCTTGAATCAGTCCCAAGTGGACATCCTCCCATTTGCTTTATCTCAAAACTGAGCACTCTCATCTTTCACTTGCTCACTGTGCCCTGAGGCCCTATTTTTGTATCATGTAACAAAGAGTTGTTCTCTAACATGGTAATTATTTTTCTTTGATGGTGACAATGAGATCCAGAGAAAAGGAAAGAAGAATGGACTTGAAACCCTCCTGAGGCTCTAATGATGGTGATTCTGCAAGGCTGAGAGCAGAGATTTACATATTTGCTGTCAAGGTGAAGGTACCACAACGTGGATGCCATCTGGCAGGCACCTGGGTGGCTGACACGCAACATCAAGTGCAGTATCATGAAAATTAGCCAAGCTGGGCCCTGGTACTTCATTGCTACCTGGTGTGACGGTGGACACCCAACATCCACACCCTGGCTCCCAGTCTCCCCACCTTTAAAATGGATTTGATCTCCAGATTGCTACGTTTGTGTCCATATGTAATGGACAAAAGTGGTGATGGACTAACAAATTACGGGATGAGGATCTGCAGGCTTTATTTACTACTAAAATGTTTATTTCATGTGTTGATTATCTGCAGCATCGCCACCTTGCAGTTAGTCACTGGAGTCCTCTCAGAATAGGAACCCACCACTGCTCCCGAGTAAGCCGGTGACCTGCAGCTAAAAAATTAATCCTTTCGTGTCTCAGTTTTCTGATCTTTACATCAGTGATGATAGCAGTGCCACCTTGTAGAGTTCTTGTGAAAATTAAATGAGTTAATGAACTTAAAGTGCCTAAACAGTAGCTGGCAGAAAGTAAATGCTCAATAAATGTTAGGTATTTTGACCATAATCGTCATTTTTTTCTCATTGGCCTCTTTTTTCTCTTCTTATGCCTTAGGATTTGAGAGATGTCCCTTAAACACCAACTGGTGTGTTCTGTGTAAAAGACACTCAACAGGCCGGGTGCAGTGGCTCACGCCTGTAATCCCAGCGCTTTGAGAGGCCGAGGCAGGCAGATCACTTGAGACCAGGAGTTCGAGATCAGCCTGGCCAACATGGCAAAACCTTGTCTCTACTAAAAAATACAAAGATTAGTCGGGTGTGGTGGCTTATGCCTGTAGTTCCAGCTACTTGGGAGGCTGAGGCATGAGAATCGCTTGAACCTGGGAGGCGGAGGTTGTGGTGAGCCAAGACTGTGCCACTGCATTCCAGCCTGGGTGACAGAGTGAGAATTTGTCTCAAAAAAAAAATAAAATAAAATAAAATAAATAAATAAATAAATAAATAAAGGCACTCAACAGGGTAGACATAGGAAGTAATCCTGGTCTGGCTTGGCCTGGCTTAGCCTCTGGAGGCGGCTGTTTTTCCACCTGGTAAATTGATGATTTTCATTGCGTATTTTCTCTGAGTGTTTGTTAACTCCAGGGCAGTCTTTTGGAGTTAGTTTGTCATTGACTTGAACCCACCAGAGAAGAGTTGACCTCTCATTCTGCATCTGGCATTCAGGGTACGGCGCCAGGACTCAATCAACAAAGAGTGGAAATAGCCATTGGCCGTTGAGGACCCGCCAGGCCTTGGCATGCCAGAGGGAATGTCTTTTTTGGTTATGCCCGGTAAGTACAACAAACTAAAAGAGAAAAAATAAATAAATTTGGACAAAGCGATCTCAATTCATGTGTTTTGAAGAAACCTGGAATAACTTAGAGAAGAGAGATGACAAATATATGTTTCCGGAAAATATTAGCTGAAACTGCAACCACCGTTGTAAACATTTGCCGTCCTCCTGCAGAGGAGGGAGCACGCCACCTCATCTTGTTGCATTTAAGTCCATATATAATGGATAAAAGTGCTGATGGACTAACCAATTATGGGGTGAGGATCTGCAGATTTTATTTACTATGAAAACGTGTATTTTATCGGTTGGTTATTTAAATAAATGGCTGGAATACAAATCAACTGACAAAAACCATCGTTCCTCTCAAGGATGAAATATTTGAATTCATTATTCAAAGGCTTTTGGAAGCCTCTGGATGACTGAGTGGATTTGTCACCAGTCTTGTTGATCGCTGATAGAAGTTCCTGACATGGGGTTTAGGGTTGCTTTCTGGTAAGATTCCAGGGGCAGCCTTTTGGAGTTAGTGTGTCATTGAATCGGACCTGTCAGAAAAGAGTTGGCCTCTCATTCTGCATCTGGCAATTTGGGGTATGGCACAGGGTAAGAGCCTGCTGTGGTGGGGCCCTCTGCCAGGTACTTTTGTCTTCTGTATCTCATTTAAATCACACAGGACAGGCTCCTCTGCCTCAAAACTGGCCCCCTCTTGGCGAATCTTGTCAGCATTCACATGGCAATATAATACCAGAATTCACCCTGGGAACCCTTCTGAACAGGCCTTCCTCCAGCCAAGCCTTGTGTGGCCCCACCCTGGGTCCATGAGCAGACACGGCCACAGGGTGTCGCTGTCCCACTGGGCTGGGCCACGCTGAGCATTTATCTGGCTGTTAAAAAACCCCGTCTCTTAAAGAAAACAGTGCAACACGCAGTTGCGTAGCTACTCAGACAGGCCTTAATTATAATGCAAACCTTGTCAAAAAGATGATGTTTACTGTAGGAGGCATTTTACAGGACTAACTTTCACATGCTAGATTCAGTTTTCAACAAAATAAAAAAGAGAAGAAAAAGAAAAGAAAAGCAAGAGAGAAATCAAATGAGCCTTCTCAACACTTGATACCTCACGTTGTGATATTTTGATATGTTATGTGGTTGTGTTGCGGGATGATGAATGTCAGAATGAAGTTTTTTCTTCTTTTTCTTTTTCTTCCTTTTTTCTCTTTTCCTTCCTTTTTTTCTTTTTTCCTTCTGGCAGCTTTGTTTTTTTTCTTCTTCCAAGAGCTACAAAAAAAATGTTTTTCAAATGAACACAGGCAAGGATATGTCACCCAGTGATGGATAGCTCACTCCGGCTCAGCTTTTGATAATTAAGTTCTACTCTTCACAGACGAAGGCCATTCTGCCAAATCTAAAATACCCCAGAAAATGTAAAATTAGAACCTTATGAGAAAAAAGATTAAAAGAGCTAAATATATATGTATGTAGTTTGGTTAGGTGGTGATTGGCATGGGGTGGGGTGCGGAGAAGGGATTGATTTGATAACTGCCTACAAATCTGCACAGAGACACATGGCAAGGAAGAAGGGGGATATTTACACAGGGAGACAAGGTCAGATTAAGAGTAATTAAATGACCTAAATAATAATAACAGCAATAATAATAATAATAAAGAACATTTACGACAAATATCACACAATCGTGACTGACAAGAGCTAGCACTTAACTAAGGTAGAGCCGCCTAAGGGACACAATAGACACTTGAACCCTTAAGACATTTCCTATGCATCTTCCCTATGCACAGGCAGGTAATACTCTACAGAGACTGAAAATCCCTCTTGGTTTCCCAGAGGTTGGGCAAGCTTTCTTAAAGCTCTGAATTCTGCATCTACAAATCTTACATTAAGAGCCCTGAGGTTACACAGCATTAAATACAATTTGCTAACTGAAATGCTCAACTGGTTCTAAATCATAAGCTGGGGAGTCCATGGGGCTGCTCCGGAAACCTCCCGTGAAGTCCCAGCCAAGGTCAAGGAGATCCCGATACTTGCATGCGGCAGTGTCTCTCGATCTCTCATTGCTTGGAGGCCACCATCTTGTTTTGCTGCATTTGCCACTCACCTACCACGCGCAGGCTGCACTGGTGGAAAATCCGGCCCTGAAACCCGCCTGTCGTTTCACCATGGATCACCACCACCGACCACAACAAGCACCAGGGATTGCTCAGTGATTTATTAGAAGAGACTGCAAAAGATACTTTAAAAGCAAATTCTCTTACCCCCGTGTAATGTACCACGGCAGGGAGGAAAGGCCAATAACCCATGTGGCCATTACATTCTTGGCACCCTCTTAGTTGGCTCACTCAAGTGGGCAGGAGCCGGGTTTCATAAACCGTTCCTATCTTGAGGACTCCTGGCGTTCATTTGATCGCCCTGAAAGCTGGATCCTTATCTGCTGCAGTAATTTATCTTTTTGGAAGGAGAAAGCAGCGGCAAAGACAGATGCAGTTGATAAATACACTATTTTCCAGCGTACAATCAGTCTCAGTTAAATGTTAAAGGGCTGCCTTTTTGCTGTGAAACTGATATTTCGAAGTGCCCCAACTGGGGTGCGTTCTCCCCGCCCCCACCTCTGTCTGCCCAGGAGACACTTAAGGAGCCCAGTGAGAAATTTCTCAAGCCTGTAGGGAGGATGAGGGGGATAAAGAGGAAAGAGAGAATGACCAGGTCAGGCCTAATTGGTATTTCTTCTTTGCCAAGAAGCCCATAGATTGTGTTTCTGATTTTTTTTTTTTTTTTTTGCCTCCTATTGCAAGCTGGCCTTAAGGGCTGGCTGGTCTGACCCTGGGCTCAAGGGGACTGAGATAGCTTAAACCTGCTTTCTGTCAGAACTCCCTCCCCACTGAGATGGCGTGGTGGGAACCCAGAGATAAAAAAACGGGAACTGACTTCTTCCATGGAGCAGGAAAACAACCAGGAGGAAAGGAAGACTTCCTGCTCCTCTCTGTCAGCCGATAAGCCTAATTGGCTGGGTCTGCCTGCTGCACATTGATTATGTCTCCTAATAAAGCACTATTGATTGGCACGTGGTGCAGCCGGCGCCAGCATGGGCAGTATTCCCGCCCCTACTATTTCTCCAGCAACCTTTTTCTGTGCTCCGCTTCTTAGCATTATAAATTGGGGTCAACAGTGAGTCCACCTGTCTCAGAGACCTCAGAACAACTTTCTGACCACTCCAGAATCCGGTATGTTACCCCTTTTGGGCAGAAAAGGTGCCTTGGAAGAGCTGAATTGCTAATGTTATTCTGAGCATGGTTTATGTTTTAAATAAACCTCAGAATTAATTTAAGTGCTGCTCAGAGGCCCCAAGCCCATGTAGCCTGGCTGGGAGGGAAGATTCATGAAGTCTGGGCTGGCTCTGGATTGAGATGGGAGAGCAGAGCCAGGCTGTCCAGAACCATAGAACATTATGGTTACAGCTGAATGAATCCAGCTACGTCATGTTACTACCCGGCGACTTCATTCTTTCATGGGTAAAATGGAGATAATAATAGTACTTACCAAAAAGGATGTTGCAAGAACTAATTTTACCCCCCCATATAAAGCTTAGAACAATACTTGGTCCAAAGCTAGTGCTGCTCAATGAATCTTAGCAAATATTAGGATGCTGTTTCCTATTTTCATCCATGTCACTCCTTAAATCATACCCAGGTGTATTGAGGCACTAAGCATTGAAAACATGATGCTGAGAGGACTGGGCTGTAGAGAAACTTCCTTCTATGATGTAAGATAATTCTGAAAGCAATATGGCAGCACTTGGTCAACTTTAGCATATGTATAATCAAGCCTCAGTCATTCTGCCCCTGTGTATATGCCCCAAGGAAATTCCCACGCAAGTCCATGGTGAAGGGCTATCAAGAGGAAATTCATTGTGTTCTACTTTCTGGTGGTGGGAACTTGGAGAAAGTCCAGGGATTTACCACTGGGAAAACTGAAAACATTCACCATGGAGAACTGTGAAGCAGATAGAAGCAACAGACTAGGTGTATGGACAGCATTGGGGCTAGAGCTTCAATGCATGGTATTAGGTTAAAAAAGTAAGAAATATAATGAGATAGGTAACTCGATGCCACTTATGTAGACTAAATATTCATGCAAACAAAAAATACAGATTTTGTAAGGATACATGCAACAATCATGAAGATACACATTAGAAGAGTTGCCTATGGGGGAGGAGGGAAATGGGAGTTAATGGGAATAATCAGATAACCAAACATGTACAGTGAAGGAGGTCTTGCCCAGACCAATGATGGCAAGGTATCATGAACAGAGAATAAAATTAACTCAACTTCTTACCCCTGAGGTCCAAAAAGAAGGCCCCTTATCACTACATGTTACTAAAACTGAAACAATTATATATGCATTCCTACTTCATATATTACACACATACATGTCATACATTCTCTATGTATGTGTTAAACTATGAACTAAGTATACAGAAGTTTAACAAAGTTATGGTTTTTACTCATTAAGCAAACTTTTCATTTTCACTTCAAAAGTGGGGAGAGTCAGAGGAGGGTCAGGGTTGAAGAGTTACTTATCAGGTACAATGTTTACTATTTGGTTAATGGGTATACTAAAAGCCCAATCCCCACCACTACAAAATATACCCACATAACAAACATGCACATGTAATCCCTGAATCTAAAATAAAATTAAATTTAAATTTATTTATTTTGAAATAATTTTAAATTTACAGAAAACTTACAAAGATAGTACAGAGAGTTCCTGTATGCCCTTCATCCAGCTTCCCCTAATGTTAACATTTTACAGAACCATGAGACATTTGTTACATCTAAGAAACTAACATTGCTACAGTTACTATTAACTAACCTCCAGACTTTATTAGCATTTCACTGTTTCCCCACTAATGTAGAATACAAATTTTTGCAGTACATTTAATTGTCATGTCTCTTATGCCTCCAATCTATAACAGTTTCTCAGACTTCTCATGTTTTGTGTGACCTTGACAATTTTGAGGAATACTGGTCAGGTATTTTGCAGAATTTCCTGTGGGTTTGTCTGATGTTTAGACTGGAGTTATGGTTTGTCTAGGGAGAGGGGGAATATTACAGAGGTGAGATGCCCTTCTCATCACTTCATATCAGGAGTTTATGATATCACCATGATTTGTCATTGGTGATGCTAACCTTCACCACTTGCTTAAGGTAGTATTTGCTAGGTTTCTCCACTGTAAGGTTAATACTTTTCCTTTTCATACTTTATTCTTTGGAAGGAGTCACTAAGTCCAGCCCATACTCAAGGGAAAGAGATTTAAGATCTACTTCTTAGAGGAGGAAAGTATCTACCTTTATCTATCTATCTATCTATCTATCTATCTATCTATCTATCTATCTATCTATCTGTCTGTCTGTGTATCTATCCATCTATCTATCTATCTCAATTAATTTTTTATTGTGGTAAAATACATACAACATAAAATTTACCATCTTATTCATTTTTAAATGTACAGTTCTCTCAATGCATTAAAAAAGCTTTGAGATATAATTCACATACCTCAAAATTTACCTTTTTAAACCATAAGAATCAATGGTTTTTGTATATTTACAGCTTTGCACAATCATTATCACTAAGTTTAGAACACTTTTATCGCCCCAAAAAGAAAGCTCACATCCATTAACAATTACTCTCATTCTCTTCTCCTAGCAGCAATTCATTGACTTTGTGTCTCTATAGATTTGTCTCTTCTGGACACTTTATATAAATGGAATCATACAATATGTGGTCTTTTTTTTTGACTTTTCATTTAGTACAGTATTTTCAGAGTTCATTCATGTTGTAGCATGTATAAGCCCTCCATTCCTTTTTATTGAGAAATAATATTCTATTGTATATATATTTCACATTCTATTTACCCATTTATCAGTTGATGAACATTTGTGTTGTTTTTGCCTTTTGGCTATTATGAATAATGATGCTATGAATATTCCCGTACAAGTTTTTTTGTGAACATGTTTTTATTTTTTGTCAGTATATACCTAGAATAATTTCTGGGTCTTATGATAAATCTGTGTTTAATGTTCGAGAAAGTGCTTAACTGTTTTCCAGAGTGGTTTCACCATTTTACCTTACAGCTAACAGTGTATGAGGGTTCAGAGTTCTTCACATCCTTGTTATTGCCTATCTTTTTAGGCCTCCTAGTGGGGGTGGGGTAAAGTGCCATCTCACTGTGGTTTCAATTTGCATTTCTCTAATGGCTAATAATTTTGAGCATTTTTTCATGTGTTCATTGGCCATTTGCATATCTTCTTTAGAGAAGTGTCTATTTAAATCCTTTGCCCATTTGAAAAATTAGATTTTCTTCTAACTTTTGAGTTGCTAGAATTCTTTATATATTCTGGATACTAGTCCTTTATCAGATGTACAATCTTCAAATATTTCCCATCTGTGAATGCCATTTTTACTTTCTTGATGGTATTATTTTTAGCACAAAAGCTTTTGATTTTGATGTGTCAGGTTTATCTATTTTTGTTGTTGCTGCTGCTTGTATTTTTGGTGTCATAGCTAAGACACAAACCACTGTCTAATTTAAGGTCATGGAGATTTTCTCCTATGATTTCATCTAAGAGTTTCATAGTTTTAGTGCTTACATTTAGGTCTACAATCCATTTTGAGTTAAATTTTTTTTTTTTTGGAATGGTGTAAGGAAGGTACAACTTCATCCTTTTGTCTGTGGATACCCACTTGTTTCAGCACCATTTCCTGAAAAGACTACCCTTTCCTTCATTGTTTTAGGACTCAATGCATTTCTGAAGTATTGACATTTTAGAAATCTTTTCTTTTGGTGCTCTGACTTTGCTTTCCCTAAGTCTAAGCTGTCAGTTCAACCATGGTTCACAGTAGCACTTTCAGGTGATATTATTTAACGGAAAGAACACTTGCTTGGAAAGACTGGGTGTCAGACAGACCCGAATTTCCTAGCCTCATACTTACTAGTGGTGTCACTTAACCTCTCTGGAATATCACTCAACTTCTCTGAGCTTCTTCTCTTTATCTGAGAAATGGGGATATTATCCCCATACCCTGTGGAAGGTCAATAGTACTGAATATGAGACTGAAATGAGCAGATCTGTTAAAGTGCTCTGGAAAGTATAGGGTGAAATGTTAATGTCAGTTATTTACTTTTCTTGTCCATAGGCACTCATCAATGTCTACTGCATCTTATTGGCATGATCTGGTGTATTTGTTATTGATTGCTACATAACACATTATTCCCACACTTAGTGGCTTAAGACAACAAACATTCATCATCTCACAGTTTCGGAGTGTCAGGAATCTTGGCATGGCTTAACTGGGTGCTCTGTCTCAAGGCCTCTCAAAGGCTGCAGTGAAGGTCCTGGCTGTGATGCAGTCATCTGAAGGCTCAACTTGGGGAGAATCCACTTCCACACTCCCTGGTGTGGTAATGTCAGGATTCAGTTCCTTGTAGACTGTCAGGTGTAGGCTACCCTCAGTTCCCTGGCAAGTAGTTCTCTCCGTAGGGCAGCTCACAACAGAGCAGCTGGCTTCATCAGAGCAAGAGAGAAGAATCAGAGAGCATGTGAGAGATGGAAATCACAGTCTTTTATAACCTAGGCATGAGTGATGTCCCATCACTTTTGCATATTCCATTTGTTACATGCAAGTTACCAGGTATGGCCGATGCTGAAGGGGGAAGGGTTTCCAGAAGAGCAGGAACACCAGGAAGTGGGGATCTTTGAGAGTCATGTTAGAAGGCAGCCTACTATGTCCTGCAGGGCAGCAGGAACAAGGTGTTTGTAGGCTTCAGAGCTTAGGGTGGTGCCACGCACACAGTAGGCCTTTCAGTCAGTATTTGTTGAAAGAAGACTGATTGCTGTGAGACTTACTCTAACCAGCTGCTTTGTATCATCAACTTCAACCACTAGGAATTTAGTTCCATGTGTAGTTAGGCAACTAAAATCATATCCCTGGTTCAAGATGTTCAAGCAGGGCATGCTGGCCATGTGCCTGCTTCATTTCCTGTCCTTCTCTGGAAAATTACATTTTCCAGGTTCCCTTGCCAACTGACTTCTGGATGGGGTGGGCCAACTGTGGGGAGAAGGGAGAGGGAATGTGGGGAGGCTGGAGGACAGGAGAAAGTGAAGAGCCTGGGCATTTCTCTCCCACCCCACCCCCTCTTGCTTTGGATGGCTTCTCCACTGGGCTCTGTGGCTCCAGCTTGGGGGCTAGGCAACCTCTGCCTCCAGGCCGTGGACTCTGGTAACACTACCATTGGCCTTCCAGCACTGCTGCCACCAGCTTTGAGTTGCCTCTGCCCCCTCTATTTGGCTCTGCAGTTCTCCACCACTTTTGTATCTAATTTTCTGCATTCAATTCCATTGATTAGAGTCTCTGGAATGGGCCCCATTTTCCAAATCAGACCCTGACCAATGTATCCTCCTTTAAAGTTTGAGGGCATCCTGTTTCCTCATGTTATCAGATCTCATTAGAACCCAGTGATTCCCCCATGAGCAAACAGAAGAAATAGAAGACGCTGTCCTCACCTTACAGATTCTCATCTGGGCTGCAGCTCAGTTTGGGCAGGGGACTTACCTTAAGTGACACAGTAAGTCCATGGTGTTAAAATCCAACCCTAAAGACCACACTCTTCAGCCCTGATCCCCTTCCAGACATCATTCCAGTTTCTGACAGGATCCTGTGATACCCAAGTGCCTTCATGTTCCCCTCTGAAAATTCCTGGCTATCTTTGGATTCAGCAGTGCTTTTCAATCTGTTTTTGGTCAAGAGGAGTTCCACAGTAATGACCATGAAATTTCTGCCCATCACAAGGGCTTATGATGAGGGCAAGGAGGGACTGAAACCAGGCCTTGCACTGCTCGCTGAGCTGTGTGTCTTGGCTCAGGGTCATGTCATCCTAGAGGAAGATGTGGCATCTTTTTCTAATTCATTCTCCCCAAGGGAGCACCTTTTTCTCAAAGGTGTTATATAGATTAGCAACAGCTCTGGTCAGAAACTCCTTTGAGACAGATGAAAGCAATGTGCCCTCTCCTAAGAAAAATGCGCATATACATACAAAATTATGCATGATAATGGGGTTCCCAGGCTCCCCCGAAGGCCACTTCTGCACCCACTAGGAATCCATGGAGTTCGGCTTAATAATGACTTCCATGAAGTATTTTGGGGTTTCCCAAATGCTTTTTACCACCTAGAAACATTTTAACACATCCCCATATCTCCTTTTCCAATGTTTATTTAATATTTCCTATAAATTGACTTCCTATATTTTAATTTAACTGGAAAGGGGTACTTGATATCACTATCATGATAGCTGTGAAATCACAGGTTTGTCATAGTGGTTAAAAGCTTGGCTCTCAGCCCAGACACGGTGGCCCACACCTGTAGTCCCAGCTCTTTTGGGAGGCCAAGGGGGAAGGATCCCATAAGTCCAGGAATTTGAGACCAGCCTGGACAATATAGCAAGACTTTGTCTTTACAAAAAACTAAAAAATTAGCTGGGTGGGGTGGTGCGTGTCCATAATCCCAGCTACCTGGGAGGCTGAAATAGGATGATCACTTGAGCCCAGGAGTTCAAGCTTGCAGTGAGCTATGATTGTACCACTGCACCCCAGCCTGGGCGTCAGTGTGATATACTGTCTCTAAAAAAAATAAAGGGTGGCTCTGGAGCCAGACTGGCTGACTGCCTGGGATGGAGTTCTGGTTCCACTATTTATTAGCTTTGTGACTTTGAGCAAGTTACTTGATCTCCCTGTGCCTCTGTTCTTAATCTGTACAATGAGGCTAGGAAGAGTACCTTCTTCATAGAGTTGTGAGGATGGAGTAAATCAGTGTACAGAAAGTCCTTTAACAGGACCTGGAATATAGGAAGCACTCAATAAATGCTAGCTATTATTTTAACACCAGTAAATTTTTTTTAGTACATTTTAAAATAGATACCAACTACTAAAAAAGTATCATGTGTCACCTGAAATTATCCTGTGTAGTGTTGTAGTTCACACTTCTTACACTTTGAAAAATGCTGCTGAATCGTGATGCCTCAAGAGAAAACACACACACACACAAACACACACAGACACGCACACACGGAGCTCAGCAAAAGAAGCAGGAAATCCCAAGGAGGAGATAAAGTAACTTATAGTGGCTTTGGTAAGATACTGACAGGGCATCTGAGGGTGTGTTTGTTTCTGGATTACAATGACAGAGCAATAAGGAAAAGCAGACTCTGTTTATCTTGCTCGATGCCACCTTCCAGAAAGGCCAGGAAACACATCCGCCCCTATCTAGCGTTGCGCTACTGTGGGGCCCCCGCTGGCCTCTGAGAGCTGCTGAAGGAAGAAGCATGCACTGCCTCTGCAGGCTTAAGTCACCTGCCCTCAGTGATGAATGCGGAGGGACTGGAGCCAGGCCACAGAGGCTCTGGCAATTTTTTTGCAATTTTTGCTCCCTAAAAAGTTGGCAAAAAAATCATTTGCAATTCTTTTTTTATTTTCTATACGTTCTTCTTGAGGCAAAAACCACCCTGATTTTGCTCTGGGGAGTCTCATCCTCCTTTACTTTTGGTTCATATGCTTCAGAATTCCATGGGAGGGGCCTGTGACCAAGGATAAGCCAATCAACTCTTTCCATCCTTCTTGCCATGGAGTTTGGTTTAGGGATGGGCACATGACTCAAGCTGGGCCAATCAGAGAACCAAGCTGACTCAACCCTGGGGCCTTTGTTTGAGGTATCAGAGAGAGGGCCTCTTTTTCTCTGAAGTGGCACTGGGAATATATGAGCCTGAAACTACTGCAGTGATATGATTTGGCTGTGTCCCCACTCACATCTCATCTTGAATTGTAGCTTCCATAATCCACATGTGTTGTGGGAGGGACCTGGTGGGAGGCAATTGAATCATGGGGGCGAGTCTTTCCTGTGCTGTTCTCATGACAGTGAATAAGTCTCACAAGATCTGATGGTTTTATAAAGGGCAGTTCCCTGCACATGCTCTCTTGCCTGCTGCCATGTAAGACATGCCTTTGTTCCTCCTTCACCTTCTACCATGATTGTGAGGCCTCCCCAGTCATGTGGAACTGTGAGTCCATTAAACCTCTTTTTCTTTATAAATTACTCAGTCTCAGGTATGTCTTTATCAGCAGCATGAGAATGGAATAATACACACAGATGCTTGAGAATGGAGTCAACCTATGGGAAACAGAATCAAGACGAATTCTGCTGATACTGTTGGAGCCTGAATCACACTGCACTTGAAGTCCACCAGTCTCCTTGATTTGTCTTTTGCAAGTGAAAAATGTAGCACCTGACCTTCAGACTCACCCCAGGAAAATTAGCCACCTCATTAAACAATTCTAGTTTTGAGGAGCAGGGGAGCAGTCTGGTGGGATGCAGCTCGGGGAATGCTGGTGGGTGTGACCATAGGAAGTGGAAGCAATTATTGTCACTAGCTACGTGTATGTTACCTTCACCCAGAGGACCAGCCAATCTCAGTCTTGGGCATCTCATGAGAATAATAATCACTTACAGTTACCAGGCATTCTCCAGTTTGTAAGGTATCTTCCAGCACATCACCGTTGATGCTCCTGTAAGCAACTCTGGAGGGAAAGCCGGGCAGAATTTAGTATCCCCAGTTTATAGATGGAAGAACCGAGTGTTAAGATCTGAAGGCCTCTGCCCAAGGCATATACCTGGTCAGTCACAGGGTCAGGACTTGTGTGTATGTTCTCATATTATAAATTTACTGTTCTTCCTAATTCATTAGTAAGAATGCGAATGATCCCATCTTCAGGAGGCCACATAGCCTGGTGGGCAGGAGAACTGGCCTTGGATTCAGACTACATGAGCTAAAGCCCAAGCTGGGCTGCTTACTAGCTCTGTGGTTTCAGATACTCTTTTCCTTTTTGCACCTCAGTTTACCCATATATCAAAAGGGATGATAATGACACCTACCACATAAGTATCATCCTCTTTTGACAGATGTCAAACCAGATATCAAACCACATTGTTATGAGGGGTAAAAGAAACAAGCCATATGAAGTATTTATAGGATGAATACTCAAAGTAGAGCTTATTGTGACAATGCATTGTGATTCAGTGACACAGGCAGAACAGTGCCATAAAGCCATGGGCTTGGAAAGAAAATAGCAGAGACACCTGATGTGCCCACAACTCTTAACAAATCCACTTGTATCCAAAAAAACTTGATGCAGAAATTGATGCTCCAAACTGGCTTGTGATCAGTTTTGAAGAAGAGAAAGACAATCTATAAGTGTGAGGAGGGAGGATGGAGAGACAGAAGTGGGTGTGAAATGGGAGGGTTGGGTCCCCAAGGATTGCCACAGGCATGTTTGTGAGTTGCTTCCATTCCTCTCCATTAGGGCTGTGATGCTCAAATGAGTACACATCAAATCACCCAGAGGGCTGTTAAAACAAAAATACCTGGACCCCACCCCCAGAATTTCTGATTGCATAACTCTGGGTGGAGCCTGATATATGCAGCTGTCCAGAAGACCACACTTTGAAAACCACTGCTTTAGAGCCTGCTGGTGACACCCCTATTTTATTTTATTTTATTAATTTATTTATTGATTGATTTTTGAGACTGTGTCTCACTCTGCGCGATCTCACACTGCAACCTCTGCCTCCCTGGTTCAAGCAATTTTCTTGCCTCAACCTCCCAAGTAGCTGGGATTACAGGCACATGCCACTATGCCTGGCTAAGTTTTGTATTTTTAGTAGAGACGGGGTTTCACCATGTTGGCCAGGCTGGTCTCAAACTCCGGACCTCAAGTGATCCACCCTCCTCGGCCTCCCAAAGTGCTGGGATTATAGGCATGAGCCACCACACCCAGCTTCAATGCCCCTATTTTAGACATTAGAAATGGTCCAGAAAATTTGACAGAGTTAGTTTCCCACTGACTTGTATTTTAAGAGAACATTTCATTACTCCTGATCTTTTAGTAGGTATCCCTGATTTTAAGAACTGGATGTTCTCTGTTTTTGTGTTTCACCATGTTTAACTGATGTCACACACTGGGGGAGAGGGGGTATCTATGCATCATGGTCTGTGTGCATTCTTTTTTGGGGGAGTCTCCCGAAGCCTCATGTAGGCTTGTTCAAATGGAGTACCCTGTGCCTGCAAGTGACACCTCCCTACTCAATACACACACCATTCTTCCCAGACAAGACCAACATCACTCTCTGGGTTTTCTCTCACTTTTCTGGAAATGCAGCTCTCTGTGGTTGCTGAGATTTTATTGAGCTTATGGGCTGTGCCAAGCGTGGGTCATGACTCTACCAGAACCACCTCGTGTAAGCTTCAGGGCAGTCACATGAGCTGGGTGCTAGAACTGCTCCCATTTCAAAGATGAGGAAGCTGAGCCTAGAGGTTAAGCCCTTCGCTCGAGGACATATGAGTGGTGAAGGCAGCATTCATACCCAGGAACTCTGATTCCAGACATCGCAATCTTGACTGGCTTCATATTGTACTGATTCAAAAAAATATCACAAAAGAATATGGCCTTGCATTTAAAAACCTGACTTTGATGTTGCTGCAAATGTTATCACATTTGTTCCTCATTACCGCTATGGCAGAGATGGCTTTATCCCCATTTCACAAATGAAACTGAGGTGCCCACAGTTTAGGCAATGCTTGAATGGACACAGGTGAATAGGGCTGGGTGTTGGAGCCTCTTCAGGGCCTGACAGTTCAATCCATGTGACATTAATTACAGTTCATTCATGGATTTTCCAGGACCAGGCAAGGGATTGCAGTATGGTTTTCCACACACCACAATTATAGCTGGACCATTAGATTCCATCTCAGTAAATAAAAGGAAGCGGCCCCAAGAATATCTCTGGGAGTCAGGCATGGTGGCTCAACACTAATCCTAGCATTTTGGGAGGCCAAGATGGGTGGCTTGCTTGAGCTCAGGAGTTTGAGACCAGCCTGAGCAACCCGGCAAAATCCCGTCTCTACAAAAACAAAAAACGAAAGTTAGCTGGGTATAATGGCATGTGTCTGTAGTCTCAGCTTCTTGGGAGGCTGAGGTGGGAGGATCACCTGGGCCTGGGAGGTTGAAGCTGCAGTGAGCTGAGATCACACCACTGCACTCCAGTTTGGGTGACAGAGGGAGACTCTGTTTCAAAATAATAATAATAATAATAATAATAACAATAATAATATCTTTGGGAATTCAATAATTTGAAATATTACTATGGGTAATAATAATTATAACAGCATTAAAAATATAAATAACAAAGCAAACAGCATATTGGGTGCTTACTTCCAGGATGTGATAAAATCTTTACCATGAACCTATGAAGTGCATTGAGTGGGTATCATGCCCTTTTCAGGGATCAACTCTGAGGCTGAGTTGAATGATTTTTCAAAGATCACAGACCTACTATGTGCCAGAGTTGGGACTCAAACCCTCCTCCGTGTTCTCTGCACTTACCCCCAAGCTATTCTTTTTCCTTCCATTCATTTCATGACTGTAGCCTTCGTGACCTCCCTGGCAACCCATTTTGCTACAGGGCACCTTCTATGAGGCTCCCCTCACCCCTAAGCGGTTCTACCCACTGCCCATTCATTTTCATTACTGCCTTTGTAATAATATCTCTTCATAAATCTTTAACCACTTGGCACCTGATTATAATGCAATAAAAGGATCATAATGTAAATTGATATGTTACATTTATTGTTGTTTAAATGATGAGAAGAGAAAGTTCATAAAATATTAAATATTTCTTCTTCTTTGAGGGCTATGATTAGAATGCTTTACCTACTCCACCCCAGTATATATTTTTCTTCCCAGTTTGAGGCATAACAGGCAACTGAGAGCATTCCCATGTCCTTACACCACCTGCAAATACCAGCATGCTGTGAAGTGTGATCTTATTTTGGCATGGTCTCTACTGATTTAGGCAGGGATTACTTGACCTAACTAATTTAAGCAAAAAGAAATCCCCAAATTAGGGAGTTATTCTGAAAGCTGTGGAGGAATTTTATGAAACCTGTGTCAGTTACCTATTGCCACAGTAATGCTGTGTAACAAACCAGCTAAAATATTATCTAATTTGAAACAAATAACATGAATTTATCTGATAAGTCTGGATTAGCGATTTAGGCTTGCTTCAGCAGGGCAGTCCTTCTGGGCTCAGATCACTTACACGTCTGGGTCAGCTGCAGGTCAGTTAATCTAGAATGGCTTTGGCTGGGCAGCCTGGGTGGCCCAGGTGTGTTCTGTGTGTCTCATCCTCCAACAGGATAGCTGGGGCGTGTTCTCATGTCAAAGGCTGAGGAGCAACAGCATATGTGGAAATGCCCAAGTGCTTTCTCAAGCTTCTACTGGGTCACTTGCTAACATCCCAAAACAAGTCTGACAATGGAGCCCAGAGTCAAGGGTAGCGTAGTACATCCCCACTCGGAGTGGGAAGACACAACAGAGTTAACACAGCAAAGGGTGTCAGCACAGAGAGGTGCCCTTAATTCAACCAACTTATTACAGAACCCAAGAGCAGGAAGGAGAATAGGGTCTCTGCAGATCAGGAATCAAAACTGGAAGTCATCTTAAACCAAGGCAGCTGCTGCCCCTTGGAAGCCAGGTGGTGTCGCATCTCTATGGCAAGCTGAGCATCTTCTTCACACTTTTCTTCCTCCACAGAGTGGCTTTCTCTGCTGACTTTGACCACATTTTTTTGTGCCTTTGTGCCTTTCCTTGAACTTCACAACCCTGGCTTTTCATGGCTTGCCACATCATTCACTATCCCAATAGTGTGCGTCCTAACCTCACATTCCTGGGAGAGACAAACTCATCCCAGCCTCTCGAACTGTGCCCATGTGTTGGGAACCTTGATTCTCCCCTTAGAGCTTTTCCTTTCCTTCCTTCCCCAGCTTGATCAATGGTACCATCAGCCACACATGTACAGGCTAAACATTTCAATCATCTTTCATTCTTCTTATTGAAATGGGAGGAGTTTTCCCTTATCCCCCTGGCAGGGCATGTGACAGAAGTGGCTTACTTCTAGGGTGTGTGACAGGGGTGTGGCTCGCTTCTTTGGTGCCCTACTGCTCAAACCCCTAGGGGGAGCATGCAGACAGGCAGGTCATCGGGCTCCGATCCCATGGCAATGTCTAGGGTTGAGTGTTTACAGCTCCTGAAGCCCCAGTGGGCATGTGTTACAGTGTGCTCTTTCAGTTTTGCCATCTGCAAGTGGCTTGTGTTAATCAGCTCAATTAGACCCTTTGCCTTATCCCAAGAACAGAGGGCTTTCTGTATCCCAGGTCCTTGCCTTGCTGTACCAGAAAAATTGGATCACATGTGGCCTTGGAGGATGGGTGCAAGGTTTTATTGAGTTGTGGACGCTCTCAGTGAGATGGATGGGGAGGCCCGAAGAGGAATAGAGTGGGAAGGTGATCTTCCCCTGGTATTGGGCTGCCCAGTGGCCTGACTCTGCTCTGACTGCCTCCGGCCAAATTCCACGTTGTCTCATAGTTGACGGCCTGCACTCATCTGCTGGTGCCTGTCGGTGTGCTCTTCTGTTCCTTTGCTCCTCTCGGCATCCAGCCACTTGTGTGTGTGCCTGCTAGAGTGTTGGGGTTTTTATAGGCACAGGGTTGGCAGGGCATGGCAAGCGGGAGCTGTTTTGGAAAATGCAAATTTTGGGTGCAAAAACAGGAGTGCCTGTCCTCGCTTAGGTCTGTGGGCACAGGCCCAAGGGTGAAGACCGTGCCAGGGACCCTGCCCTTCTCTACCCAGCACTTCCCTGCCCTTCTTCTGTATCACTATCCCTCACCCTCTCAATCAACTCATCATCAAATCCAGCAAATATTATAACCAAAATATCAGTTAAATCTATTCACTTCTCCCCATCTGCACCACCCCCACCATCTGGGTCCAAGTCGCCATCCTTCTTTCTGATGCCATAGTGGCCTCTTCCTGGCTCCTTTGTCACTCACAATTCCATTTCCTGCTTTCACTTTTCCATAGCACTTGCCACTATATGAACCGTCTTATTTCGCCTTGGAGCAGAAGGCAAACTCCAGGAGGACAAAGCACTTGCCCTATGTTGGTTAGTACTGTATCTCCAGCACCCAGTAGTCTATAATGACTGGTGAATAGTAGCTGCTCAGTGCTGAGTGAATAAAAAGGAGTGAGCCATGTAGTACGAACCATCATTTCCCCACCACCTCCCCATCCTGCTTTGGTGAGCAGTTCTCAGAAAAATAGAAATGAGCAGAGAGCACCTTCAAAGGGCATTGACTACAGTCACAGGTGCCAAATCTGGTTAAAAACCCAGGGCTGGCCAGACGTGGTGGCTCACACCTGTAATCCCAGCACTTTGGGAGGCCCAGATGGGCAGATCACAAGGTCAAGAGATCGAGACCATTCTGGCCAACACGGTAAAACCCTGCTCTACTAAAAATTCAAAAATTGGCTGGGCATGGTGGCACACGCCTGTAGTCCCAGCTACTAGGGAGGCTGAGGCAGAAGAATCGCTTGAACCTGGTAGGTGGAGGTTGCAGTGAGCCAAGACTGAGCCACTGCACTCCAGCCTGGGTGACAGAGTGAGACTCCATCTCAAACAAACAAACAAACAAACAACAACAACAAAAAATCAGGGCCGGCCAGGCGCAGTAGCTCACGCCTGTAATCCCACCTACTCAGGAGGCAGAGGCAGGAGAATCACTTGAACCCAGGAGGCGGAGGTTGCAGAGAGCCGAGATCGCGTTGCAGTCCAGCCTAAAGCTGCCCCAGCTGAGCAGGGCTTTTGCTGAAGCCATGAAGCCGAGGCTCCCTGAGCAATGCATCAGTTATGTGAAGGGGATGGAGAATGAGGCAGACCCTGCTTCAACCTACTTATGATGAATAGGGAGGATTCCTTTGTCATTAGTACAATTGCTAGCCTACAATTAGTATGGAAACCTGTCCTCTAATTTACTCAACAAAGAAGTCCCAGCAGGACCTCAACTTAGAGATAATTTGTCAGCAGTTAGATTCATAGGATGACAGCGCGGGAAGAGTCACTGTAAATTCTTGAGAGGAATAAAGCTGCATCCACTTAAAAATTATCCTGTAATTCCGCCTTCTCTCTGACCTGCTCCCCACTTAATCCAAATGTGTTTATTTATGATGTCTAGCTTCCTACTTTCCAAAAGAATTTGATATGGCTTGCATTAAAGGCTCATTTCAGATGAAGAATGGATTTAAAATAAAAGAGATCTAGGCAACTCCATGGTCTCCCCTGAGAAAACAGAAGGGACCTGGAGGAGATGCAGAAATGATGTTAGACCCTCTGGCTGAGGAGGGATTGAGGCAGGCCAGGTTAAAGAGTGATCATAGGGGTGGGTAGCACAGACCTTTGGGATCTAAGGATGGAAAGATTTTGACATTCCCCTCTGGTCATGGGAGGGTGACTTTGAAATCCCAGCTCTTCCGTTGAAGGCTCCATATTTCATCTGTTGATCTGTTGAGTTTCCTTCTCCCAAAGCAGCATTCCCATTTTTCTAGTGGGTAGCGTATTTCCTAACTCCCTGGGCATATTTTCCAGGTGCAGGGGTTGAAGAGAGGAAAGAGGGTCAAAAGAGAGGGGAGAAGGGGAGATTGATCAACACCAAGTAAGGCTAATACTGTTGTAGACCTTACCCTGTGCCGCATACTATTCTAAGCATCTTATATGAATTAACCCAATCTTTGTATAATGATCCTGTTATCATCCCCACCTTATAGATAATGAGATGGAGCCATGGAGAGATTAAGGAACTTGCCCAGGGGCAGTGCACAACCATGAGACTCTTGGTCTAGGCTCCTAACAGCTGGACCGTACTGCCTCTCTATAGGCCAGGGCACTTGAGCTTGGGCTTCTCCACCACAGGGGTTGCCTACAGCAATGGTCAATTGTCCAGGTCAGCCCTGGAATACCAGCTTCCTGCTGAGTGAGGTGGGAGGGAGAGGCCTGCATGCCCTGGGGCCCCCAGTCAGTACCCAGAAATTGGGAAAGGCCCCAGGAGAGTCCCCAGTGCTGGCCAAAAAAAGGAACTGAAAAAAGGCTCTGTATCAAGAGAAAGCCTAACATCCCCACAGGGTGGGGAAGGGGAGATTATCCTAGATTTGGGGGGTACACACTTTGCAAAAGACCTTATTACCTGTCTTACCCCCACATAACAAAAGACACCTGTAAGTTACTTCAGAGACAAACCTGGTTTACTGAACTCCTTTGGAATGCCACAAAACACTTGCTCTCTGTAATCGCTGAGCCCTGTTATAACTATAATTTGGGTAGGGTTGACAAGAAATTGTTAGTGCGGGGTCTGCCTCCGAAGTTCAGAGGCTCCTGTATGCAAAGGGATGGGGGGCCTCTGTGCCTGGCTGTTCTGCCCCAACTTTCCCTTTTTATGATCCCTACATGAAAGGAAGAAGAAAACACAACAGGCTTCCTCCATCATAACCATAGATGATTTGGATTTCATCATCTTTGCATTGTGAGGGAAGGATTTGCAAATGGTATGTTTTTGAGACTCTGGCATAATTATAATCATGGCAATAATTATTCCTTTTCTTCTCTGCACTCAGACTCATAGCATAGTCAACTATTTTCCAACTTTCTGTTTTCCCCTTCTCAGCCCTGTCAATGACCCTTCAATATGCCATTCCCCCAAATCAAGTCTTCTGGGGTTCCTGGAGCTCAGCACAGATGTCAATAATCTGTGTTGTAGTTTCTTCATCTGTAAAATGAGGATAACAGTCCCAGTGTCTTATGGTCACTGTGAAAATTAAATGGCTAACATATACGGAATAATTAATACATGGCCTGGCAAATAGTAAGTGCTCAATAACTATTAGCATCTATTATGTTAATTGTATTGATTAATTGGGACCACAGTAATGTTATATAACAATCACATCACTTTAGTGGCATACCAGGATAGTTTGTTTCCCATTAGTTATGGTGGTCAGCTAGAGGTTGGCTGATCTAGGCTTGCACACTTGCATATCTGCAGGTCAGCTGGGGCTGTGCTGTAGGCTGGGTTGGCTGGGACATCTTAGCTGGGCAGTTCTGCCTCACACATCTCTCATCCTTCTCCTGGCATCAGTGGATTGATCCAGGAATGGACTTCTCAAGGCAATGATGGGAGTGTAAATGAGTAAATGGAAACATGCAGGGCCTCTGGAAGTCAAGAATAGAGATTGGCACACAGTCCGTTTTATCTCTTCTATTGGCCAAACAAATCGTGTGGGGATAGGAAAACATATACTCTCCCTTTTTGGAGGAACTCCAATGTCACATGAGAAGGGCATGGGTGCAGGCAAGGTGAAGAATAGGGGCCATTAATGCAATTGATCTATTATGTTGATTATCATCAGCCCTGTTTCTATTTAAATGCAGACTTTGAATCCGATCTTCCAGCTGGGGCTGGAGCATCTCCACCTTACACACTTTCCCAGGTGATTCTGTTGCAGCAGGTCTGACTTAGGGAATCCTACTCCAGGTGTAAAACCAACTGATCTTAAGGATCATCTGAGACACTGATGAAACAGATCAGACTCCTGGGCCACTCTCCTGGAGAGCCCGGGAACCTGGATTTTAACAAGTTCCCCATGAGGGAAAGCCACTGATTTGGAAAGCTGGGAAACACACCTGTCATGCAATTCCTGTTGGTTTTTTTTTTAGATATAAAGACTGAGGCCCAAAAAAGGGAAAAGGAAGTGACAAAAGTCACCCAGAAAGAAGGTTCCAACTGCAGCTTGACTTCAGGTGATGTAGCTCCCACCTGGCCAGGTATCTTTTCCAATATACCAAAATAACTAGAAAAATGTCTATGCCTTAACTCGGTCACCATAAAGACTCAATGGAATTGAGTGTTTTAGAAAAAAAAGTCATAGTTTATCACCCCAAGCTTGATTTACAATGGCTTCTGACTTGCTACCTCTTTTGAACACAGACCTTTAGCAATCAAGGTTTCACATAGCACAGACACTCTCTCATAGGACCTTGAGGGGTTGTGGCAGCTCCTTTAGGGTCTGTCTGAGCTGCAGAGAACCACCTTGCCTGAGGTTATGCCCTTCCTGGGTTAGTGGGCACTTGGGTGAGGGACGGTACAAAGGCCTGGTCATTGTGCCTTAATTTAATTGGAGCCATTGAGAGCAGCGCTCCCACTCCAGAGCTCCCTGCCAGATTGGCTGTGTCTCTGCTGGGCTGCACCAGAGTTCAGATCCTTCCTGTGCTCAATCCTGTTTCCTCCTAAGTATCACAGATGTTGATTCTTAAAAAAATCTTGTACCCGGAACTTGATTGCAGCATCTCCTTTAGGAGAACCTAAAAGAGGGGTCAAAGGCAGCCATGGTGGTATGGAAAGGAAGGAAGGACGTCAGCCATGGTAATTAACTTTGAAGGGAAGGACGTCAACCATGGTAATTAACTTTGCTAAGGGGAGCACATTGGGGGAAACTGAGGAGTGTGTCAACCAAATACAAGCTTTTAAAAGAAGCCTTGGCCGGCAGAAGTGCAGGAGGCTCCTAAACATTTAAATCACCTTTTCCTATTGATTAAGGTAAATACTTTACTGATGCTGTTAATCCATACCCCTATAAATCCTCAACGTGTGATAGTTTTACTGTGTACTTAATGTTTCTGTCTTTAATTGAATTACATCCCCCTCAGCCCAAAATGATGAACTGAAAGTTAGAAATCATGTTGGCTCTGACAAAAATGGGGCATGTTTATTTTCTTTGTTTAATTTGAAGAACTAGACCCTTTGAACATAAGTCAGCAAGCCTGACTTTATCACCAGTGGTTGACCCCATCTCTTTACCTCACTGGGCCTCAGTTTTCTCACCATGAGATGGAGAAAATGGAGACTTTGCCCGTGTAAGGTAACAGCTTGGAAAGCCAGGAGGCCATAAAGGAGCCTCATTATAAATGCCTCAAAGCAGGGCTCTGTACAAAAATTTTCCAGAATCTTCTGTGGTACCCGCAGGGAGTGGACACAGTGGTCCTGGAGCCTGTTAATTCCTTCTGCTACCCCCTTTCTACACTGCCACCAGCTGATTGATTTGCCCACTTAAAGACGGCTGAGTGTAAATATCCACCTGTCAATCACCCCATTATGCTAAGTGCCCAGCCGGCCCTGAATAGTGATTTATGCTCTCCAATGGATGGCTCTGGTCCTTGGCAGCTGTGCCATGTGCACAGTAGGGAGAGTAAAGTGCAGCAGGTTGCATCCCCAGGGTCTCCACCCTAGACCCTCAGGGACGTGGTCTTTTCCCGAAGAGAGGCCTGACTGAAAGGTGGGAAGCTTTCTCAGATCCCTTTTTCACTCCATCCCTGCTGAGGGTAGGGAGTGACCTTCAGTGAACCTCAGAATCTAAAGGAACTAATTTCTTCCTACAGAGGAGGAGGATCTACAACAGTGGTCCTCAAAAAATGCCGCTTTGCCCCCCAGGGGACATTTGGCAATGTCAAGAGACATTTTTGAACGTCTTGGCTAGGGGTGAGCTTCCAGCATCTAGTGAATGGTGTCTAGAGATGCTGCTAAACATTCTAAAATGCACAAGACAGGCCCCCAGTTAAAGAATTGTGAGGTCCAAAGCATCAATAATGCCACCATCAAGAAACTCAGATCTACAGGGAAGAGCGAACGTTAATCAAAATGGGGTACTAGACGGCTCAACGAAACTTCTACAGGTATGTGATGATTTGTTGCAAGACTACTGTGGAAAGGCAGGAGTTTGGGGGGATGGATGAGCGTGGTGGTGGTCTTCGGAAATGGAACAGCTGGTCAGGATTTCCCAGTGCTGACGCAGTTGTCTATAACCCTCAGTTTACAGAGATAGGTTCTAAGGCTCAGGTGGTGGCTAATATATAGAATCGGGATCGTTGTCTCTTGAAAAGCACATCAGGGCTCTTTTCAAAATCAGAGATAGGCAATCATTTTAAGAGATTAACTGGTAGCAGCTTTCCAGTGCATGTGCCCAGCAGGCACCTGAACCTAGCAGAAAAGAGTACTGGGATTGATTTGTGATGTCTGCCACAGATGCAGGTAAGAGGAATGATGGCACTTGGGAAACATATTTACCTTCCTTGTACTTCACCATTTTTCTTAGCCTCAACTATCCATAGAGAAACATATTTAAGGCCATTTAAAAACATATTTAGAATCTTGTTAGGCTGCATTAAAAGACATGCTTTTAACATACTCTTCTGAAAAATAAAATTATCCAATTTTTAGTAATGCATGCTTGTTGTAGAAAATAAAGACAAATAAAGAAGAAAATACAAATCCTCTATATCCCATACATACAAATCCTCTATATCCACAAAGGATAGTTTGATAGTTTCCTTTAGACTTTTATTCTATAAAGTATCTCTTCTTCTCTTAAATTTTTCTGAAATTGAATTCATGATGATTTATTGCTGTTTTTTAAATTAACACTAAAATATGTGCATAACCCATGTCATTAAATATTTTTGTAAGCCTTGCTAGTTCAAAGGCTGTAATGATACACTGCACAATGGATTGTTAACATTTATTTAATAAATATCCTGTAGTTGGACACGTGGGTTTCCTCCAGGTTTCTTTTATTTATTTCTCTCTTTTTTTTTTTTGCTATTGTTACAAGATAAACAACTTATACACATTTTTTTTGAACATGGATGAGTATTTTCCTACACTCCATTTTTATGAGTGGAGGAATGACTGGCTTAAAGGTTATAAGAATTATTATGAAAGTCCTTGATACATAGTGTCAGGTTTCTTCTAGAAAAATGACTCTAGATTATACATCTCTTGAGAAGGAATACGAGGGCTAGTTTCTCTAAATTTTTATCAAAAATGACAATTTTTGAAACTTGCTGTCTTTTAAGAAATAAAATAGTATATTGTTTTTAAGACTGCATTTATTAATGAGGTTGAAATTTTTAAAATGATTGTAATTATTTGTATATTTCTCTTGTGTGAATTGTTTGTATCCTTTACCCATTTTTTCTTTAGGATATTTTTTCTGGTTTTATTTTGTATAAACTCTTTGAACACACTGGTCTTTATTAAGATTAGTACATTTGACACCATGGAATACTATGTGCCATAAAAAATGATGAGTTCATGTCCTTTGTAGGGACATGGATGAAGCTGGAAACCATCATTCTCAGCAAACTATCACAAGGACAAAAAACCAAATACCGCATGTTCTCACTCATAGGTGGGAATTGAACAATGAGAACACTTGGACACAGGAAGGGGAACATCACACACTGGGGCCTGTTGTGGGGTGGGAGGGGGGGGATAGCATTAGGAGATATACCTAATGTAAATGACGAGTTAATGGGTGCAGCACACCAACATGGCACATGTATACATATGTAACAAACCTGCATGTTGTGCACATGTACCCTAAAACTTAAAGTATAATTTAAAAAAAAAAATGAAAAAGAAAAAAATAAAGTAAAATAAAACAAATTAAAAAAAAAAAAGAACACATGTGCAGTCACTGGTGTCACCCTGGATAGGCAAGGGATAACTCTTCTTACACAAAATAAAGTGTTTTATGTTTGGAATAAAAAAAAAAATTAGTATATTTGTTATAAATATTTCCTCCTGTCTATTGTTTAACGTATATGTGTGTGTGTGTGTGTGTGTGTGTGTGTGTATATATATATATATATATATATATATATATATATATATATATATACACATACACCTGTGTGGTTATGTTGAGAAATTTTAATATGTCTGATCAAATCCTTTTTTTTCTTTTGATATTTATTACATTACTTTTAAGGTTAGTCATTCCTTCTGTTTCTTAATCACATATAAACATGATCTGTATATATGCACACATAGAGAGAGGTGTTTACTTATATAAATATAATTGATTATATAGTGTATATACAAATAGATACATATATAGAGTTTCTCCTACCTTCTTAAAGGTTTTTGTTTGTTTGTTTGTTTAGTTAGCATCTGAACTTTATTATGGGCCAAAGTAAGAAACCAATTTTTTTCACTTCAAGTATTTAACCAGTTTTTTCAGTGGTTTTTATTACCTAATTCTGCATTCTTCCTCTGACATGATGCCATCACATATGGTATTCTTATACTTAATAGGGTTTTTTGTGGGTTAGCTGCTGCTTTGTTCTTTTTTCTGCAAGTGTCTGTAGTAGTTATTAATGATATTCACCAAAATGTCTGGCTTGTTGGCTTCTGGGAATGTGGTTATATTGCATTACCTTGCCTTCCTAGGGTTGTATGAAGTCATGTGGCTGGCTCTGGTCATGGAAATATGAGCAGATGTGATGTGAGTCTTTTCCCAGGTAGGCTTTACCTGTCTGTAGGAAACCACTCAGAACTCTTCTCCTCCACCAGTGACCCCATCAGCTGGAGTAAGGAGAAGTGGAGCAGTGTCCCCAGTCAACTTGTAATGGACATGAATCAGAAATAAGATGTAAGTCTGTTTAAAAGACGTTTGGGGGTTGTTTGTTACTGCTAGCAGAACCTAGTGTGTGCTGACTGAGACATATATATTAATAGTAAGTCCTCACTTAATGTCATTGATAGGTTCTTGGAAACTGGATCTTTAGGCAAAATAATGCATAAGAAAACCAGTTTTACCATAGCCTAATTGACATAAATAAGAGTTGAGCTCCTATGGCATATTTCTGGTCACAAAAACATCACTAAATTTCTAAATCAAGACCCAAAACACGTCTAATATTAAATAGTGAAATAAATGTGATATATACATACGTGTAAGAAAGATTAATAAAAACAAGTGAGAGAATTATGTACCCAATTATGCCAGCCAAGTCATGGATCACTGTAGCCTATCCCAGAAGCTCAGGGATTGATTTGCCCATTTACAGCTGAGTGTAAATACCCAGCTGTCAATCACAAAGTGGGAACCAGCCCCGGACAGGATGCCCTCCCATCATAGGTTGCACTCACACATACCCACAATCACTGATCCTGGGACCATTTAGACATGCCGGTTCACCAAATGGGCACAGCTCTGGGATGTGGGAGGAAACCACAGTACCTGGAAAAAAACCCACGTAGACATGGGAAGAACGTGTAAACTTGACACCGACAAGGATCCTGGCCGGGAATTGACTTTTTTCCCTCATCAATGTTACAATGAAAGGATGTTGAATAAAATGATGCTATTCAAGGTCCTGCTGAACATTTTGTTTTAATTGAATACATTTGAATACATGGTCAAGTAAATCAGTCTTTTTTGCTTCCTTCCCAAAAACTGTTCGGAATGATTTTGCCTATCTGTACTTCCAGGAAACTTTTTGATTCATTGTTCAAATATTGCTGCTCCTTTCTCTCCAAGGTGAATCTCAATGAGATTTTGTTTGAATTATATGAACTATATTATTAAATTCAGAAATAATTGACATCCGTTCAATATTTCACCTTCCCATCCAGAAACATGTCATCATATTCATTTTGTTAATATACTGTTTTGTGTACTTTCATAAAATATTTTGTATAGATTTCTGCATATGTTATAACATTTTTCTTAAATATTTTATGTATACTGTTGTTTTGTGTCTGAGGTCATCATATCAATACTCTTTTCTAACTGGTTTTTACTGCTATTTAAGAAAGCTTTTTATTTTGTACCTTTGTTATGAATTCAGCTATCTTACTGGATTTTAATTGGTTCTAATAAATTTTTCAGTTCATTGTTTTGCATAGTTTTTCAAAATCTTTACTTTTCAAATTGAAATTGTATGTTCTAATTTGAACAATTTTTTATTATGACAATTAGAAATGACACTGTGACTAGATCAAGTAAGACATAAATTATTTTTGAATTTATTAATTTAGAATTATAATTTATATATTATTATTGTTTTTCTAAAGTTAAATGCTTTTGGTTGGTACAAAAGAAGTTTAATGGCAAAAACTACAATTTCTTGTGCGCCAACCTAAAGCATGACTTTTATCTCTTCATGGACAATAGTATAATGAACTCACATGGGCTTATCTCCTAGCTTTAAAATTTTTCAACATATAATCCCACTCCTAGGTATATACCCAAAAGAAAGGAAATCAGTATATTGAAGAGATATTTGCACTCTCATGTTTGTTGCAGCACTATTCACAATAGCCAAGATTTGGAAGCAACCTAAGTGTCCATCGACAGAAGAATGGATGAAGAAATTGTACATATACACGATGGAGTACTGTTCAGTCATAAAAAAGAATGAAATCCTGTCATCTGCAGTAACATGGATGGAACTGGAGATCATTATGTTCAGTGAAATAAGCCAGGCACAGAAAGACAAACATCACATGTTCTCATTTGTGGGAGCTAAAAGTTAGAGCAACTAAATTCACATAAATAGAGAGTAGAAGGATGGTTACCAGAGGCTGGGAAAGGTAGTTGTTGGATGGGGAGTGAGTGTTGGGGCGATGTAGGGATGGTAAATGAGTACAAAACATAGAAAGAATGAGTAAGACCTAGTATTTGCTAGCACAACAGGGTGAATAAAAAATAATTGTACATTAAAAATAACTAAAAGAGTATAACTGGATTATTTGTAACACCAAGGATACATGCTTGAGGGTATGGATATCCCATTTACCCTGATGTAATTATCAGACATTGCATGCCTGTATCAAAATATCCCATGTAACCCATAAATATATATATATCTAGTATGTACACAGAAAAATTATGAATTAAAAATTAAAAAAATATTTAACACATCACCAATCTTTTTATCTATACTAACCCAACCTCTACCCATCACACACACACACACACACACACACACACACACACTTTTGCACTGAATGATTCTGAAGCAAACCCTGCAAGATCATATCACTTCATCTGTATTTCATATATCAAAATTTTAACCTTAATCACAATTTCTCCTTCTTTAATTTTAATTTTCCAAATTGTAGATGTTCAGAAAACCTGTCTTGGCTGTCCCAGTATGGTTTCATCCTTGTTTTTGATTAAACTGATAATACTTGTTTAAGATAAAATGTTTAAAAAATTTCAAGCAGTAGAAAGCTATGCGCAATACAAAGTGAATTAACATCTTTTCTGAGGTCCAAGTACTTCTGCCTCAAGAATGTCACATATATTTTTCTCTTCTATATTTTAGGTAAACTTCATGTCATCTGCAAAAACAATATCTTTGCTCCTCTCAAGTTCTGACTGAGGCTAGAACATCCAGAATAATCCAGATTTTGCTGTTCATCTCAAAACAAGTAGAAGTGCCAAGATTCATATCCATGGACTTTGGTGCCAGAACACATGTTTGAAACCACTATACAAGATTTTAATACAGTAAAAAAGCATGCTTCTCTTTCCAGATTACTAAGAACTGGGTGCTGAATTCAATCAAATTCTCTTTTGGCATCTATTAAAATGATTGTATGTTTTTTTCCTTGATTTATTGATATAACATTTTGTCTTAGATGTTACCAATATTAAACCATTCTTTATTTCCTGATATAAGTAATATTTGGAATGATATAATATTTGGTTTTTATATTTAATGTGTTGCTGGTTTCAATTTGTTATTATTATTTTTTAATTTAGAAAATGTTTGCATCTATATTCATATGTGAGATTGGGCTATTTCTTTGTTATCTTTGTCATATTTCACTGTGCTATAAAATGGATCAGAAAGCTTTCAAGTTTTTTCTAACTTTGGAAAACTTATTAGTGTGGAACTAATTTGGCCCCATGGAAGTGTGAAAATATTTACAATAAGACAGTCTACCCCTGGAGAGTTTTTCAAAGGCAACTCTGATAGTTTTTGAAATGTTTTAAATCGATTTTGACCAATTATATTTTCTTAGAAACTATCTATTTTATTAAGATTTTTCAGGAAACTTTACTTAATATTGAAATTTATAAAATACAGCTATATATTTTTAATTTGATGACCATGATAAATATGTATTAATTTTAGAACATTTGAAAAGTATACAAAAGTAAATTTGAAAAATAAAAATCATATGAATTCTAAGTTCCTTTTAATATTTCAGTCTATTAACTATCTATTTGGCTAGCTGGCTCACTGTTTTGCTTAATAAGACACGAAGAACTTTCTGTCATCAGTTACCAAATATGTAATTTTAATGACTGCATAATATTCTATTATATACATGTGCCATAGTTTATTTTTTCAATCTATTGTTAGACATGCAAGTTACTTCTATTTTTTTCTAACAAATAATGCTAGGATATATAGTTTGTAAATATACATATGTGTACATATGTGATTATTGCCCCAATGTATATTTTTTAGAAATATAATTAAGTGAAAGGTTATAGATATTTGAAATCTTTTTGGTTCTACACTCCAAGTTCCTCCTAGAAAATTTAAAGCAATTTACAGATCTATAAACAGCATATGGGATGGTCAGCTTGCCTGCTCGCTCAGCAGCTCAGACTACTACATTTTAAATATTTGCATCATGGTTTGTGTTTTTATTTTTTCATTATTATTGAAATTAAGCATTTTTTTCTTATATGTATTGGGCATTTAGAGTTTTTATTTTCTGAGTTGTCTACCCATATTTCTTTCCCATTTTCTGATGGGTGTTTATATTTTTCTTATGAATTTAGAAGATTTGTTTTATTGTTCTGTTCTCACACTGCTATAAAGAAATACCTAAGACTGGGTAATTTATTTAAAAAAAGAGGTTTAATTGGCTCACGGTTCTGCAGGCTGTACAGGAAAGTTAGCAGCATCTGCTTCTGAGGAGGTCTCAGGAAACTTACAATCATGGCAGAAGGCAAAGAGGAAGCAGGCATGTCTTACATGGCCAGAGCAAGAGAAAGAGAGAGAAAAGAGGGAGGTACTAGGCATTTTTAAACAAGTAGATGTCATGAAAACTCTATCACGAGAACAGCACCAAAGGGATGGTGCTAACTCATTCAGGAAGGATGCACTCCTATGAGCCAACGACCTCCCACCAGGCTGCAACTTCAACACTGGGGACTGCAATTCAACATGAGGCTTAAGTGAGGACACAGATCCAAACCATATCATTTGTCAACTGTGGATATTAAAAGTATTTTTCCTAGGTTGTCATATACTTCTGATTTTTAATTTTGTGGAAGTGCAAAAACGTTTCTTTTCTATGTAGTCTATTATTTTTTCCTTTATGCCTTCCTCCTTTATTTCTATACATAGAGGACTTCATTATTTCATTTTAAAAGTTCTTATCTTTTATTATATTCTCTTTCTCATTCTAGTTTTATTTGAGTTTAATCTTGCTTTCTTTTTTATTGTTAGATGTGCTGGAGTACAATATGTTTTCTCATAGCTTTAAAGAGTCAGCTCATACATTTATATTATGCTTCTCTTTGTTAATTCAATCCCTTTTTGTTTTTATCAATTTAATTTTTATCCAGCTTTCTTTAGGCTTGCTGTATTTGTTGTGCATTTATTAATTTCTTGAAGGCAAATTTTAATTCATTTATTTTTTCTCTTTCTTTTTAAATAATGAAACAATTTATTGCTTTACATTTCTTTGCTCTGAAGAAATGTAGTTTTGGCAACAGCTCATAGGCTTTAAGGAAGCATTGTTTTGTTCTTTTATTATTTTCTAAATAGTCTGCAACTCAGGTTTTTATTTCCCTTTTGACTCAATAACTACTTATGAGAACTTTTTTTTACTTATTTATTTACTATCCAAGTTTCTATCATTTTCTTTGTGGTTGTTGGAAATGTTTCCATTTATTTTAGTTCTATCAGAAAACTTGCCCTATAAACTTTTTTTTTAATTAAGGTTTTCTTGATGATGTAGTACATAGTAAGCTTTTGAAAATGTTCTCCTAATACTTGAAAAAGTATGTATAGGGAACAAAGTTGGAAATACTACATATCTTTTGTCTTATTAACTGTATTATTCAAATGTTCTCAGTTTACTTGATGTATTGAAGGCATCCAAGGTTTGTTAACCTTCTCACAATTACATCTCTGTCTAACTCTCCTTACATTTCAAAAAAATTTAAATGTTTTGAATTTTCATAAAGGTCTATTTTATCTTCATTGAAGATGTTACTTCTATCATAATAAAATGACTCTTAAATTTAAAGACTTGAATTATAACTCACTTTCTTTTTGTTTCAATTTGCCTTGTTCTTCTTTATAACACTTTTCATATACCCCTCCGTCCCATTTTCTTTACGCATAATTCATGGAAGTAGCGTGTAATCAAATTTTACTTTTACTCCCATCAGGGAGTCTTTTAATGGGGTATTTAAAATCATTTCCATATACTGGGAGCCACAGTGAGCTGCGGCTGGGTCTGAGCACACCTGGCAGCCCATGGTATATATTTAGGGGCTGACAGATGCCCTGGGGATAAAGTCCTTCTCAGGAAAAGAGAAAGTCACTTGTGAGAGAAACTACCTACAGGCAAAGACTTAGAGATTGGGGAGGGGAGGTGATGTTTATTTAGGGCAATATAATACCTTCTAATTTTGTGTATTCTCATCCACATGGGGCTGGGGCCAGGTCATGTGTGACAGAGAAATAGGAAAGGAATAGGATGGAGGTAGGAAAAGACAAAGAGAGAGAGAGACAGAGAAAGAGAGAGGGAAGGAGGGCAGGAGGGAGGGAGAAAGGGAGGTGGAGCTAACATGGCTACCAACTTTGTAGGGTGTAGCCCCTCAAGCAGCATTATCTCACAGCCCTTATAACACACTGTATCCCAAAAGGGTGGGACAAACCTTGTCTCACTTTTGCCACACCCACCATGAGATGCCTCAAGGACCTTGGTGCCTGTGGTTGTCAGCAGGTACTAGGGGAGGTAGCAGTAATATCAACTGGCCCTGGTAGGTGCCTGGCACGCAGCGCTGGAGCCTAGAGGTTGTAAACTAGCAGCTGTTTGAACTTCATATTCTAATAAGCCTATAAGGAACTCCCCCAGAAGACTTCAGGACAAATTTGACAACTTAAGGGGCATATTTCTGGGACCTAGAACCCTGCATGTGGAGACAAAAGCAAACACAAGGGTAGTTACTATAGCCAGTACACTATTTGCTACATCATAGGTTAGTGTTGCCTGGGGAAATATAGATTTATTTTTTATAATTAGCATTCTTGTTCTCATTTCTTTCATTTTATTTTGTGTTTTCTGTTTTAAATGATGTGTTTATTGATTTTTTGCTATAAGTCCCATGGGTTTTCTTTTTCTCTTCTTAAAATCTGGAAAGTTTACTTTTTAAAATTTCTTTAAAAAATATTTAATTTTTTACCATTACTTTTTCAAGAAAGGGGTCTAGGTTGAGTTTGAACCATGGGCTATGCAGGGGTTTGGATGAGCCTAGTGAGCTTCACAGGGGCATCTGCCAGGAATCTGTTTTCATAAGGGACTGAGGGGTGTCCTGGAAAAGAAATCATCCTAAGGGAAAAACATAGGGGAAAAGATCCTAAGGAAAAAGAGAGACAATGGTGAAGGATGGCCAGAAATTTTGACATTCCTCGGATTGAGAACTGGGGATCTATGTTATCTCCTGTGAACCTGAGTGGGATCAATGACTGCTGGACTAATAGAATATGGTGAAAGATTCATTGTGCATTTCTGAGCCTAGGCAAGTTTCACTTCCTGTCTCACTTTTGGCAACCTAAGCTGCCATGTAAGAAGTATGACTTCCTTGCTTCACATGAGGAAATGCTGTACCGCACAGAGAGTGAAAGGAACCATGCTGAGCCCAGTCTCCTGGCTGTATCCCCAAGGAACCAGTATGTGCGTAGAGAAGCCATCTTGGAAGAGGTCCGGTCCCAGCCACCCCAGCTGACACCATGTAACTCAGAGATGAACCATCCGGCAGAGCCCTTCCTGAATTCCTTTTCACAGAATCATACACAAAATAATCACTTAGTTTTGTAATCACTTAGTTTTGGAGTAGTTTGTGAACCAGCAATAGATAACTGACACTGAAGCTTTGATCTTGGAGGGGATTAATGATTTTGAGTGGTCACAACCATTCACTTTTCTCTTCTAACCCAGCCCTGCATTGATGTATGTCTCAGTACTATATGGACAGCAAAAAATACAATCCAGAGAAATCTGCTTTTATTAACTGGGCTTAAGCAACACTGTACTAGGAATTCTGTTAACAAACTGTAACCAACAAAAAGTAGAGAGGCAATTTCCCTCGCTTTTTTTTTTGTCTTTTCTCCACATTTATCATCTTTCTTCTATCATTTTTATCTACTTTTCCCTACTACTTCTTCTACATTCTGGAGTTTCTCTAGCTTACCCTCCATTTCATGACTTAATATTTACGGTAGCAATTCTTCTCTATTCCATATGAAATATGGATTTTACTTCTCCTAATGCATTTTTAGTTTTCATATACTTCTTCTTGATCTCATTTATTTTTATTCGCATCTCATTCTGTTGGTCTTAACTCATACTCTTCGGGCTTTGTGTTCTATACCAAACAGTTCTCTATTATTATTATCTCTTTTTTTGTAGATTGTGTTTTGAAAGACCTGCTCATCTTCAGAGTCGTCAGAATGTTGGTCTCATTGCCTTCTCCTCTATAGGCTTTGGTAATCCACAGTGTTAGCTTTCTTTCTGTTTCTCAGGAAAGCTTTTTCCAGACACAAAGAATTGTTGCATATCTTTACCCAGTTCTCTTTCACCAGCATTATAGGAAAATCCCACCCCTAATCTGAGCTGAATGGCATGTTGATGTGCCTAATTTTAGCCTAGCCTAACCTAAATCACAACACTAGCTGACTTTCATCTCTTATGGCTCCAATAAACCCAAACAGAGACATCTCCTCCCTCTCTCTGAGTCTTCTCCTAATTTTTTAAATTTATTTTTATTTTTAAAAAGTTTTTAGAAATAGGGTCTCATTCTGTTGCCCAGGATGAAGTTCAGTGATACAATCATAGTTCACTGCAACCTCAAACTCCCTCCCACCTCAGCCTCCTGAGTAGCTAGGATCACAGATATGTGGCATCACCCCTGGCTAATTTTTTTATTTTTATTTTTTATTTTTGTAGAGATGAGATCTCACTATGTTTTCCAGGCTGGTTTTGAACTCCTGGCCTCAAGAGATCCTCTTGCCTCGGCCTCCTGAAGTGCTAGGATTACTGGTGTGAGCCACCTCACCCAGCCATCTTCTCCTGATTTGAATGTTTGCAAACCTCTTTCTGTCTCCAAATCCTTCTCCCACACCCTTTGGAGCTTCATTTCAGCACGTAGACACAAAGTTCTAGGATTAGGACAACAGATAAAGAAACAGTCATTTGAGAAAAAATGAAGACACTTCCTCCAAAGAGGAGCCAACATGAGGGATCTGGGGAAGGGCTCCTTAAAGGCAAACACCCCTCACTTCTCTTTCCTCAATGTCAACAAAACTTTACCAAAGATGAAGGTTCTAGATGCTCTTGTGAGGGTTGTTCTGTTCATGACTCCCAAGCACAGCTCCTTCACCTCCCCACACCTTTGCTTGTGCTCGTTTCTCTTCCTGGGATGCCTGTTTTCCACATTCCCATCACTCAGCCCACGTGGTCAAGTCCTGCTCATCTCCCAAGAACCAGTTAAATGTCACCATCTTTCCTCTTCACACTTTGTTCTGATGTTTTCATCTCTGCTGTGTTCTCCCATAGGATTTGAACCGGTTTTATACAGCTCGTTCCATCATCTATTTTAACTATTGTTTAGTTGCCATCTAGCTCTCTGAAAGACGGCAAGTTCCTCACAGACGAAAGTTTGACTTTATTCACCCTTTTACCCCCACCCCTGGCAAGGCCTAGGCTTGACACAGTGCTTGACATATCAATGTCAATGTTTGTCGAAGGGGTTGATAATGCCTGTCTTGTATCTGGTAATTGACTGGACTGCCCAAAGTCTCTTATCAAGTTGGTGTCAGAAGCAAGTCTCAAGTTAGAAGGTCCTAATGTCATAAGATCAGGCCTTGGTGCACCTGTTGGCAGTCCAGTGGTATGAGGGGTGTTGCTAACCCAGTAATTCCCTGAGGGTGCTACCCCTCTCTTTGGGAAGCTCCTTAAGTGTGGTCTGTTTAACATGATCAGTTTTGTGGGGAAACACTAGTGCATCATGGAAGGCGTCGAATGCAGCGCTCCAGAGTTTGGGGAAGGTAAGAATGACACCACTCACTGGTTGTGCTCTCAGTCACGCTTATTACTCACTGTTCCCAGTCTCATATGTAACATAAGAATAATATTAGTACTTACCTTGTAAGATTGTTGTAAAGATTAAATGACCTACTAGATGTAAAGCTCTAAGCATAGTGCTAGCTCATAGTAAGTGCTATATATGTGATGCAATTATGCTTATTCTCATCGATGAAGATAGATTGGCATTGCCTACCTGTGTTGAGAAGGATTTGGAGGACTTATCTGGGCTTAGCTAGAAAAAAAAATATACTGTCAAGTATGCAAGAAGGAGAAGTGGTAGCTCATGGACCAAGTGTTTGTTGACCTCGCTATAGGGCAATAGGAAACTGAAAAGTTTTTATTCTAGTGGGATTCCGTGGACATACATGGTATAGATCTGCCAACTTCTAGTCAATTTCTAGAGTTTAGTTCCATGGAAATGCCAAAGGCATTCCCAGTCCCTCATCGTAGAAATGACTGCATGTGCACGTACAAACACTGCACACACATCAGGCACATGTGCAACCAGACTGTGATTATGAAAATGCTTTCAATTTTGTGACTCACGTTTTCTTTCCCCCTCTACACTCTTTGTGAACTTTCTTTGCAGTAAAGTGAAGGGTTAAGTGTCTAGAGAGGCTCCCAGGCCCATTTTGCATATAAGCATTTCCATGTTAATAGAACATTTAAGGGAAAATGCTCTCTGTCAATTGATTGTATAAATATTTTATCTGGAGTAAGTGGCAGCAATGAAGGTCTCTGGAAGACTTTCTCTGAGAGCGGAGTGAAGGATAAAATTAGGGCGTTATTGTGAAGAAATAAGACACAACAGGGAGTTACAAACACTTGATCCAAAGTGTAAAAAACGGTCCTCTCGCCTCTGTGCAGCCCGGAGCCTGGGCCGATTAAATCCATAATGGAATGAGTAAGTTTGGGCCACATAAATTTGTCTTCCTTCCCCAGGAATCCTGCCCGCCTCCTGGCTAGATTAATGGCCAGAAGCCTCGCACATAATGAAGTGCGCTACCCTGGCACCCGCTCATGAATTTATTATGGTGTCCACAATTGGGCTGGATGGCAGAGACATCTTTATAAATCCTGCATTTAGCGCTGCCGAGATGAGCACTTCACTCCTAATGGCAAGCCTGATTTATCACCAGGGGCCCTGCTCCTCCACCAGGCCCCTCCCCATCACTTCTCGAAGGAAATACAGGTCATCTTGCTGATGGAAATGAAATGTGAAGGTAATTAGAGGATGCCAAATGGAGATGGGAAAGGGGGCACCATGGACATTTTAAATATGTTGGTCATCTTTTTCCTTCAAGCAATTATATCAGGCTGATTTATTTTTACAGTTTATAATCACTTAACTACCTGTGGCTGGGGATTTTTTTCTTTAACCTCGAGCTTTGGAGACAAGAGACAGATTTTTGATTTCTCTTTCTTAGGATGGTATAAAGGGAATTCATTGTGAGCTCCTCAGGCTCTGAGTTCCTCTGCAGTTTCTCAGCCAGAGCAGCTGGCTGCTGGGGTCGTCCTGGCCAGTGCCTCTCAGGGGTACTCTAGTTGTGTGTGGCCCCCAGCAGCTTTCAGGACTCATTTGTAGGTGAGGATGTGAAAGTAACTATTTTTCCTTGAGGTCGCAGAGGCCAGCCTGTGACAGGTGGAAGAAAAGAATTACTAAGAGTTGTGCCTGATGGTCACAGACTGTAATCCTGGCTTTTCTACTTCCTAGCTCGCTGACTCTGGATGTTTTACTTCACTTCTCTAAGCCTCAGTTTCTCTGTCCATAAAATGGGTATAATAATAGTATCTCCCTGAGGCTGCTGTGAAGATTATATGTGAAAATGTTTGCAAACTCTTAGCATCAAGCTTGGCACGTGGTCACCTCCCAGAAGTGTTAGCTAATTGAGAAGTATTCAGGGCCACCACACTATAACTATGTCAATGCATATTTAATTTGAGAACTATGTTTTGGATATTGTAAATACGGACTTAGTTCTACCTTGCTACCAGGGCCTCACTGATAGTGTGGAAGGTAGGGAAGTAAACCATTTCATTACAGAGCTGCAGGAAAAGTAAGAACAGGTGCAATGAGAGAAGGGTGGAAGAGTCTTTAGCCCCAAGAGGGGTTTCAGAGGTGCTGGTATCAGGCAGGGCTTCCTGGAGAAGAGGAACCTTACCTTTAAAGCACGAATTGCAGTTTACATAGAATTTTTATATGTAGTATCTTATGTAATATTTTTAACAATCTTGTGGGATGGACAATTTATAGGCGAGGAGATAGGAAACAGAGAGGCAAAGTGGTCTTGTAGGAGGCAACACAGACCAAAGGGAGCTTTGGATCAGGTCTGCTGTCTTGGATTTGAATCTGGGCAGGCTTCTAAGCTTCACACTGGTTGGTAGTCCTACTTAGTAGCAAACATATTAAAAGGAACACTCATTTTTCATTTAATGTAGTTAAATAAATATATTAATAACCTCAAGATTTTAATTGAGATGTAGTTGACTAGATGACAGTGCATGTGTGTGTGTATCCTCAGATGCTTTTAAGATTTTTCTCTTAGTCTTTGGTTTTCAGCAGTTATTTTATGATGTGTGTTTTTCTTTGTATTTAATCCTGCTTGTGGCTCACAGCAAGTCTTGAGTGTGTTCTTTTGATGTCTCTTGCAGCTTTGGCAAATTCTCAGCCATTTTTGAAGCATATTTAAATATTGCTTTTTCCTTATTCTTTCTCTTTTCCCTTTCTGAAAATCTTCAGGGTGGATGTTTTCTACCCACTTACCTTCCAGTCCCTCAATCTTCTTTTCAGCTGTGTCGAATCTTCTGTTAAATCAATTTATTGCATTCTTAATAAACATATACAGTTGTATTATCCAGCCCTAGAATTTTCATTTGATTTATTGAATATGGGTTCAAAGTCTCTGGTCAAATTCTTCATTTCTTAAATCTATTTTTTAACATAAGAATCACAGTCATTTTAAAGTTTGTATATGATTACTTCAATATCTAGATTACCTGTGAGTCTGTTCTATTGTCTTTCTTATTGTTTTGGTTCTGCCTCCTGGTGTGTCTAATAATTTTTTATTGAACCATCAGGGAGTCTCAGGGAGTTTAGCTTCTGGTAGGCAGAGTAGAAGCAGATTGCCTTAATCCAATCAGGCATTGAGATGAGTTGAGATTGAGTACCAGCCTCTTCATCCACGTCACTTAAGAATTAGTAGGTTTCTTGGAGTGGTATAGAATGTTAAATTTACCCCCCAAAATTTCTCTCTTTTCGTTGAGATATTCATCCCTTGTGTCTTGGCTGCTTGGTGTTTCTCTCAAATGGTATTTTTTAAAAAATTGATCCAGTTTTCCTATTTATTCTCAATAGAAAAGTATTCTACAAACTCACAGTCAGACATGGAAGCCTGGCATGTATTAATTATAATATTGCAGTTTTCATATTTTGTTGCATATAATTTTTATTCTGGCCTAAATTTTTAAGATTGTAGGCCCTGCATTTATAGTGGCTAGTAAGAAAAAATTTAAAGGGTTTTGACTCCTACTCTGCAACTTACCAGCTGAACAAAATTGATAGTGATAGTCATGATAATTAATATTTCTCTAGTGCTTATTATATGCCAGGAACTATTCTAACCACTTTTACATATACGTATTTATTAAATCATCATTAACCCCATTTTAGAGATGAGTAAACTGTGGCACAGGAAGTATGATAGCTAGCCTCCACGACAGCCCCAAATGCTCCCTGCTTTCTGGTTGCCATGCCATTGCGGACTACCTCCCATGCTTGATCTGTTTGGCCAATGGACTATGGTAGAGATGGTGGCATGTCACCATGTCACCATCATGATTAGGTAATTAAAGACACTTCGGCTTCTGTCTTGATTACTTTCTCACACTGTCTATCTCTCACATATGACTTGTTTTCTCTCTCAGGATACTTGCTCTGGGAGAAGCCACCTGCCTGTCACAAGCAGTCTTATTTTATGGAGAAGCTCATGTGGTGAGGAAGTGAGGCCTCTTGCTAACAACTATGAGGGTGAGCTGGGAAGCAGATCCTCTGCTTCGATCCACCCTTCAAATGACTGCACTCCGCCATGGACAGCTTGACCACAGCCTCAATCCTGAGTTAGAACCTCCCAGCTAAGCTGTCGCCACCACATTCCTGACTCTCAGAAGCTGTGAGAGCATTCGTGTTTATAGTTTTCGGCTGCTGAATTTTTGAGTACTTTGAAAGCAGTAATAGATAATTAATACAAAGAGGTTTAGAAAAGTTCATGCAGATCGTATACGCAGCTGAGTGGGATTAACTAGGAGCAAACTAGGTATATTCTGTTGTGGGGGAAATAAAAACTATAATCAGAAGATGTCAAATTTTAAAATTTTAAGTTTAAAACAGGATTATCTTGTTTATAAGGACTGAAGTGTGGGAACAAAGAAAGGGAGCGCTCACTAGTCAGAGGCTGGAGGCTCCCTCATTTCAGTTCCTTAACACATCAGACTGTTTCTTAGAGAAATATAATTTCAGACCTCCTCCAAGGTTAGCCTTGCTATCTTCAGGGCAGAGGGGTCTCTTGACATTTGGGATAGACGGGGGACCACCTAATGCTCAGCAGGTAAGGGGAAGGTGGACCTTGCCAGTGTGAAAAGCAAACTTCAGAAGCTATTTGATTATTCTTGTACTGTGATTGCACTCTGGCTCTATAAGATGCTAACATAAGGGTGTGGTATGTAAAGTGTTCCCACTCTGTACTATTGCTGCAACTTTTCTGTAGGTTAAAAGTAGTTCAAAAATTTTTAACAGCTGTTTGAAAGACTGCTGATAATAAATATTTAAAGAGTGTTTGGGGTTTTTCCAGTTACAAAGTAAGGATCTGCCATTTGTTAAGATTTTCCCTTTCCTTCTCTCATTCTGACAGGTAGTGCTTTTTTCTTTTTTTTCTTTTTAATGGAGGGGCTGATTTTACCATCACCCCTTAAGTAATGGTAATATTAATATTACTATTGAAAGTCTCTGTATTAATAATACTATTATTAATATTAAAGGTAATAGTCTCTGTATTAATAGTACTTTTAATACAGATAATCTGAGTGTTTGTCTAGGACCAACATCCAGTAGAATTGGCCTCTGTTCTTCACCAAACACCCAGATAGTGAATCCACCAAGGTCTAAGATCTCCATCACACGTTCTAGCCACATCACTGCATTCTCTAGCAAAAGGAACCAGCTCCATGTAGGATTCTGAATGTAGCCCACACACTTCCAGGCAGCTGGGTCTTGGCTTCCTAGAGGTCTCAGACATAGTATTGGGGATGGGGAGTACCATCTCCCCATAGATAACCCATAGCCAGGAAGAGGGCCTTGGGCGTTCCCTGCCTCCTCCTTGAAGCCTACTCAGTCCCCCCTACATTAGAGTCGCTTCCCAATATTCTGTGATCAACGCACCTGCCCAATTGTACCTCATTTCCATCACAACCCTCTTCCCTATCCCCCATCCCAAGAGGGTCCTGATTTCCATTGTCTTCAGATAAGAGACTCCTGCACACTAAGAGCTGGCATTCTATTAGTGGCTTATTTTTTCCTAGCATTACATTTCAACAAGGAACAATGTCACAAGGGAAATTCAGGGGCTATGAAGGACCTATGTCCACAGTAATGGAAATAATACTGTATGTGGGTCACCCGGAGAGATACATTACAAGGGGCTTCCAAGAACCTTGCAGAAAACCATGTGCTCAGAAAAAATACCTTTAAGGCCTCCATCCTAGTTCACCTGTAGATGACCTGGGGCCTGACGACAATAGAATTCCATACTTATGCTAGTATTGCCCTTGCTTATTTAACTTTGGGCAAGTTTCTACTTTTGGGTCTTTCTTTACCACTTGGAGAGTGACAGGGTTGATTCAGACCAGCTATTTTCAGATGAAATCTTATGTGGCATCTGAATAAAATGGAAACAAATGAAATTGTTTTATTACTAGCATATAATGATTTTATACCTCTGTGGTAGACAGATTTCTGAAACGGCTTTCATGATCTCTATCTACTGGGGTGATCCCCTTGTGTAATCACCTTCCTTGGGTGCAGGTGGAACATGTGATTTGCTTCTAGCCAATGCAGTGTGGCCAAGGTAAAAAAAACTTTGCAAGTGTAATTAAAGTCTCTAATCAGCTGACTCGGAGTTAATAAAAAGGGAGATTATCCTGGGTGGGCCTGGCCTAATCAGGCAACTCCTTAAAAGAGATGTGAAGCAGCAGCAGATTCTCTCTTGCTGGTTTGGAAAAAAGCAAACAGCTGTGTTGTGGACTGCCTATGGGGTGGCCATGTGTCCAGGACCTGAAGCTGCCTCTACCAGTGGACAGCAACCCTTAGCCACCAGCCAACAAGAAAATGGAAACCTTGGTCCTGTGATTGCCAGGAACTAAAATCTCCCAACAACCTGAATGAGTTTGGAAGAAGACCCCAAGTTTCAGCTGAGACCACCGTGGGGACCAACACTTTGATTCTGGCCTTGAGAGACCCTGAGAGTGGAACCCAGTTATGTTGTGTTCTGACTTTTGAGTCTTGGAAACTATGGATAATAAACTGATATCATGAACACGTGTTATTTTAATCCACTGTGTGTTTCGTAAAGAGCTATGCAGCAATAGAAAACTAATAAAAAGTTCACATGCAACACTTAATTTTTAAAAGTCAATCAAGGAGGGTTTTTTTGGACAGATTTCTTCTTCTTCATTTGACAGACCACATTTAACAGACCTTTCTCCATTTGAAATTAGAAATCGTGGGTGACAATAACAAATTTTATTTTAATCTTATATCCAGTTTTTTCTCAAATATTGCTCAGTATCAAGAATATCTGGATTCCCTCAGAGGAGTAGCTATGAACAACTCAATTTTCAAATTCTGGTCACTTACGTAGATCTGGAAAGAGAGGCTTCAGTTCAGCCTGTCCAAGAATGACTATGCCTGGCAGTGCATGTTAATGACTTGGTGGTCCCAGGTATATTAAATTTGGTATCCAACATCTTGAGAGTTATAGGGATTTTTTTATATTACAGTTCTTAAAATAGCTAAACCTATGTTTTAAAAAATAATTTTCAATCAAATGTTTGAGAAATCCCTGGAAGCAGCATGGCTTTCACCAAATCTTAGGGTTCCAGAAGACATAGGCAAAATCCCAGCACTGGCAGTTTACCCAAGGACCTTCTAGGTGCACATTTCTTATTGATCTAAAATTATGGCCTGGCACAATGGCTCGTGCTTGTAATCTCAGCTCTTTGGAGGACTGAGGCGGGAGGATCGCTTGAGAGCAGGAGTTTGAGACCTCAATGAGCTATGATTGAGCCACCACACTCTAACTTAGTGAGAGAATGAGACCTTGGCTCTGAAAAAAAAAATCACTTTACCTTAGTCAGTGTGCCTTATTCCTTCTTTCATAGTACCTTAAATAAGTGTTAGGTTATAAATATTTATACATACACAAACACACGATGCATTATATATCTATATATATGAGGCATTACATATATATCTCATATATATATATATAAAATATGTCTGTGTATCTAAAGTTTCTGGAAAGGGAATTGAGGTCTGAGTAAGGGGTAGAGCTCAGGTCATTGATGGATACAAGCTCATTTGTGTGTGTATATTACATATAACTATTTGAGACTATATACACAATTACTTGAGAATTTAATATTACTGTATTTAAGTGAAACTTCAATCCTCTGCTGAATTTTCCTGTTGTACTTGGTGAAGGAGGTCATCTCATCGAGGAGGCTAAAGAGGTTTGGTATCTGTCAAGGCTGCCCTGGAAGTCTGGTCCCAACTGTGCAAAGATATGCAGTCGGAGGAAGGATTTGAAATGGATTTTCAGCCTCGGCACGATGAATACTTGGAGTTGGATATCTCTCCTTTGATGGGTACTGTCCTGGGCACTGTAGGATGTTCAGCAGCATCCTTGGTCTCCACCCATGAGATGCCAGGAGCTCCGCCCTCCTGCTCAACAAAGTCTCCTGTGAAGCAACCTGCCCCCAGTTGAGAATTTCTGCTTGAGAAGACACCAAACTCCAGGCATATATAATAGCAGCCATTGTGGAAATAACAACTTTTCTTCTTTTGGCCTCTGCCACCTAGCATTCAGTATTTGGGGATCTTTAGTCCACTTGAGTGGAAAAATTTTGTAGAACCCTAGATTAAAGTAGATATTCATAAATTATAAAATTTGAAAATTTCCAATTTCGGAGATGGGGAAACTGAGCCCCAGAGAGGAGAAGGAGCTTGCATAGACACACAGCAAGCCAGGGCCTGGGGTCTGAACCATTAGCTGATGGACAAGCCCCTACCCTTGCACACATGATCACACACACACACACACACACACACACACACACCCTTTTTCCTCTTCCCCAACCCCAGGAATTTGCATAGATTGAGGCTAACTCAAATTTAAGGCAAGAAGGGAGGCGCTGTCCCCTTGACTAATCAAATACACATAAAAGCTCTCTCTGAACTATAATTACGTTTGTTCGCTCCTTGGGTTGATTTATTTTTTATTTTAATTGTCAGCCCTGCTCCACCATGATGCTAATAGAAATGTTATTGCAGCCAATATGCGCTAAAATGATGTCTAAAGATTATTAATGAGAGCAATAAGAAGGTGTCTTCATAATAAGTCAGCATTAAAGGAGTAATTCATTTTACCTGATGTAATTGGATTGTAGCGTTTCAATAGCCTGGGACTTCCTCCTAATTGGGATTAGCTGCAGCTTCCTCCTTTTAGGAGAACATTTAACTCTTCCTCTTCTATTTTCCAGTTTTTTTATGAAGTAATTAAATGTGAACTGTTGGACATTTCTGGAAAGGAAGCCAAGGTCTGAGTAGACGCGGGGTGGGGAAGGGAAAGGAGTGGAGCTAAGCACTGAATGGCCTCAGGCTAAAAACTTAGTTCTCCTTCCTCTTCCTCATTCCTCCCCCTCCTCTTCCTCTTCCTTCCTCTCCTTGTCTTCCTCGTCCCTCTTTATACTCCCTTCCTCCTCCCTCCTTTTCTCCTTTCTCTCCATCTTCACCTCTTCCTTCCTGTCCTCCTCTCCTCCTCCCTTCTGATTTACTCTCTTCCTCTCTTCCTTCCCCCTCCTCTCCATCTCCTTCTTCCCCAACCCTCCATCCTTCTCTTCCTCTCTTTTCTTCCTTCCCTCTCCCTCTTTCTTCCTCTCCCTACCTACTCCTCTCCCCTCTCCCCTCTCCTCATCCTCCTTTCCCCTTCTCTTCTACCTTCTCCCTCTTCTCTTTCCCTCCTCACCCCTCCTCCCCTTCCTCCCTCCTTCCTGTTCTTCTCCTCCTTCCCTCATCGTCTTCTTCAGCTTCTCCTCTTCTGGGTTCCCAGGCCTTTCTATTTCTTCATGAGGGAGCCTGGGGTCTTAGAGTGCAGGGTATAGAAGGGAGAGTAGAACCATACTGTGAGAGGCAAGGTTTGGGCAGCAGTCACATGGAAAAATGTCACCTGTTGAAGGAGGAAGGAAACTTCTATCTAGACCCTATTGGACACAAGACTTCTGGCCATGCACTTTGCATTTGTTATTTCATTCAATTGTCCCAATACCCATAGAAAAGCTATAACTATCTCATTTTTCTGTTGAAGAAATTAGGACTGAGGGACAAAATCATGACACCCATCTGTCCTACTCTACCACCCTACTCAGGAAGCCAAGACAATCAGAGCAGATTTCCCCAAATTGTGGTGCTCGTGGTAGGGGAAAGGATTTTAGAGTGTATGGAGACCAAGAGATCTTGCTAAATGATTGTGCATTGACTTCAGTGTGAGTCAGGAGAAAAGTAAAAACGAGTACATCAAACTTCTAATGCAAATTCATTTAAGTAAAAATGTGAGCTACTATAAGAAAGAACATTGTGTAAATATTATACATAATATATGGGTAAGTACTGGCTCTTCGATGGAGACCTGTTGAATGGGATAGAATCTGGTTTTCTCTGGATCAATCCCCATTCTCAGTTGCAGGCAACAGAAACCAACTTTTTCTGATGTAAGGAGCAGAGGAATTACGGGAAGAATGTTCCTGGCTAGTGCCATCTACACCTCTGCATAGAGTGCCAAGGTCAGGGCCAAGGCCTTGGGTCCCAAGAGGTCCTCATCAATGACTCCACAATAAAACAATAAAGCTACTGATGGCAAATCATCATAAGGATAACAATCACCATCATCATCATCATCATCATTATCATCTTAACAGCAACTAACATGTTGAGATATTATTACTTGCCAGACACTAAGCATGCGATGTGTATTATTTCATTTAATCTTTATGGTCTTTACAATCAAGTTATGGGATGGTTGTCTTTATTATTTCCACTGGGGCAGAGAGGGGACAAGCAAGTTGCCCAAGCTCACACTGCATTGCCAGGCTGACTAGAGAAACAGGCTTGGACAATGGCTCAGAGAGAGGAGACCAGGCAGTAGCCAGGACACAGCTGAATCATGCCACAGTCCTTGTCCAGGGAAGATACCACCAGGAAAACTGGGTCACCGTTGCAGCCCTGTGGGCTCCACTGACCTTTAATCAGGTTGTGGCTCCCACTGTCAGAACACCTCTACTCTGTGCCCTACTTGGGATCGTTAGCTCCTATGATCTTGTGATTTGTAATAAGATATCTATATCTATCTACATAGCTGTACATAGATGTATATTTAGATAGATGTATTAATAGTTGGTCTTCTTCCTAATTACTTGGCCCAGCTCTTAAAGCCCTTGGAATCACCAGAGTGATGACAGCATCCTTTGTATGCTAATGAGGTGACTGGTGGCCGGTGGCCCTGGGTAGTGTCAGGATAGGGGCTGGTCACCAGAAAGACCAAGGAAGGATTAGAGGCAGTGTAGAAATTTTCAGCCCCATCTTCCAACCTCTGGGGAGAGGAGAGGGGCTAAAGGTTGAGTTGATCACCAATGGTCAATGGTTTAATGAAAAATGTCTATGTAATGAAGTTTCCATTAAGACCCAAAAGGACAGGGTTCGGAGTGCCTCCAAATTGCTGAGCATGAGGAGAGTCCTGAAGGGTGGTACAGCCAAAGGGGACATAGACACTCCACACCCCTTTCCCTGTGCCTTGGTCTGTGCTCTCTTTCTTCTGTTTCTTTACCTGCGTCCTTTGTAACATGCTTTAGGATAAATGGGTAAATGTAAGTAAAGCGATTCCCTGGGTTCTGTGAGCCACTCTAGTGTACTAACTGAACCTGAGGAGGGGGTTGTGGGGATCCTGATTTCTAGCCAGTTGGTCAGAAGCACAGGTAAATCAATCTGGGGCTTGAAATTGACATCTGGAGTGGGGGGCAGTCTTTGGAACTGAGCCCTCAACCTGAGGATAGATTGTTTGGTGTGTGAGGAAAACCTCCCACACATCTGTTGCAAGAAGCGTTGTGTTGAGTGACTCTGTGAGAGTAGGAAGAACGCTTTTGCCATTTCTAACAGCTCTCGATCCAAGACAGGCCTAGAAACATCCATTTGGCTGGACCCAGGTCATACAACCACATCCCAGTTGCAGCAACAACTGGGAAGGTGGTTGGCCAGCCACCTTAACATCCACAGCAGGATGAGGGCTCTGCCCTGTTATGATTCACATGTTGAAGAATTCCTGAGCATGGCTGTCCTCAAACATTTTGGCCTCAGAACTATCTTTTAAAATTATCTTTTAGGGCCAGGCGCCGTGGTTTGCGCCTGTAATCCCGGTGCTTTAGGAGGCTGAGGTGAGTGGATTGCTTGAGTCCAGGAATTTGAGACCAGCCTGACCAACATGGTGAAACCCTATCTCTACTAAAAATACAAAAATCAGCTGGGCATTGTGGTACAAGCCTGTGGTCCCAGGTACTCAGGAGGCTGAGGCACGAGAATTGCTTCAGCCTAGGGAGTCTGACCAGCCAGGACACCATTAAAAAATTATCCTTATTGAGAAAACTTCTGTTTAAGTAGGTTATATCTATTAATAAGAAATAATTATTCCATAATTAAATTAAAATAACAATAACAAACCTGCTGCATATTTACAGAAACATTTATACACAGTTTTATTTAGGTAAATATCTACATATTTACATAAAGCCAATTTAATGAGATGTGTGGCATTGTACATTTTCACAGTTTTTTACTGTCTTTCTTAACAGAGGGCAGCTGGATTCTGTTTGCTCCTGTACTAATCCAGTGGGTCACCCCGCATCATGTAGCCTCTGGCAAACTTACCTGTACACTCATAAGAGAATGATAGTAAGAAAGGCAAATAATGTTTTAGTAGCACTTGAAAATCGTGGGCAGCTTTTAGGAACTCCCAGGGGTTCCCTGACCTCACTTTGGGAACAGGTGCTGTAACACACAGAAGAAGTCAGTGGTCAGACAAAAGCCAATACCTAGATCATGTCCTCTGTAACCAAGACTTTCCTGAGCCCGAGCTCCTCCCTCCTCTCTGCCCTACATGCTGGCAGGGCATCCATCTCCCATAGTTCATAGCCCTGGCACCCTTAGGAGTTGTTTGTAGGAAGCACTAGACAAAAGGAGGATGAGCTTGAGCTCTTGGTAGCCAGCAATGCTGGAAGGAGGCTGACCCTTCATTCTCTGTTATCCCACTCTGTGCTGGCTACAGAACTAGGCCCTGGGCCCAGAATAATGGATTTGGCACGAACTATCCTCTCCAACCAGACAACTGAGCAAACCTCCTCAAGTAGGTGTCTTGATAGAGGTAAGAAATTCTCAGAACCCCAAGGAAAGAGCAGCTTGTTGTGCCTAGGGGGAGGGGCACAGGTCTCCTCTTCAGGAATAGTCCTCTCTAAGGCCCCTCCAACTAGTCAACTTCTATTTTTCTTTTCTTCTTTTTAATTTTTTATTTTTGTGGAGATAGGATCTCGCTGTGCTGCTCAAGCTGGTCTTGAACTCCTGGCCACAAGAGATCCCCCTGCCTCAGCCTCCCAAACTGCTGGGATTACAGGTGTGAGATACCTTGCCCAGCCCAGCTTCTACTCTTCATTTGGACCTCAGGGCAGCTCAAATGCGACCCTAAACCCAGACACCCTTATTCCTTCTGTATTCACCTCTGCACAGAGACAGCTGCTTAGGGATCACCTGCAATTCTCTGTCCAAGGGTGTTTTTTTCTGGCATGAAGGCAATTCCACCAGATCAGGGCAAGATACCTCATGCCCTGCAACAGTCTTTTCTGTAAAGATCTAGATAGTAAATACGTCAGGGGAGCAGCCCTCAACCAATGATAGGGATGGGGTTAACAGTTCTCCTCTCTTGCCCTTGAGTGATGAGATAGCTGCGGGACATTCTCCACTGTGTCACTGAGGTCCTCAGAGGGCCACAAAGGCACTTGCTCAATTACCCACTCTTACTGGGGTCCTTCCCTTCCCTGCATCACCTCCCCACACCCCTGCTGGTACTTCCTGGGACCATCTTCCCGGTAAACTAATTACCTTTGCACCCTTATCACAGGTGCGCTTCTGGAGGAACCAGAAGATATACCTTAATAGCTTCTTGAATTCTCCAACACTGAGTTTGTCTCAGCTTAGCATGGCACAAATATGTAGTTATTTGTTTAACGTCTATGTCTCCGACAGGTTTTAAGTATCTTGGGAGGGTGTGTGTGTCTTTTGTTCAGTATCAGATAATTAGTACTTAGCACAGCTTTTAGTACATGACTGTCCTTTGGGAAAATATTTGTTGACTGACTGACTGAATACTTGAATGAATAAATGAAATCTTTCAAGCCATACTCCAACCTTCCTAGAAAATCTAGCCATCGTTGTTAACAGGAACATTGTTTGTAGTTCGATTGTTTGTAGTAAAGATCCAGATAGTAAATATTTCAGGCTTTGGTGCCATTCAGCCTGATTTGTGGTAGCAATTACTCAGCACTATGGCTGGAAGCAGCCATAGACAATGTGAAAAAAAATGGACATGCCTGTGTTCTAATAAAACTTTATTGATATGGCTGGGTGCGGTGGCTCACATCTATAATTCTAGCACTTTGGGAGGCCAAGGCTGGCGGATCACCTGAGGTCAGGAGTTTGAGACCAGCCTGGCAAGCATGGTGAAAGCCTACCACTACTAAAAATACAAAAATTAGCCAGGCATGTGCGTGTATAATCCCAGCTACTCGGGAGGCTGAGGCAGAAGAATTGCTTGAACTGGGGAGGCGGAGGTTGCAGTGAGCCAAGATCGCACCACTTCACTCCAGCCTGGGCAACAAGAGCAAGACTTCGTCTCAAAAAAAAAAAAAAGGTAAAAGAAAAAAAAAACCATATTGATAAAGACAGTCAGGCTGAATTTGGTCCACAGCTGTAGTTTGCTGACCTCTAGCCTGGAACACAGGTGTTAATTGTCCTATGCGCGGTAGTGTTTAAAGCATTATATTTGGTTCTCATGGAGGATACTTGTCTTGCAGCCCATATATAGTTGTCCTCTGAGAATCCACCTCACTGTCCCTGAAGAACCCTACTTTTCACCTCCCTCAGTGTCCATAGAGCTCTTCAGAAGAGTAAGAACAGACCACTGCAGGGCCTTAGGCACCAGCCCTCCAATTTCACCTTTCCCCACAGCCCAACATCCTCCTGTCTGGGATTCTGATCCAGAGAGAGGAACCTAGACATATCCTACTGACTTCCATTCCAGAATAGCATGGTGGATAGCAGCGTTTGGAACTAGTGGGCCTGCTTCAAACTCACTGAGATCTTTAACTGTCCAATGCTTTAGTTTCCTCATCTGTAAAATGGGATAGCAATGGTACTTAACCCAAAGTTTGTTGTAAGAATTAAATTAATACGTATAGAATGTGTAGAACTTTAATATATATTAATGGATACATATATGTGCATTTGCATACATTTAATCAATAAATACAGTGTCTGGTGCAGTTAGCCCCCAAGACATGTGACCCTTAGTACCCTAGCCTCTTGTTTTCCTTCTACCTCTCACATTCCCCTGGGTGAGGAGGGCTACTGTTTTACCCCCTTCCTGAGTACCAGCATTCCTCCTTCCTTGATGGAACAAGGGAAAAATGTTCCCTTCCAAGAGGGAACGTTCATTTGCCCCATTGCCCTGGGGTCTTGATGGCAGGGAGGCTGCAGGGGAGCATGTTTAATGGGGAAGGCAGCATATACAAAATATGCTGATTTAATACTTTAAAAAACATCTTCATGTCTGCACGCCAGGTGCTGGGCTAGTCATGAGAAGACAGAGAATTTTAACAAAAAGACATGGTCTCTGCCCTCATAGAGAGCACTTCTCAGTGCTGGAGACACCTCAGAGAAATCAAGTTCAAATCCTGGCTCTGGCCTTGATTACCTATGTGTCCTGAGTGCATTGCTTTCCTTTTGGAGCGTCAGTTTACTCACCTGTGTACTGGAACATTATCAGGGTTGAGGAAGACGATGCATAGAAAATGCCTAGTAGATGGTTCACACACAATAGCTATTAAATCATATTGTAAATAAGTTCAACAGTCTGATGATAAACCTGATCATGTGGATAAAGAAACTAACCACAGTTCCTGCCATGCACATAATAAATGCAGCTTCCAAAATGCTTGTAGAGGTACAAACAGGGCGGGAGTTTAAAATGCTGAATTAGTACAAACCACTTCTATTACAAGGGGGGAAATTGGAACAGCCTAAATGTCAGAGCTGGGCCTGGAATGGAGGCCCCTGCCCCAGGGAGATTAAATTCCAGCCCAGGAGCCAGGGGGAGCTGGGGAGGCATCTCCTGGTCCCCGAACACACAGAGGACAGAGGCAGCCTGTCTATCTCTCAGCCATGCATTTAGGAAGAAAAACAGGAATTAGTGTTCAGAGTCATCAAGATGCCAAGGAGGATTCACTGCCAGGCCAAACCTGGCCCCTGTCCAAAAGCCACTTGCAAGGACAGAGAGGAAACGTGGTGGTCACAAGCCCAGCCTTGTGATGACGGGGGCTTTACCTCTCCCCATTTCCATCCACCCTTGCATCTCTGGTGGCCTCTTCCTGGACTCTGGCTGTCAGGGGGCAACAGGACCTGGGTGGTGGGGAGTCTCTGGGTCTCCATCCTGAGAGATGCTTCTGTCTTAGGGGTTTCGGCAGGAGCTGACCGTGTTTGGGCAGGGAATACGAATAAAGGAAGGCTGCTCCCCCAGCCTGAGTCCCCCACCCCCTTCCTGCTACAGCGGTGACGCTGAGCCTCAGATTTTCCCTCCATTGATCCCCACCCCCCCCATAATCAACTGTAACAACAACTTCATTACTCTGTGCTCGCCCATTGGCTAAGGGTAATATAAAATTAGCCAGCGTGCATGGGGCCTCTCAGGATCGATTTCCCTACTCAGATTACTTGTTACGAAAGAATAGAGCTGTCTCCCCCGTAATTGAACAAGTTGACTCCTTGTCTCATAAAATGTAAGCCTGTATTGATTGGCCATTGTGGTGTTGAGGGTGGGGAGGGAGTTGGAACAGGAGGTGAGCACCAGGCTGTGGGATGCTTCCCCCTCTCCCATCCTCCTTCATGGTCCTGCCCCTTCCCCCAGCTTTAGAAGTTGGGGCGCCAAGCCTTAGGCTGGATCCTTGGCCTGAATAGTTATGGGGAGGGAGGCCTCTGAGCCCTAGGTTAATGCCCTCAGCCCCCGTCTTTCCAAGCCAAGGGCATTTACGCTGGTTGGAACACTTGGGACTTGGAATTCACACAGATGGGTTCAAATTGTGTTTCTGCTAAATGCTTGCTGTGCAGCCTTAGACTAGGTACTCAGCCCCTCTGAGCCTGTTTATGGGGATTGTAGCCATGACTACCTTAGAGGTTATTGGGAAGACCCGATGAGTTAACCCACCTGTAGGGCCAGGCACAAAGGGCATAAACACCCATCAACAGGAATAGCTGTTATTCTTGTGCTTGCTTTAATTTTTTGTCAGTAATAGAAACCCATCAAAGTAGCTTAGGAAATGAAGGCACACACAGTTTTCTGTTTGTTGCATGTGGCAGGCTTTAAGGAATGGGGACAGAAAGACTGATTTCAAATACCTCTGCCCATCCTTTCACGTGTGGCCAGAAGCCACAGGCATCACAATGGGCAGGATTATCCTGACATGTTTTTAAACTGGAGGATGACTTTTGCCCCTTGGGAAAGGAAGGGGCTCACCAGCCCCACCTGACCACCCCCTGTCACTCCTGACCCTGGCAGACCTAACATCTCACACAGCCTCTGTAGAGGTGGCCAACAAGACCACCTGCTGCCAGGAGCGGGTTCGTGTTTGCTCGGTTTGGGACCATTTCCCAAGGCCTGGACATCAATCAGCAGTGGGTGGTTTGTGCCCATGAAAGTCCAGTTTTCAAGGCTATCATCTCCTATTGACTTTGGCTGGGTCGTCCAAAGGGAGAAGTGGGTGGGAGGCAGTGAAGAAAAGAAATAAACAGCAGCCTAGGACTGAAGTATCAGTTTATAATTTATGGCTATGGAAGACAGTAGCCATAAACTATGATATAGACAGATTTTGCCTTTACGTATGTGTAAGGGTCTAAGGCTTGTTCTGCAGCTGGGAGGAAAGATCAACTCACTCAGGAATTACTTCTTTGTCAACAACGCAATTTGGGAATTTTTGTTATAATAATAATATCAACACTCACTCTGTAGGCTTACTGTATGCCAGACTGTGCCCTAAATATTTGGCCAGAGTTCCCTTACAGAAACCTGCTAGCAGTCCTCTATCTGGGTGACATTGTTAACAGGGTATCAGTTTGTTGCGACCCATTGTGTGCATAAGCTAGGAAAGTGTTTTGTGTGGCCGTCTCATTGATCCTCATCACATGGAGGTAGCATCTCCATTTTGTAGAGCGCAAACAGGTTAAGCACCTTGCATATAACCAGGAAGCCAAAGAACTAGGTTTTAAATCCATGAACGCCAGCCTCGAAAGCTCAAGCTGGAAGCTCCCTCATTCCACTGCATCTCCCTGATGTGAAAGAGAAGACCAAGGAAAGTAACATTTTATTTACTTTTTATTTATTTATTTTTGACTGTCCTGTGAATGCAGTAGAAAGTAACATTTTATACTACCAACCACAGCAGGCCCTCATTATAAATTTCTAGACTGTTGTTGGTAGTAGTGGTGAAACAGGCTTATGTTTTATGTGCCAAGGCATTTATTTGCTCTGCTACAGAGGAGGCAGTGTGGTCTAAAATAGTAGTATGGGAATTATGAAAAGAAGATACGAGTTCAAGCGCTAGCATTGCCACTTACTAGCTGTGTGACTGTGGGACAGTCACCTGACTTCTCTGAGACGAAACTTATCTTCAGCTAGAGCAGATACCTGTGAGATGGGGCTAAAAATAACCTCCGTCTCAGAGGATTACAGATAATCAAATGAAATAATTTACCGAGACAAGACTGTAAAGCACTACAGAAACATTCATGCTGTTAACAGAACAATACACCAATTCCTAACAATGACAGCTGTCAGGAGTATGGAGACCAGGAGCAGATTAGTGGATTTCCTAGTGGATAATGTTATGGGGTGCTGGTGCTCCCTAGTTAAGGCAGCATTTGCTTTTCTCAATGGGTGCTTGAACGTCAAGGGCACATGCAGTGCACACAGGAGAGAAGTCAGCAGGAGGTTGGTTCTTCTCTGCTCCCACTACACCCCCTGCAATTAACAGAGTGAACTGGAGCAGTCCCCTTTCCCATTCTCAGGCCTAGCTACCCTACCTGTGGGAAGACTGGGTTGGAGAGGGGCTCCTGAATGTCCCACCCTCCATGTCCTTCTTTGGCTGATTTTTTTGTGTGTAGAAAGGAGTAGCAGGCGCCCTTCCTGACTGCTTCTCATTCTGCCATTGTTCCAGCACACTGGAGTCAGAACTCTGGGCTACTGCTCCATCCTGTGCTTCCCTCGTTCTTCCGAGTATCCAAGCCAGTTCTGTGGGGTCACTCTGACCCTCTCTCTTCCTTACCCCAATCCAGTCCACTGCTGAGTCCTGTGTATCTCCACAACATGCTCCACTCCTTCCACAGCTCAGTCTCCACTGCTTCCTCCCTGGAACGTTTAAAACAATTGTAAACTTACAAAAAAGCTGCAAAAATAGTGCAGAGAGTTCACATATGTGTTAGTCTGTTCCTGCTGCTATAACAAAATTTCTTAGACTGGGAACAGCAGAAATTTATTTTCCGTAGTTCCAGAGACTGGTAAGTTCAAGATCAAGGCACTGGCAGATTTGGTGTCTGGCAGGGGCCTGCTTTCTGGTTCATAGGCGGTACCTTCTGTAACTGAACCCAGATTGGGCTGCTCACCAATTAAAAGCCAGACTCAAGAAACAAGGGTGTGTGGGAGGAAAAGCAGTTTTATTTGGAGAGCCAGCAAAATGAACAAGATGGTGAACTGGAGCTCTAAAGTACCATCATAAGTCAGTACACATTTTAGGCTTTTTATGTGAAGGGCAGAGGGAAAAGGAGGGAGTTGAGATCAAGAGGAACTGATAACCACAAACATCTGAGCATCAGTGAGGGTTTGAGGAGGCTGGGAACTTCTTTTTCCTTGGTGAGGTCACAGTGCTTCTATAAATCTTTAACAAAACATAGTTAGTTGTTTACACACTTCCCCTTTAACCCCAGACTTAGTTTTAAAACTACGTGATTGCTGCTTTTTGCATACCAACTCAGGGCTCTAAAATTACCTAGCCAATGTACAGGAATGGGTAAAAGCCCCTTAAACAAAAATGGAGTTAGTTATGTTAATTCTTTTGCTGTTTTACTGTTACACTTCTCACTGTGTCCTCACATGGTGGAAGGGACAATCTATGTCTCTGGAGTGTCCTATGAGGGAACTGCTCCCCATCATGAAGTCTCTGCCCCCATGACCTGATCACTTCCCAGAGGCCTCACTCCCTAAACCATCACCTTGGTGATTAGGATTTTAACACACGAATTTGCGGGGGACACATAGACTGCAGCATTATTTCCTTCGCCTAGCCACCCTAATGTTAACAGCTTACACAGCCATAGCACAAACCAGCCCATTTCTACCCGACCACCACTTCCTCATTTGTCTCCCTGCCTCCAACCTAATCCCTATGATCCACGCTATAACGACAGCCAAAGGCTTTGTCTTTTTTCTTTTAACCTCCAAACACTAAATAGCCATTTATGCCTAGTGTTCCATTATTGGAACGCTAAGCGTGTGGGAGTTACTTATATCCTACGGCTCATGGTCATTGCCAAGGTCTGATTGCAAAAATACAAAAAATTGCAACCTCAGGCATAAATGGGTTAATGCATCCTTTTTGTTCCTATTATCATTATGAAAAGTATATGCAGTAAATGCAAACAGTATAAGAGGAAATGGAGTTAAAAAAGTAAATCTGTCTCCCATTCCAGACCTTTCTCCAGGGACACCCAGTCTTACATTTTATGTGATATTTTCGTTTTCTTTTTTTTTTTTTTTTTTTTTGAGACAGAGTCTCGCTCTGTCTCAAAGGCTGGAGTACAGTGGTGCAATCTCGGCTCACTGCAAGCTCCGCCTCCCAGGTTCACGTCATTCTCCTGCCTCAGCCTCCCGAGTAGCTGGGACTACAGGCGCCCACCACCACGCCCGGCTATTTTTTTTTTTTTTTTTTGTATTTTTAGTAGAGATGGGGTTTCACCGCGTTAGCGAGGATGGTGATACTTTCATTTTCTAAACATATGTGAGCATGTGGGAGTGCATAGCTTTAAAACTATGCAGTACATGAGACATGTTTTGTACTTTGCTTTTTAAATGGTTTATTTTAAAGTAATTTTAGACTTAGATAAAGGTTATAGACATTATAATGATTCACATGTACACTTCTTTCAGCTTTCCCTAATGTTAACAACTTTCAGAGCCACACAATGAGCAAAACTAGGAAATTAGCAATAGTACAACACTATTAATTAAACTACAGAATTTATTTAAATTTTACCAGTTTTTCCCCTCATCCTTTTTCTGTTCTAGGATGTAATTCAGAATTCCATGTGACATCTGGCTTTTGAGTTTCCTTAGTTTCCTTTCTCTGATAATACCTTGGTGTTTTACGGCTTTTGAAGAGCACTGGTCAGGTGGTATGTGGAATGTCTCCTGATATGGGCTTTTCTAGTGTTTTCTCATGATTGTATTGATATTGTGCTTTTTTAAATTCCTTTTTGCATGGACACCACGTAAGCCATCACTTGGGTCCTTCCTAGAGCATCAGGAAGTATATGATGTTGATAAAGCTTTTGCCAGTAATATTAGCTAAAGTTATCATCTTTTGACAGCCTGCCAATTCCCCTCCTGTGGCTTCTCACTGCATTTAAGACAAGTTTCTAAATCCGTTAGCATGGAAGTACCCTGGATACCTGTCTGCCCTTGCCTTGAGCCCCTGCATGCAGTCTTGTTCACATTCAAGGTGCTCTGGCCTTCCTGAGGCCCCAAAACAAGCTAAGCTCTTCCTTCTCTAAGGCTCTCATACTTGCTGCTCCCTTTGCAACGTGTTCTTACCTAAGGCTAGCTTATTATCTTTATTCAGGATTCAGCACAAAATGTTACCTCTTCCAAGAAGCCCTCTCTGACTACACAGGCACTAAAGTAGCCACCCTGTTCTCTCTGTCACAATGCTCTATTTTTAGTAATTTCACAGATGTACCAAAACCCAAAGCATTTACTTATTTATGTTTCTATTGAATATTTTCCTCTCTCGAATGTGAGCTTCTAAGGGGCGGAGACTTGGCCCGCCTTGTTCGTTTACCTCTATATTCTGAAGTATCTTGGTCTTTAATGTAAAAGAGGATGTGCTGGACCCAGAGCCTGGAGGGGATGAGAAATTCCAGGACAGCAGGTGGCCGGGGCTGCAGAAGAAAGTAATAGATCAATGTGTTCTCAGAAAACTGATTAGAACTAGCAAAATGGTAAAACTGTGATGGTTTACACTGGTCACTTAACTGTTCCATCTGAGCTCACCCAAATGGTGATGCTCAGCAGATATCCCAAGTAAAATTTTGTCTAGGGGATCTTTTGAGGTTCTTGGTTTTAAGAACCTTTACCAACTATTTTCTCAAAAGGCCCCATCGCACAGAGCCTAGGCTCCTGTATTGGATCAGGTTTCCTCTGCTCTCCTCACCAATAAACACAGTTCAGCCTTCACTATGTCCCAGAGTCATTATTTTTCCTTGCAAGGAAGAATGTGGAGTAATGTGTCATAAATGTTTGTTGGAAACAATAAAGGAAGGAAGAGAGGGAGGAAGGAAGAAGGAAGGAAGGAAAGGAGTGAGGGAGGGAAGGAAGGAGGGAGGGAGAAAGATTAGAGGAATGAAAGAAGCATGAGAGGAAGAGAGGAGGGGTAGGAAAAAGGGAGGAAGGGAGGATAGGTGGGAGGGAGGGGAGGAAGAAAGGAAAGAATGAAGGAAGTGTGGTTAGGTTTTCTTGACTGAGTGTCGTTCTCAGCTTCTTGCTACGAGTCTAAACAACCACATTTACTAACTTTAGAGAAGACTCTGTATACTCCTACTCTTGATTTTCCTATGAAATAAAATCTTTTTTTAAGTATACTGTAATGTATGCCATTTGTAGGAAATGTTGGAAAATATGAGCCAAAAGAAAACTAAATTATCCATAAATCCATAATCTCAACATTCTGATGACTATTGTTTTGTTGTTTATTTTGTTGTATATTATTCGAGACTATTATTCCATTTGATGAAATACACATACCTGCACATACACACAGACACTCCAAATGGGATGATATTACTCATTCTATTTTGTGACTTACTTTTTAATTTATCATTATCCTCTGAATACCTCTCCATGTCAATGAATATACAGTGCAAATCATATTTTATAAAAGCTACATATAGCAGTGTTTTTCAAAGTACAGATTGAGACCCATCAGTGGGTTAGAAAATGAATTTAGTGTGTCAAGGTCAATATTTAAAAATGAATAAAACAGAAAAAGATAGCATTGAACAGAAAAGAAAAATACTATTGTGTATATCTTGGTGAAGATAAGTATTTTATAAGGATCTGTATAGTTAAGCATCTATGTGTGTATTAGGTTGTGATAATATTTTATGTAAATTCTAGTCAAAAAAGATTTAAAATTTTTGATGTGTTCTCAATAAGATACAAGAGAATCAGTTTAACCCATCCCCAATTCTTGGACCTTTGTATTGTTTGAACACTAAATTTTGTGTATTTTTTCTGATTATTTCCTCAGGCTTTCTAATGGAATCAGAATGGGTCGTAAGGTTATGACCATTTCTAATGTGTCTTCTAGAAAGACTAAGCTGATATATATTCTGACTAGCTGGTATAAACGTTCCTATTTACCCATCCTCTGACCACCACTGATTTTTATTACTGCTGGATTTTATCATCATTTAACATTGCCAGCCTGTTGTTTAACACAATATCATTACAAACAGTAACTGCCTTACTCCATTTTGTGTTGCTATAACAGGATACCTGAGGCTGGGCAATTTGTAAAGGAAATTATATTACATTATTTGGCTCATGATTCTGGTGGCTGGAAGATTCAAGATTGGGCAGCCATGTCTGGTGAGGGCCTCAAGCTGCTTCCACTCATGGCAGAAAGAGGAATGGGAGCAGGTGTGTACTAAGAGATCACGTGGCAAAAGAGGAAGCAAGAGAGATAAATGGAGGAAGCCAGATTCTTTTTAACAACCCACTGTCTTGGGAACTAATACACTTCCAGGAGAACTCAGTCATCCCAATGGGAGGGCATTAGTCTATTCAAGAATGATCTGCCTCCATGACCTAAATACCTCCCACTAGGCCCCACCTTCCATCACTACCACATTGGAGATAAATTTCACCATATATTTTGGTGGGGGCACACCAAATCCAAACCATAGCATTCCCCCCAGCCCCCTAAAACTCATGTTCTTCTCCCATGCAAAATATAGTCTTTTAATCCCAATAGTCTTAAAAGTCTCAACTTGCTCCAGCACCAACTTAAAAGTCCAAAGACCAGTTATGAGCCTGTAAAATCTAAAGTAAGTTATTTACTTACAAGATATAGTGGTGGAACAGTCAGAGGGTAGACATTCTTATTTCAAAAGGGACAAACAGGCTAAAAGAAGAAAAGAGTAACAGGCCCCACACAAGTCCAAAGCCCAACTTGGCAGACATGAAATCTTAAATCTCCTTTGATTCTACGTCTTGCACCCTGGGCATGCTGACATGAGGGGTGGATCCCCAAGGCCTCAGGTAGCCCTACACCCATGGTTTTGCTGGGTACAGCCCACATGGCTGCTTTCACAGGTTGGAGCATAATGCCTGTGGCTTTTTTGGGCTGAGGTTGCATGCTGCTGGTGGCACTAAAATTCTGGGGTGCCAGTGCCAACCCCATTCCCATGACTCCACTTGGCATTGCCCAATGGCAACTCTCTCTGGTGGGTTTCTGCCTGGGCTTTCCAAATCTCTGATACATTATCTGAAGTCTAGGTGAAAGCTGTCAAGTCTCCACAGTTTTTGCATCCTGGGAATTTGCAGATTTACCACTACATGGTGGTATCAGTATTAGCTCATAATAAAGAGGCTTACCACTTATGCTCTCCAGAATGACACCCTGAGCCATATCTGGGGCAATTTGAGCCATGGTTACTCCAGCCAGGCTATGGGGATGCAGGGAACAACATCCTCAAACAGCTACACCCTAGGCCTGTTCCTCAAAATCATTCTGTCCTCCTTGGCTTCTGGTCCTGTTATGAGAAAGATCTTTGTAATGCTTTTGGGCCTTTTTCCCATTGTTTGAATGATTAGCACCTGGCTCTCTTTTATCTGTGCTTATCTCTTTAGCAAGGAGTCACTCATTTGCACCCTTGTATTCCTCTCCTGAAAATGCTATTTCATTCTCTACCACATGTCCAGGCTGTGTATTTTCCAAATACTTGTGCTCTGCTCCCCTTTTGACAATAAATTCTTCCTGTTGGTTATGCTCTTGCTACAGAATCTCACTTATGCAGTTAAAAGTAACCATGCAACTGCCTGATTGCTTTGCTGCTTAGAGATTTCTCTGCCAAATATTCAACACTCTTAAGTTCAGTCTTCCACAAAGCCCTAGTGCATGGAGACCACGTAGCCACTTTTTTTTGCTAGGGTATAGCACGGGTGACTTTTGCTCCAGTTTCTAAGAAGTTCCTCTTCATTTTCATCTGAGCTCATCAGATTTCATTCTGACCTCATCAGAATGGCCTTTACTGTCCATATTTTTATCAGTGTTCTAGTCAAAACCACTTAATCAATGTCTGCAAACTTCTAACTCATCTTCGAAGTCCCAATTAGAATCACCCTTAATTTCATTTTTAGCAACACAGGCCCTATCTAGCCTGATCCTCCAATTTCTTCCAACCTGTCCCTATTATCCAGTTCCAAAGCTGCTTCTACATTTTCAGGTGTCTTTATAGCAACATCCCTCTGCTGATACCAATTTTCTGTCTTAGTCCATTTAATGTTGCTATAACAGGAAACCTCCTGAGTGAGGCTGGGTAATTTATAAAGAAAAGAGGTTTATTTAGTTCTCGGTTCTGCAGGTTGGGAAATTCAAGAAGCATGGTACCAGCATCTGCTATGCTTCTGGTGAGGGCCATGTGCTGGGTCAAAACATAGTGGAGAAGGTCAAAAGGGAAGTGGACATGTGTTAGGAGACCACACAGAAAGGGCATCCTCCCTTTATAATAACTCTGTCTTGGGAACCTATCCATTCTTGCAAGAACTAATTCAGTCTCTCAAGAGTGAGAACTCACTCACTACCTTGAGAGCACACCATGACACCCAAAAAACGAGAATCCGCAAACCCCTCCCATCTCTTAAAGTTTCCACCTCCCAACGTCATTGCTTTGGCAATTAAACTTCAACATGAATTTTATTGAGGACAAACCACATCCAAACCACAGTAGTAACTAATGTGTGTTGCAGCTTACTAAGTTTCAGGCTCTGTGTGAAGGCCTTTATTAGCTCATTATACCCTTTGATCCTTACATTCATCTTCTGAAATAAGTGCTACTATTATTCCAGTTTTGCAAAGAAGAAGCTAATGCTGAAAAAAAATTAAAATTTTGGTGAAGTGAGGATTTGTCTTCAGGCCTGACCCCAAAGACATGCACATACCTTACCATTGTTCTCAGTGGCCTCTCTCACTGTCATCATTCATAATAGACTCATTCTTAGTGAGATGGAAGGTCTCCTGCACATTTACCAAACAGTGTTAATTAAGAACATTTGCAAATACATTTCAATGATTCTTTAAAGTTATTCCATTGTATCACCTGGGATTTAGGGCCCAGCATGTGGTCCCAGGGTTGAAAACAAACAAACGAACAAACAAAAAACACTTCTTTAAACTGAGTTATGCATTCACCAGATGTTCTCGGGGATATGTAAAACCACAGGATAAACAAGCAATATCTTCCTGAAGCCTTAATTTAAGTCAAAAATTTGAGGGAAAATGTCATTTTTATATTAAACACAACCACTGATATACTACAGAGTACGACATTTTAAAAGTCAAAACACAAAATTTCAAAGAGTTTTTATCTTGATATAGGCAGTTGTATCAATCAGTAAAGGCTAGGTTATGCTGTGATAACAAAGAATTCCAAAATCTCAGTGGCTTAAAATGACAGGTGTTTATTTCTTTTTGTTACAACATTTCTATTGCCTGTTGTCCAGGGTCTCTGCTCCGCTTCATTTTCACTCCAGGATCCAGGTAAATGAAGCAACCTCCATTTGGAATGTTGCTTGTCACTGTGGGAATGAAGGAAACCGAGCTCTGGAGGGTCTTGTGTCCCAATTAAGTGCTTATCCCAGAAGAGATACATGTGACTTTTACTCCCAACTCATCATCTAGGACTAGTCACGTTGCCTCACCCAACCACAAAGAAGCAGGAAGTACAATCTAAACACCTGAAAGGTAAAGAGCCAGAAACATTTGGGGAATGGCACTAATACTATCCCAGTTGTCTGGGCTCTGTCTCCAGATCTATCCTATTTCTTCTGTCCTGCACAGGTCTGCTGAGGAGGGTACTCAATGACATATGGGAAGGCAATATCAGCACATCTACTTCTATTATTTAATAAAAAAAAAGTAGAAGACTATGTCTCATGTAATAGAACTGTAGAGGTAAGAGGTGGTGTGATGTTCCATAGTGACAGGGATTGAGGGCCTATCTTCTTGGGCTACTACCATGAATTTACCTCAGGGTTTAAGACAACTGCTCAAGCTCCAGCCATTTTGTTTAAAGTCCAGCCAGCAGAAAAGAATATCTATTTTTTTAATTTTTAATAGATTTGTTGATATTAGCTCACATACCATGCAATTTATCCATTTAAAGTGTATAATTGATTCATTTGTAATATATTTGCAAGTCCAAGCAACTATCACCAATCTATTTTAGAACATTTTTGCCACCCCAAAAAGATCGCTAAATGCTTATTTTGCCATTACTTCCCACATTCCCACTTCCTTCCCTCCAAGCTCTGTGCAACCACCAATCTGCTTTCTGTCTCTGTAGATTTCCCTATTCTGGACATTTCATATGAGTGGAATTGTGTAATATGTTGTCTTTTGTGCCTGGCTTCCTTTACTTAGCACAGTGTTTTCAAGGTTTTTGCATGTTGTTGCACGGGTCAGTGCTTCATTCCTTTTTATGGAAGAATAATATTCCATTATATGGCTAGACCCCATTTTATTTATCCATTAATCCGTTGATGGACATTTGGATTGTTTTGACCTTTCAGCTATTATAAGTATTCCTTTTTTGAATATTCATGTACAAGTTGCTTTGTGGACATATGTTTTAGATTTGCTTGGGCATATACCTAGGGGTGGAATTGCTGGGTCATATGGTATGCTTATGCTTAAAGATAGAGATTAAGCATTAACTCTATGCTTAATCATTTGAGGAACTCTTAGATTGTTTACCAAAGCAGTTATACCATTTTACATTCCTACTGGTGGTGTGTGAGGGTTCCAGTTTCCCCACATTCTCACCAACGTATGTTTGGCTGACTTTTTGGTTATAGCCCTCCTACTGGGTATAAAGTGATATCACATTATGATTTTGATTTAAATTACTGCAATGACTAACGATGTCCAGCACCTTTTCATGTATTATTGGTTATTTGTGTATCTTCTTTGCAGATATGTCTTTTCATCTCCTTTAGCCCATTTTTTCATTGGGTTGTTTTTTTTAGAGTTCTTCATATATATTCCAGAATACAAGTTTCTTATCAGATTTAAAATTTGCAAAAGTTTTCTCCCATTCTGTGAATTGTCTTCTCTCTCTCTCTCTCTTTCTCTCTCTCACACTCTCACTCCTTCTCTGTCTGTCTTTTTTGAGACAGGGTCTCACTCTCTCACCTAGACTGAAGTGCAGTGATGCAATTACAGCTCACTGTAACCTTGAACTCCTGGCCTCAAGCGATCCTCCCTCCTTGGCCTCCCAAAGTGCTGGGATTACAGGTGTGAACCACTGTGCCTGGTCTGCTTTTCACCTTCTTAATAGCGTCCTTTGAAACACAAAATTTTTTATTTTTAATGAATCTGAATTATCGATTTTTTTCTTTTCTTGTTCATGTTTTTGATGCCATATCTAGGAATCATTTGACAAGTCCAAAGTCATGAAGCCTTACCCCTATGTTTTCTTTTAGGAGTTTTATAGTTTTAGCACTTACATGTAGGTATTTGATCCATTTTGAGTTAGTTCTTGATATGGGGTGGAATGGGGTCCATATTTATCCTTTTGTATGTGGCTATCCATATGTTCCAGTACTATTTGTTGAAAAGACTATTCTTTCTCTATCAGATGGTCTTGGCAACCTTGTTGAAAATCAGCAATATTACAAGATACATCAATATGCAAAAATCAATTGTATTAGATACACTTGCAACGAGCAGTCAAAAAATCAAATTAAGAAAACAAATTTCACTTATAATGGCATCAAAAAATACTTAGAAATAAATATAACAACCTGTAATCCCAGCACGTTGGGAGGCTGAGGCAGGAGAATTGCTTGAGCCCAGGAGATCAAGACCAGCCTGGGCAACATAGTGAAACCCTTTCTTTACAAAAAATTTTAAAATTAGATGGGTGTAGTGTCACACACCTGTAGTTGCAGCTACTTGGGAGGCTGAGGAGGACTGCCTGAGCCCAAGATGTCAAGGTTGCAGTGAGCCATGTTCATGCCACTGGACCCCAGCCTGGGAGACAAAGTGAGACCCTGTCTCAAAAAATTGAAAAAAAAAAAAAAAAAAAAGGAAAGAAATGTTAAAAAAAATGTATAAATTTGTACCTTGAAAACTACGAAACATTATTGAAAGAAGTTAAATAAAATCTAAATTTTAAAAATAGCCCATGTTCATGGATTAAAAGATTTAACAAGTGAAAATATACTCCTCTAACTGATCTATGAATACACTGCAATCCCTATTAGAATCTCAGTTGACCTCTTTGTAGAAATTTATTCGCTGATTTTAAAATGCATATGGAATTGCAAGGAACCCCAACTAGCCAAAACAATCTTGAAAAAGAAGAGCAAAATGGGAGGACCCCTGCTTCCAGGTTTCAAAATTTACTACAAAACAATGGTAATCAAGACAGTATAGTACTGACACAAGGATAGACATATAGGTCAATGGAATAGACTTGAGAATTCAGAAATAAATGTATTGATTTTTTAAAACTAAAACTTGAGAAATAAATAGTGTTGGCAATTTTTTAATCCACAGACTGGCATGATTCCTTCACTCAGTCCTATATCAAAAAGGTTATATTTATGTCCCATAAACTCTACAAGGTACCTGAGGGAAAGAGTGCAAGTCACACTGTGTGTGTGTGGGCAGGGGACAGGGGTGGATCGTGTCCCTCTTACCCATTTTTTTCTTTCTTTTTGCTTTTGGCACATCTCAAGTTGTGTTTTTCACATGCCAGGTTAATTGTATTTACAGATTATCTTATCTTGTTTTAATTAAGTCAGTCTTCACAAAAAAAGACAAGTGGCTGGAGACGATTCCCTCAAAGAAAGCACAATTAAAGTTAATAATGATAATGCCAGTAGAAGTAAAGAAGAACATGGCCAAGCTGTCACTTCCTTTCTGTACAAACGCTTTTGACCAGCCACATTATGAGGTAAAACAATGGTTATCTAATAAGATCCGAAAGAAGTTGGCCAATTGAAATAATCAAAAAGGTAATCTGAAATGTGGTTTTACATCCCTATTGTTGACACCAATCTCTCCCTAAAGGCATATTGTGCCATGAGATATTAACTGATGGTAGTATGAAGCCCTCACAATTGGGATAACGTTTTAAAATATTGCTCATTTTGGGCCAGGCATGGTGGATAACACCTGTAATCCCAGCATTTTGGGAGGCTGAGGGGGAAGGATCACTTGAGGTGAGGAGATTGAAACTAACTTGGGGAACATAGCGATAACTCATCTCAGCAAAAATAACAAACAAAAAAATAAAATACTGCTCATTTTATCTTTATCTCATCATTTAAAAAATTTACTTTGTTGTATATGTGCATAGTGTATGACATGCATATATTCATTCATTTACTCAACAAAGCATTGATCTAGCGACCCTCAGGGAGTAGTAATTGTTTTACTCCTTTCAGGCTGCTATAACAAAATACCTTAGACTGGGTAATTTACAAACAACTTACATTTATTCCTTATGGTTCTGGAGGTTAGGAAATCTAAGATCAGGATGCCAACAGATTTGATGCCATCTATGCATCCTCACATGATGGAAAAGACAAGGGAGCTCCTTCCAGCCTCTTTTCAAGGGCACTAGTCTCATTCATGAGGGTGGAGCTCTCATGACCTAAAAGCCCCACCTCTTACTACTGTCACATTGGGGATTAGATTCCAGCATATGCATTTTGGTGAGACAACAACATTCCAACCACAACATAATAAAAAAAGCAACCTTGTTGCCACATGAAGCTGACATTCTTATGGGAATAGGCTGACAATAATTAAAGAAAAAGCATACAGGATATAATGTTCATTATATATTTGTGCAGAAATGTGTGAGGGTGTGTTTGTATGTGTGAGAAGTCAATTTTTTTTCTTTTTGTGCTGAATAATTTTTAAAAAATTGATAACCACAAGCCAACCAAATTGATAAACCAAACATTTAAACATGATCTTTTGTCATGGATGGCACTTGGAAGAAAACATTTGAGAGGTGCTGATATTAAACTTAACTCCAGAATAAAGATGACTTCACACTCACCTCCCTCCCCTTGCCTGATGCTCTCTTCTGTTCTCTCTCCTTCTCTTGTACTATCTTGAGGAAAACCATACTTTGAGAACTATTATTCTGGTGGTTTTGGTATAAGTATTAGTTATCTATTACTGTGTAAAAAATGACTACAAAATTAGGAACTTCAAACAACACTCATTCATTGTCTCCTGGTTTCTGTGAGTCAGGAATCCAAGCACAGCTTTGCTGAGTCCCCTGCTTCAGGACCTCTCCCATGTCTGAAATCTAGCTGTGAGCCAGGCTGGAGTCTCATCTGAATGCTTGACTGGGGAAGGATCAGCTTCCAAGGCCACGTGATTACTGGCAGCATTCAGTTCCCTGAGAGATGTAGGACTGAGGGTTTCAGTTTCCAGCTGACTGCTGGCCAGAAGCCAACTTCAGTTCTCTGCTATATGGGCCTCTCTGACATGGCAGCTTGCTTCATCAAAGAGTGCAAGCCTAGAAGAAGAGAGAGCCAGCCAGCAAGACTAGTCACAAACTTACGTAATCCAGTCACAGGAGTGGCATTCTGCCACCTTTGTCATAATTGGTTAGAAGCAAGGCCAAATTCCCTCCCACCCTCCAGGAGAGGGGACTACACCAAGGTGTGAATACCTGGATGTGGGGATTGTTGGAGGCCAACTTACAGTCTGCCTGGTATAGCATCTTTGGGTGATGGCCCACACAACTTCCTGGCTCAGAGGGTCCTGGTGTTCCCGGTACTCTGAGAATAAGCTCTCTGAGTGGCTCAGGAGGAGAAGAGATGAGTGTGCATGCTTCACCTGGTCCTAAACTCTCTCCCTGCCTGTATGAAGGGCAGGAGAATGTATGAAGAATCCCTTCATACTATTCCTTGTACATACATTGTGCTCTCTGCCCACTGCCCATGCCTAGTCTTCACCATGAAAGAGATCACATGCTTTTCCCATTTATTGAGAACCCAACTCACCTTTCAAACCCAGACGCAAAGGCCCCCTCCTCCAGTAAGGGTTCCAGGAGTCCCTGGCAGAATCACGCTCTCCTGTGTCCTTCTACAATATGCTGATCAGATCCCTCACATAACACTCACTTCATTCTGCCTTCTTTTGTGTGTAAATCAGTACCTTCTTTCTGTTGTGAGTGACAGTAGACTGGCTCAAGCACAAGAAAAGTCATTTTATTGGCTCATAAAATGAAAATGTACAAGGGTAGAGGGATTTCAGGCACAACTGGGCTCAGGGGCTTGAACAGAACATCAGGACCCGGTTTCTTTCCATCACTTAGCTCCAACTCACCTCTTTGGAGGCTTTTTCACAGGCTCTACGGGAGCAGCAAGGTGCTTTCTATGGTTGCAGAACTAGGCCAACTAAGTCTAACTCCAACTAAAAGAGAAAGTGCCTCTCTCCTCACAGAGGGCCTGGGTTGCAGCTCGTGAGCTCCGAGTGGGTCACGTGCCCATCCTTGAACCAATCATGGTGGCCAGGTGATGTCGAGTGGGTCAAGGTGAGGCTGGTTCCCCAGAGGAAATCCAGGATCCTGTTACCAGAAGAAGGGGAAACAGATGTGCAGTTGTGCCAAAGCCCCTAAAGGTGCCCAGGTCTATTTCCCCAACAGACCACTAGGTCCTGGAGGGCAAGAATTGTGTTTTTTGTTTTTGTTTTTGTTTGTATTCCTAGCATCTGGCCCAGGACCTGGTACATAGTAGGTGCTCAGTTTTTTGTATTTCTATTTATTTTTTTTTTTGGTGGAATGAACAGATAAGTGAATGCCTAAATGCAATAGAATAAAAGTTGGCAAATATTTTCTGTTACAGGTTAGACAGTAAACGTTTTTGGCTTTGCAGATCTGCCGTTGTAGCAGAAAACCCTCATAGCTATTACAAACAAATGAATGTGGCTGTGTTTTCATAAAACTTTATTTATGCACACCGAAATGTGAATTTCATAGCATTTTCACCTGCCATGAAATGTACCATGCTCACTGGAGGTACAAAAATAGGCAGCGGGCTGCGTTTGACCGGGGAGCTTCAGTTTGCAGACTCCTGGAAGAGAGGACTGAGGGCCAGAGGACTGAGAAATAACTCACCTTGAGCATCGCAATCCTCCTCCGGTTTTACACCCTGCCGAGCCGACTTTGTGTGAAGACCATTGTTGTGCCATAAACATGTGAAAAGGCAACATTTAATTTAGGTCACACATCTGGAGCATGTGAGGAGCCTTCATCAGGCTATATTGAAATTTCTGCGTTCCACACCAGTGCCTCTAAAATTGTTAAACTGCATCGCCCTTGCGGCTTTATTAAACCTCGCCTGTTCCAGCCAGGCTTGACAACGAATGCCTAGCGTTCCGAGTGCAGAGTAGATTTGCTATGCGGGGTCCTGCTGCCCCCCCAGCAGCTCCCCGGGAAATCCAAGGCTGTTCCAGCCCCCCGGCCCTTTGTGCCGGAGCCCAGCGCCCAGCAATTGTGCCTCTAATCAACAGCCTCTAAGCAGGTGAGCATTTATCTCAGTCAGTTACCCCTTATAATTACTGTATTGAACCTAGTTGTCTATAAAATGAATGGTTTGTTCAGACACTTTACCCAAAGAGTTCATTAGGGGTTAAACAAAATGCAATCCCATTTGCAAAGAGTATAATAAATTGTTTCATCTGTGAATTTAGCTGTTCTCCCTAATGCAGACATGGGTGTTACAGTGGCTTTCCCTTGATAGGGTTATGGGTTAATGAAATGCCTTTTCTGTTGCTTATTTTCCTCTCTTCTGTGCTGAGTGATAAGTAGCTAACCAACGAAGCTTGTAATTACAATCTTACAGAAACCGGGCCGATCTGTATATAAATCTCACCATCCAATTACAAGATGTAATAATTTTGCACTCAAGCTGGTAATGAGGTCTAATACTCGTGCATGCGATAATCCCCTCTGGATGCTGGCTTGATCAGATGTTGGCTTTGTAATTAGACGGGCAGAAAATCATTATTTCATGTTCAGGAAAAAATTAGGTTGGTGGGAAGTTAATTTTCTCACCGCTCTCTGAAGCGTAGACAAGAATTTAATGATTTAATCATGATTGTTAGCTCTTTTGCAATCAATTTGTAATGATTGTGTAGCAACTCTCTTCAAGGGAAGCTGCTTTGGAGAGGAGTTTGCAAACAGCTGTCCGGGGGGCTGGCCTTTGAGGGGCACGTGACTCAAAGCCATTAAAGCTGCCTTCATCATGACATGGGGAGCATGAGCTCCAGAGGCTCTCACCCCAGCATTTCGAAGGTCTGGTGAAGTAGAAATAGTCAGTATTTTAGACTTCCAGGAACTATAGCTCCATGCACAGGCAGTGGGAGATGGACTCCTTAGCTGCACAAGGCACGGTAATAATTTTGTCAACGTCTTGCATTGTAGATCTCAGTTTACAAACTTGTGTGCAAGAAATAGCATATTCTTTCATTTTATTTAGCTGTATTTATTCTAACTTGGAGACTCATGCTGCCGGGTTGGTGAGACATGTAACCTCAGAGAAATAGAATTCTCCACCCCACCTCCTGAAAGAGGCTAGCACTCAGTTTCTTGCAAGGTTCAAAGGTCCCTCCGGTCTCAGCCTGCTGGTCCCTTCAGTCTCCAAGGCCCCGAAGCTCCTCTCCCATGCCTGAGACACAAGATCCTTTGGGGAGGCCAAGAGCTGCACATCTGGGGTTCAGTCCCTGGAGCTGGGCCAGGGAGGCAGCTGGGCCCCACTGAAGTCTCACATTCATGGGAGAACAGGAACAAGATCGTACCTTGTAGAAGTCGCCACAAATCACCTTCTTAGCCTCAGACCAGCTCACTATTTCCCAAGTTAAGGCTCCTCGGAGGCACCTGAGCCCACCCCGATGACCCTGATCCCATCTCTTTAATGACTTTTCATTTTCCAAATGATCAGAAGAGCTTTTAACTTTAGGCGACTTCTGTCTGCAGCCCTGTTAAAACTCCCGAGGCCAAGCATTACAAAGCCCGCCTACCTGCTTGAAGGGAAAGATAGAGAGAGAACAAACTCTAATTAATATTTCAATAAATTATCCTCTGGTATTGACTCAGACTTCCTCCTGTGTGTTCTCTCGATAATTTATTTTCTGAGTACCCCAAACATATTTTTCCTCCTGATATTGGATAGTGAGACTGTCAGCTAAAAGTGTCTGGTTGTTCATCCAAGTCAATTCTAGAAGTTTTTATTAAGCTTTAGCCAGTTTCTTAAGACTAAGCAGAGGATATTCTGTATGTGTTGCATGGGGGATGGGGTGTGGAGAGGAGGTGACAAACAGTATTAACATTTATTACTGCATTTTATTGGATTTCCTTGACTCCATCAATGGTAAGATGCATCATCATTTTATATATTGAGAAAGTAAAAAGTCATTGCCAAGTAAAGTACGTACAATGCTTCTTTAATCATTTAGAATTTTCATTTCATACTTAATGAAAATGCTCTTTTATACTTATGTAAAAAGATTTTTATCATAGATCACTTTGCCCACAAGAAAAGGAAAATGTAAGTGAAATAAATTGGCAAAGGTATTCCTGAACCTTCTTTATATTCAGAGACAAACTTTCTGAACTCAGGGTCATTGGTGTCTGTGTTTTCTTGGCTAAAGCCATGCCCCTAGCTGTTAAGACTATTGTCTGGGATTTTCTTCTAAGCAATGACACCCTCAGGCAAACTTTGCTGCCTATATCATTGGTAACACCAATGATATCAGACTTGCTCCTGGGCAACATCAATCCCAATTTCAACTCTGTTAAAATATTTTTTTAAAGTGCCCATCTCAAAGTTGATGATCTATGATAAGTATCTGGTCTTGGATAAGAGGACAGTTTTTTAGCCAGGAAAGGTGGGACAAAGACAGAGACCTTGAAGCAAGCTGTGTGAGGAGGAAAGAGGAAGGAAGCTCAGGCCTAGGATTAACGTGTTCTCCATGAAGTAGACGAACAGGTTGGCTGTGCAGCTGGGTGGACGGGGCTGAGCTCTGAGTTCTGGAAGCTTAGAGTCACTCTAAGATGGGGAAGATGACTAGAGCTTTTGAACATCCTGTCTAATTCCTGCAACAGTGGAAGCCCAGGAGGAAATTAGGAGGAAGCTGATGCTGACAGGGCCCTAGAGTTGAGGACAAGCATGGCAAATGCTACAGAAGACCAAGAGGGAATGAGAGAAGGCTCTATCAAAATTGGTGGATGAGGTTTCCACTCCAGATGGGTGGATTTCCTGGCCTCAGCATGCTCATTCCCACTCCTGGGCCCCTAACCCATGTTGTTTATCCTTCTTAGATGTCTTTGCATGTCACCTTTTTCTAAGTACTGCCATTGGTGCCTGATACCACTATTAAGGACTAACTTGGCTAGAGGCATTGCTGTCTATTAAATATGGCTTCCTTGAGAGGCTTTTCAACTTGCATGCCGCTGTGTCTCACTCTAGTGCACAGCTGCCTTGCACTTGTCTTTTATTTTCTTGATCTTGTAAGTTCCCTCTTACCACAGGGCCTTTGCACACATTTGTCCTTCCACCAGGATGTTTCTTTCTTTCCCTGCTTATTCTTCAGTTTTTGGCTCAAACATCGTCTCCTCAGGGAAGGTTTTTCAGTAGCCTGAGCAGACAGATCATCCCTTCCAATTTTATGGGCTCTCTCTGCCATGAGACTCTTCTGCATGACCCTTGTCTCTGTTGCAGTTTAGATTTCTTTGTGTGATTACCTGATAAATGCCTGTATCTCCCACTGACAGTGTTAGCTTCTGCAGGGGAGGAGCTGTGTCTGCTTTGCTTCCCAAACCTAAGACAAGGTGTGAGCCACTGCGCCCGGCCAGGTTTCAACTTCTTATGGAACACATTAAATGTGTACATGCTTATCCTTCTTCCCAACTCTCCTCCTCTGCAATTGTTAGGGGTTGAGTTATATCCCCTCAAAATTCATATGTTGAGGGGGTTAAGTGCTCTCTTTCACCCTCTGTCTTCATGTATACATGGATGATGAATGAATGAATGAATAGATCTCTTATGAATGAATGAATAAATAAGAGCATGGGTAATAAACATAGGAGGCAATTCTGGATATGGTAGGAAACAAAGCCAGGTCCTGCTGCGAGTGCGGTTCCCCTCCCAGTGGGCGTGGATGGCAATGAACCTCACATATGACACTTGCAATGCACCACAGGGTGCCCAGTGAGTCCTCTGGAAAACTAAATGGATTTGAATCTTTTCTCATTCTCCCAGGCATGGCTGTCTAAATTCCAGCCACGGGGCATTTTATCTCTGAAAAACTGCCTACCCAATCCTGCCCCTTCCCTTGAAGCTCAATTATCATATTCTGCTGGTTTTATCTCCTGATGACTCCTAGGTCATTCACTGGGATTCTGCAGCTGTCCTGGGAACCCCTAAGAGAGCAAGGAGGGTTTGGACACCTGCAGCCAATCTGGGGCCAAATCTAGCAGGTATCTATGACATCCTTGGAGGTGTCCACCAGCCTTCCAACTCTGCTCCATGTCCTTTCTCTTCAGTTTCTCTCCAATCATTGATTTCATTTTTCTTCTTTTCTTAGCTTTCAAAATGTAGTAAGATTTACAGAACATGAAATGCACCATAGCCAATTTAAGTGTACAGTTCAGTGGCATTAAGTATAGTCTCATTGTGTGCAAGCATCATCACCTTCCATCCACAGAACATCTTTCATCTTGTAAAACTAAAACTCTGTACCCATTAAGCATTAACTCCACATTTCTCTTCCCCACAACCAGCCCTTGGTAACCTCTATTCTACTTTCTGGCTCTATGAATTTGGCTACCCTAGGCACCCTGTACAAGTGGAATTATATAGCATTTGTCTTTTTGTGAATGACTTATTTCATTTAGCATAATGTCCTTAAGGTTCATCTATGTTTTAGCTGTGTCAGAATTTCTCCTTTCCAAAGATGAATAATGTTTCATTGTATGGATATCCCACATCTTGTTGATCCACTCAGCCATTGATGGACACTTGAGTTGCTTCCGCCTTTGGCTATTGTGAAGAATGCTACTAGGAACATGGTAGACAGCTAACTCTTTGAGACCCTGCTTTCAAGTCTCTTGCATTTTCCCAGAAGTGGAATTGCTGGGTCATATGCTAATTCTATGTTTTCCACAGCAGCTGATTTTACATTCTCACCAACAATGCACAAGGGTTCCAGTTTCTTCACATCCTCACGAACACTTGCTATTTTCTGTTTTGTTTTTATACAGTAGCTATCCTAATGGTTGTGAGCTGTAATTGCTATTCTTAAACTGAAAGTCCTACCTCCAGCTCCTCCTAGTGAGGAAGGGATTTAACTTTCAAATAGTGCTTAGCACCTATGATGGGCAAAGTGCTTTGCCAAGGGCTGGGCCAGCATCCAAATCCCTGTGCTCCCTGCCACTTCCTTGCTGTGCCCATCACATCACCGCTGAGCCTGGGTCCCTTCATCTATAATGTAGGAATGACAATAATAGGGTGTACTTCATAGGATCATCGTGGCAATTGATTTATTTAATGTATATAGAAGGATTCATGTAGTACCTGCCATGTTCTTGTTCTTTTTCTTATTCTAAATTATTCTTATTTGCTACACAGAAAAGACATGAAAAGATTCATTTTCCCCTTACCATGGGGGCACTGACAGCACCCTGCTGGAGCACCTGGGGCTGGTTTTCTCCCCGTCCCCTGCTGCTGTATCTGGGATCCTATCCAGCCCGGGAAGAAATGCCCCAGATGTTATCAGGGTGATGGCAGTACAGATTTCCTCTTTATGCTTCTGTCTGTTTTAAAAAGTGAGTATGGTTTTGTAATAATTAGAGTTAAATGTTATCATAATAGTAACGACATTTTAAGGGAGCACAGACTTCTAGCCAAAGATAAAATCATTTCTTCTCTGTTCCTCTCCCTTAAAATCTACATACAACAACCACAAATAAGTAAACATTGAAATAAACTTTATTTTTGATGGAGCTGGGAGATGTCTCCATTGCTGGACAGTCTCTCTTGTATCTGGAACAAAGCATGGCAGGTGAACAGAGCTGGCAGGGCCCTCATCAGACTTGAAGCAAGATCTGCTTTCCCTGGAAATAAGGTTTACCCTCCTGAAAGACTTCTGTCTTAGTTTAGAGGGGCCATAAATGAGGATGGGATGTTCAGAGAGAAGCAGAGGCACAGCTATGCAGGTCTGTTTGACTCCACAGAGCAGAAGGGAAGAAATCATGGGGAAAGGTAGTTCTCTTATCTGGGATCTAAATTCCTCACTCAATGAGACTGTGGGAGGTGGTCTGGGGTGAAGGGTGGGGGAGGGTGCAGTGACCTCTGGGCTCAGTGCAGGCAGCCTGAGACAGAGTGACATCAGCTTCTCCAGTATGAAAAACTGAGGGGGCACATGCCTTTGGTACAGGAAATAGATTTGGTGAGAAAGTACCTGTGATCACAACTCTGAACAAAGTAGGGGCTTCTCCATCCACTCTCTGACCCCTCTCCAGCCCTCTCACCCCACATTATAACTGTCCAGATACATAAGAGCAAATAAGTATCCTGCCTAAAGGAGAGGAATGGCAGGGAACAGTCAGCCTAGGACCCATGTATTTATACCAGAAAAAAAAAAAAAAAGAAACAGGGAAAGAAATTCAAGCAAAAGCAGCTAACGATCATGTATCACAAGAAAAATTACCCAACATAACAGAATAAGAGGTGGACAAATGGTTATCTATGGGCTCGAAGAAACTGTAGACAATATGATCTTTCTATGAAAAAACTCAGAGAGTTGATGAAAAGCATGCTAACGAAGCCTAGGAGAGAAATGGATGAGAAAGGAAAAGATTTACAGAGTTGAATGCTGTATTGAAAGCAGCAAAACCCAGCAAGAATAAACACGATTGGAAAGTCAGCCAGGGAAGTGGCAAAGAGATTAGAAAAAATCATAAAAGTGAAATGGAAGAGAATACAAAATATAAATATAAAAATGAGAGAAGATGGCAGACATAAAAGACAAAAGATATCAAACACACACACAAATGATGGACTCGAAATAATGATCAGAGCAAGGAGGACATACATTCCCGCAAAACATCTGTGAAATAAAGACTTGAACTGTATGGTGAATAGGCACAGGAAAATTACACAGAATTAAGGGTTGTCTTGCAGAGGCTCTCAAACTTCCAAGAAAAGAAAAATCATATGGAGATCTGACATGTAGGGTGTAGAGGGAAGAAAGTCGAGTACAAGGGGAAAAATTGGGCTGGCCCCAAATGTATCCATACTGATTTTTAATTCATAAGACAAGGGAGCAATGTTTATGATGTTCTGATAAGAAAAAATAAGACCCTGAAATCTATACTCAGCCGAATTGCCCTTGAAGTATAGAGATAGCACACATCCCTAAGTGTGCAAGAATTTAAGTTATGTAGGACCTACGGATCCTTCTTGGGGAAAAAAAAACAGAATGAAAGAAACACTTAATGGAATTCAGCCAACCTAGAGATGAATCAAAGTAAAGAATTCTAGAGTGAGAAGTTGTCATACAAAAGCCTGGTGCCGGTAATTGACCCATTTCAATATATAACTAAGACTAAAGAATTGTGGAAATTATGGATACAGAAGAGAGTGCACATGTTATTAAACTTAGACTATAAAAAGAATAATAAGACTGAGAAAATGATCAGTAGAGTATTAGTTTGCTAGGGTTGCTGGAAGAATCTTCTGAAGACTGGGTGGCTTAAGCAACAGGAATTTATTGCCTTACAGTTTTAGAGGCTGTTAATCTGAGATCAAGGTGTTGGCAGTGGTTCTTTCTGAGGGCTTCTCTGGTGGTTTGCTGGCCATCTTTGTGTTCCCGATCTCTGCCTTCATCTTCACCTGGCATTCTACCTGTGTGCATGCCTGTCTATATCCAACTTTCCCCTTTTTGTAAGGATCCCAGTCATATTGGATCAGAGTCACAATAATGACCTCATTTTAACTTGGTTACCTATGTAGAGACCCCGTCTCCAAATACAGGGAGGTACATGGGGTTAGAACCTCAACATATGAATTTTGAGGGGATATAACTCAACTCCTAACAATTGCAGAGGAGGAGAGTTGGGAAGAAGGATAAGCATGTACACATTTAATGTGTTCCATAAGAAGTTGAAACCTGGCTGAGTGTGGTGGCTCACGCCTGTAATCCCAGCACTTTGGGAGGCCGAGGTGGGCAGATCACGAGGTCAGGAGATCAGACCATCCTGGCCAACATGGTGAAACCCTGTCTCTACTAAAAACACAAAAATTAGCTGGGGGTGGTGGCACGTGCCTGTAATACCAGCTATTCGGGAGGCTGAAGGAGGAGAATCACTTGAACCAGGGGCTCTGATGTTGCAGTGAGCTGAGATCGCCACTGCACTCCAGCCTCATGACAGAGCGAGACTCCGTCTCAAAAAAAAAAAAAAGTTGAAACCTGTAGCTCAAAAAACAAAATGACTCCAACCTCTTAATACCATATAATCATTTTTTCCTTAAGTTTAAATCGCTCTTGTTAGAACAAATACGTCTTGTAGCAATAGAACATATAGCTGGAAATTTAGTAACTCCTTCAGGCTTGCTTGCTTCTTTTGTCTGTTAAAATAAAAAATAAATTTTTAATTAAAAATTTTTGGCCAGGCGCGGTGGCACACGCCTGTAGTCCCAGCACTTTGGGAGGCCGAGGCAGGCGGATCACGAGGTCAGGAGACCCCGACTATCCTAGCTAACACAGTGAAACCCCGTTTCTACTAAAAATGCAAAAAAATTAGCCGGGCATGGTGGCGGGCGCCTGTGGTCCCAGCTACTCGGGAGGCTGAGGCCGAGAATGGCGTGAACCCGGGAGGCGGAGCTTGCAGTGAGCCGAGATCGCGCCACTGCACTCCGGCCTGAGCAACAGAGCGAGACTCGTCTCAAAAAAAAATTTTTTTTGAAAAATTTAAAGTGGAGAAGTATGGCCATCACAGATAATTCCAGCATCCAGCACACTTTCCCGCTCTGAAAGGTGTTACACTAGAGCACTGGGGATGGGGGTGACATACATTTAACAATATCTGGAAACTTTTTTTTTTTTTTTTTTTTTGAGACAGGGTCTCTCTCTGTCACCCAGGCTGGAGTGCAGGGATGCGATCACAGATCACTGTAGCCTTGAACTCCTGGGCTCAAGCGATCCTTCCACCTTGGCCTCCCAAGTAGCTGAGGCTACAAGAACACACCACTATGCCTGGCTAATTTTTTAAAGTTTTTTGTAGAGGCAGGGTCTCGCTATGTTGCTCAGGCTGGTCTCAAACTCCTGGCCTCAAGCAATCCTCCTGTCTCAGCCTTCCAAACTGTTGGGAATATAGGCATGACCCATGGCACCTGGCCTGGAAACATTTTTCATTGTTATGACTTGGGGCAAAGTGGAGAAAAGGCAGTGTTACAGGCATCTAGTTGACAGAGGCCAGGGAATGCTGTAAACATCTTACAGTGCACAGTGCACCCTGTCCCCAACAATGATCCCATCCCAAACGTCCATATAGCCAAGGTTAAGACCTCCTTCACTACTGAGATGAGCATCAGGCGGTGGAAAGAAGGGAAGTTGCAGTCTCTCCCTAACACTACCTAGGATTCACTACATGTGGCTTCAGCGACTATACTGTGTCTCTCATGGGAATTTTTATTTTATTATCATTATTATTTTTGAGTCATGGTCTTGCTCTGTCACCCAGGCTGGGGTGCAGTGGCGTGATCATGGCTCACTGCAGCCTCTAACTCCTGGGCTTGTGATTCTCCTGTCTCAGCCTCCCCAGTAGCTGAGACTACAGGTGTGCACCACCACGCCCAGCTAATTTTAAAATTTTTCTTTTGTAGAGATGGGGTCTCGCGATGTTGACTAAGATGGTTTTGAACTCCTGTCCTCAAGGGTTCCTCTCACCTTGGTCTCCCAAAGTGCTGGAATTACAGGCTTGAGCCACCATGCCTGGCCGGAATTTTTATTTTAAAAAGCATGCTGGGTTAAGCCTCTGTTTCCCCAACAGGCTTCATCTCTACTGAGGCGTTTAAGGCACTGCATCAAGCAAATAGGGGAGAAAACCTGGGGCAGGGAGACTTTTCTAGATGGCTCTGGGTGGTGCCAGTGGGCAGACCACGGACCTAGTGTTTTGATGCGGCCTCTCTCTGCAGTGCCTCCTTGATGGACTCACCTCCCTCTCATGGGCTGTTCCCTGTTTGCCCAGCTTAACACCCCCAGACTCCTGCACCCTCTCTCTATGTCCCCTTCCCCATCAGTTCCTGAAGCCCCTGACTTGCCTCATCCTAGGAAGCTTCTTGGCTCCAAGTCCCCTCCCCTGGAACTGCCCCTGCTTGGCCAGCTCTCTTGAGTGCCTTTGAAGATTTCCGGCTTCTCTCATCCGGAAGCTGCACATGGGGTCAGGCATTTGAGCCCGCTAATCGCTCCGTTCTGCCAATGCCCGAGTGCCACAAAGCCTCTTTTTATGCCTATTGAAAGCCTCTGAGGAGCTTTCAAGTGCTCTTTGATAAATCATGGTAAGTGTTATTCCGGCCACTCCAGCACGGTACCTGCTTGGAGGCCTCCCGCCTCCCTGGGCCACTGCTCTCCATCACTGCATTTCACCGGCGACAGTAATTCATTCCACTTGAGCTGATGAGCTTAGTTCCCATTTATTTGCACATTATGAGCTGTGTCACTCCACTTACCCTCTAGACAGTAAATGGTTTGAAAAATGCAACTGTAACAAATATTAGGGAGAGGATAAGAGAGGGGGGAAAGAATGTGAGAGAGAGAAGGAGGGAAATTGAACCTTTGAATTCAGAGTCCAAAAAACTCAGATAATAAATAAAGCTCTTGAATTATTCCAATTAGCAGCAGCAGCAGAAGCAACAGGAATGCCACAACAACTGGCAAGCTTCCTTGAAAAGAAACCTCATTCTCCATCCTCTCTCTCTCTCTCTCTCTCTCCCCTCGAATCTGAGTTCTCTGAGTGGAGGGAACTCAAGCATCATTCTTGGGCCAGGACAATGATTAGGCTGCAGTGTTGGCTTTTACCTTCAAAGTCAGAGAGGCCTAGCCCCAGCTTTCTGCTTTTCCCATTAAAGGCCAGAGGCCCCACTGTGTAGCCCATCCCTCTTGTTGTAACTGGGATGACTTGCAAGGAAACAGAGGCAGTTGAGCAAAGTCATCCTTCTTTTTCTAGGTCTCAATAGATGATGCAAACCAGAACTTGAAGTGGAGTCTTCTAAAACCCGGTGTGGTTGGGCGAATGCTGGCCTGTATTACATCTTTGTCAACAGTCTAGGCTGAGCCTGGTGGCTCATGCCTCTAATCCCAGCACTTTGGGAGGCCAAGGTGGAAGGATCACTTGAGGTCAGGGGTTCAAGACCAGCCTGGCCAACATGGTGAAACCCCATCTCTACTAAAAAAAAAATTACAAAAGTTAGCCGGGCATGGTGGTGGGTGCCTATAATCCCAGCTACTTGGGAGGCTAAGGCACGAGAATCGCTTGAACCTGGCAGGCAGCGGTTGCAGTGAGCTGAGATTGCTGCTCTCCAGCCTGGGCAACAGAGTAAGACTCCATCTTAGAAAAAAAAAAAAAAAAAGAAAGAAACACAGAATACATAGCCACCCTCACAAACAAGTAGCTATTGCATTGCTTGGCTAGCCAATGACACCTTGTATGAAGAAAACATCCCCCTTCCTCTGGGCAGATGTAGCACCGTGCTAAGGTACACAGTTTGGTGTGCAGTGTATGGACTGAGTTTTGCCCCCAACTGGGGTCCTTTGTGCAGTGCACATCCTACACAACTATACACGAGAGCTTGCTGTGATAAGCCAGGAACATCGGCTTCCCATGTGCATAGGAGGAGGTAGGTGGGTACCAGAATCTTGAAAGAGCTCAGGCCATATCTAGAAAGGTGGAAGCATGTACTCAAATCAAGAGCTGAGTCAGGAGGTGGGGAGACTGCAGAATGGCAGAGCTGGGCAAAGGGTTGTCTGTACCCAAGCTGCAGTGAGAGGAGTAGATCAAGATCCAGGGGAAGGTTTGGGGCTGAAGATGTGAGTGCAGAGGCTGCGTGACACTCAGCACATGCTATGAGTGGTCCAGCACACTTAGAGGAGGCATGCCAGGATGGGCTGGAAATGTGGACTGTATTGAGCCAAGGTAACTCTCCACATGCTAGGATATGGCAGTGGAGGAAGGATGATGTCATGACAAAAATCATGGTCTTAACCCTAGCTCTGTCACTGTGGAAGATGAGGCCTTTGACTAGCAGCAAGTATTCACTCCCTCCCCAACCTCAATGGGCAAAATGCACTATCTCATCCCTTTAACTTTGAGCTTAGTCATGTAACCTGCTTTGGCCAATGTGATGTTGGCCATTGTGATGCCGGCAGAGGCTTGAAATGTGCTTGTGTGGTTGGGCTTGCCTTCTTGCTCTCCTGTCATTGTCATAGGTACATACCTTGGGGAGCCCACTGGTCCCAGAAGGAGATGCACGTAGATCAGATCTGAACCACACCGAAGGCCTGGATCCAAGTCCAGCTGAGCCCAGCCTAGATCAGCCAAGCTGCAGCCAAACCTCGGATCATTATGATTCTCTGCTATGTAGTGATAGCTAAGGCAACTACGTCCTTGCTGTGCAATCTTTGACAAGTTATCTTCTCTACCAAAAACTTAATTTCTTCATCTATAATATGGCAAAATATAGAGCAATTGTAAGAATTAAACAAAATAGCAGCGTGAAGTACTTAGCATAATATATAGTTAATAAATATTAAATATTATTATGCTTTATAAGCCATCCCTAATTCCTTTGCCCTTTCCTTTGCTGACTTCCCAGATATATCTCTCTCTATCCTAGACACTACAACCACCATATATCAGTAATGCATTTAGGAGGCTGAATTGCCAGGTCCTGGGCCATCTTATAAAATACTGCTATGTGGGAAGAAAAAATGACGCAGGCTGTAGTCACTGTTAATAGTAAGAATGAACACATAGAGCATTTCCCCTGTGCAGCATTGGGCCTTAAAAGGAGATGTGATTGGCCTAAAGGTGAGCTTTTCCGAGGACTGGTCCAGGACCCTTGCCATAGTGAGATGCGGGAACAAGCCCATCGACAGAGAAGTGCACATAGGCCTCCAGCCTTAGAGCAGTTCTGCTGGTCCAGGGAGTTCCAGGAAGTCTTAAATGGAGAAACAAATCACCATAAGCCTTTGTGTTTGCACCACCCTTCACAGTCCATGCTGGGATCCTGGTACCTTGCAACAACTCCAGAAGACAAGGCCGTGATTGCTTGCACTTTGCATTCAGGAAAGTGAAGGCTCGAACTGGGCAGGAAAGTGGCAGAACCAGTGTAAGAGTTCCACTTGTTTGGCTCTTCACCAGGGCTCTCACATTAACTGGCTCTTGCAGAAGAGCCTTCTGGGAGAGCTCCCAATGTGAGATGGAAGAGAAATTGTCACACTCAGCAAAGTTGAATCAGCCTGCAGAGGCTTCCATGCACATCTGCTAGTGAGTATTCACTGGAGTGAAGAGCGAGGAGAGTTTCAGAGATCATTGAGGAGAGTGCCATCCCAGAACTGAGGCATTTGTACATTTCTGTCATGTCTACATTTTTACTCACTTTGATTTTTTTTTTCTGAATAGACCACGTTTTTACTTGAATATAATTGTATATGTGAAATCACAGATACAATATGTTGTATTTTTTCCAAATATACCTTAAAACAAATATGACTATTCAAGCAAAAATTGTTCATGCATGTACCTTCTAAAATCATCACATTCATGCTACCAAGAAACTACTATTATGGGAAATGCTGATGTAGTCTAAGGCTTTTAGTTTTCAGAGGAAAACGAGGCAGAGAGGCAATGGGGCGGGCCAAGGCCATACATTTAGAACAGAGGCAAGGCCACAGCAGGGCACAGCCGAGTCTCCACTCACATGGCTCAACCATCTGTCCTTGCCAGTGGGTCCCCAGCATGTACTCTGGGATGCCAGTTCTACACACGGCTCCCATTCTAGGTAAGAAGACGATTCTGGGCCCACGGAGTTTGGGAAACACTGGCCTAAACCCAGTCAGGAGGGTTTTCTGGCCTTACAACTTGGCAAACACCGAAGTGACCCCCAAAGTGCCAGCTCTTGCTGTCTCCAAACGACTCTGGCCACAGAACCCATTTTCCCAGAGTAGCTGGAGGGGCGGCATGCTGATGAGCTCTCTTGAGGCTCTGTGCCCAGCAGGTGAGGCCCAAGGACCTTCCTAGAGACACAGGCCCACTTTGTCTGGTAACCTGAGACCCATAAGAAAAGAATCAAGGATGATTTTCCTACAAAATGGGTAAGTGAGGTGGCTGTGGTTGGGAGGGCTGGGGACACAGGGGCTCGGGTCCTGGAGGCCGTGAAGGGGCAGTGCAAAGGATTCCAGAGGGAAGCCTGGCTGTGGGGTCAGCTGCCATGGCCGTATCCTGGGACTGAAAAGCATGATCACCAGCCCCACGGGTCCCCATTCTAGTCCCACCAGACTTCCAAAACTGATTCATCGGGAGCTTAACAGGGGCTTTGCCTCTCCCCAGCTGTGAAAACTTGGGCAACTCATGCCCTCTGAGACTTGTGATCCTCATCTATAAAATGGGATAAGACCATTTATATCACAGTTCATTGTAATGATTAAATGAGAAAACTCCCATAAAGTGCCCAGCAGAGAACCTGGTTAGTAGATGCCCAGCAAACAGTAGTTATTAATATTATCAGCCCCATCCCCTCCTGAATCTGCAGTTCTGATCATGTTGCCTCTCCCCGTCTCATTTCTTGGTTCTCCGTTATCTCTCATGGGGCATAAGAAAAAATCTATTTGCTCTTTGTCCTCAGTTTCCGGCACAGAGCTCCTAAAACCCTTGGAATTTTTTGAGTGATGAGAGCATCTTTTGTTATTCACTCTTTTGATCACTTCTGAGTTTATGTTAATGACGTAATTTAGGATGGGGCCCCTAGAGGAGGAGGCCATGGGAATCCCAATTTATAGCTGATGAGTCAGAAGTGCAGGTGGAAACCTGGCACTTGCAATTGGCATCTGAAGTGGGGGCCGCCTTAAGGGACTGAGTCCCTTCACTTCTGGGAGCTGGCGCTGACTCCAGGTAGATAGTGTCAGAATTGAATTGAATTATAGGGCAACCAGCTGGTGTCCACAGGGAATGGACAATCAGTTGTTGGTGTTGGAAAACACCTCCAGACCTGAGTTCAGTCGGTTGGGCAAGATCTGTCTTCCTGGGTCAATAAACATGTATTTCTGGGTACTGGGTGCTGACTACTGTTTGGCCCAGAGATGAGGAAGAAAGAAAGACCATCACAAAGACTTTCCTGTGTCACAACATCTGTGCAGTTGTACACAGAGGGCACAACTTAAGTTAAAGAGCAACTTAAGTTAAAGGGTATCTTAAGATATTCACATTCTTAAGCTTTCAAATGTGAATGTCTATTCAGGTGGCTCTCGTGGGATTGGGGTTCCAGGTTCAAAATCTGCTGGCTTATGCTGGGGTAACTTATTAAAATAATTCTGACCTCAGTTTCCCCTCATGGAAAATGAGGATAGTTGTACTCAGTTCACGGGGTGCTTATGGGATGATGGCTTTAAAACACTGAGCACTCTGACAATTCGTTCCTGAGATTTTTATGCTGTCCTGGAATCAAAAGAGGTTTGTTGGAACCCCTATCTTAACAGTCATGTTTAATGTCCCCTGACTGGGCCCACGGCTGGGGATCCAGGGCCTCAAGGCCCCCATGGGCCTGAGGATAGGATAGGTGGCTTCACACAGGGACTCCTCATCTCTGCAGCAGAGGCACCGAAGAGAAATTAATTCTCCCCATTTGGGGTCTTCCTCTGTATTACCTATTCATCAAAAATTGCCTGGCGTTTGTGCATTTTTCATTACAAGAGTCAACATTTGCCACGTTAATAAAGCAAGGGGCTGCTTTTCTCCTCTCAGAAATAGAATATGTAACGACAGGGCCCCTTTGATGTTTCCCAGCCAATACAATATGTATCTGAATGAGGATGAAAGTCATCCTATTAAGGCCAGGCTGCAGAGGCGTTGCGATGGAGCAGAGATTGGGGAGGGGGTACGGTGCGAGTCTCTGCAAGATGCACAGCAAGGCAGGGAGTGGGCTGAGGCTCTACGGAGAGGCCCCTTCCTATCCCAGACCCAGAGAGAGGCCTCAGTTCCTGCACCAAGGGCTGGGAATGGAGTTTAGTTGCAGGGTCAGCTCACAGTATCTCAGAAGGAAGATGATCTAGAAGGAAAATAAATTCCTTCCTTGCAGGGTTATTTGTTTGTGTGCATTAAATGGGACTGTGGACCTACGTGTGCTTCATGATGGGATAAACATCTGGTGGGACAGAATTGTTTTTGTCATCAAAAGCAGCTGCCTGTCCTGAACACCTATGATGCCAGTGCTGTGTGAGGCACTCAAGGAGACCAACTGGTGGGACCTTCTCCATCTTTGTCCCCACAGAGCTGACAGCCTAGGTGGGGAGAAGAGCCCATCAAGAGATGTGAATATTTAATGTACCAACGTTCCAAGTCCAGACAGCCATGGGATACAGGCTACAGGGCAAGGTGAACAGAACCACCAGAACCTTCAGCAGCCTGACCCCAAGCCCTCAACCTCACTGAGATGACTGCTGACCAAACCCTAACAGGGTTCTGCAACACGTGGTGAGTAGGAAAGCAACTGAAGGCCTCTCCTCTTCTCTTATAAGCCCTGTGTTCGCCATATCCTGTCTTCACAGACTACTTGGACCTCGGAACCATCCAGATATAAGCTTCTTTGGCAGACCACACCTGCCCCATGTCTTCAAATAACCTACCAGGATGGATTACAAACGATGGCCTTAGACACTGTCTCATCAACTCCCTTCTAATCCCTCTGCCCCTTCCCCCGGCCAGCCACCTATCTTGTCTCTTTCTCCTTTTGTGAAATATCATGGAATCTTTCACAGCAAAGTCTTGGGAAGTTGTACTGACTCTTCTAGTTGCTGATCATGTGGCCTTGGGCAAGTCACATACCGTCTCTGAGCCTCAGTTTCCATATCTGTGAAATGAGAATAACAATAGCGCCTGTGTGCTAGGGCTGTTGCGTCTTAAGTGTGATACCCAGCATGCAGCCATGGCTCAGTAGTGGTGTGCAGTCATGGCTCACTCCCTCCTCCTCGTCATCCCGGTCCCCCACTCCTTCCCCCTTCACAGGTTGGGGCTTGTGGACAGAGATGCAGCCAGAATACCCCAGGACCTACGAGGATATACTATTCTAGGACTGTCTGTGAAAGACTTGCTCATTCTATTCCTGGCCCTGAAGTCAACTGGGAGGCAGGCTCAGGTTCTGGGCTCTGCTGGAGATGATCTGCCTCAGGCTGGGTTTGCTGCTATAACAAGAAAAACTGCTTGCCAACTGGCTCCTTCTGGCTCTAGCCTTGCTTCAGCTGGTTCATGGCAGAGGCTCTTCATCCTTCCTCTGGAAGATTGCTGACACCAACAAAGATGTGTGGACTTTCAGGGTAGAAGGAAGGAACGTGAAAACTCAGGGAGAGGCAAGTGAGAGGAGCTAGAGCCATTGGCTGAAGACCTCAGTTCAAACTCCTTCAAGGAAGGTCTTTGAACATGCAGAGCCTCAGTTGTCTCACCTGTAAAATGGAGTTTCTGTCACCTGCTGATCCCTACTCCTGACTTGCAGGGTCAGTTGAGCTCATGTGTGTGTGAGAGGCCCATGGAGTGGTCAGGAGTTTTCATGCTGAAATCAGCACTACCACTTTCTAGCTGAGCACCTGTCTCAGTTGCTGGTCAGCAATGGGGGACAGAACCTTCCTGACAGAGCTGCTGTATAAATTCAGAGAGCTTCCATGCTCAAAGTGCCCAGTGCCATTCCTGGCACCCAGGTGCAGCCTCTATTCTCAGGGGACTACACTGTGTGGGAGAGAGGCAATGCACACGTGTAGAAAGTGGCTCTGTGGGTAGAGTGCCTACGTGTCTCCTGAATATGTCCACTGTCCTGGCATAATTACCAATAGCAACCCCTTTCACACTCAAAAGTCTTCTAACTTAGAAGATAAATTTTATAGTCACTTTCACTATGAAGAAAATGAAAGAGCATTTAGTGAGAGAGTGACCAGATCAGACATCGTTAGATGGGTCAGAAAGGCCACTCAGAGGATACGATGTGTTCATTAAGACCTGAATGAAGGGAAGGAGTCAGCCATGCATCAGTGTGGTGAATTAGCTTTCCAGTAGAGGGGAGAGCAGAGGCTCTGTGGCAGCCTTGAGCTTCAGATGTTGGAGGAACAAGAAGGCTAACAGTGTAGTTAGAGCAAATTGAACAGAGAGAATAGTGCAAAAAGAGGGCCTAGGAATAGCCAGGGACACATCATAGACTTCTTCTGAACATTTTAGTCCCATGACCTCAAACCTCATACAGTGTCTCTCTTTTTTTCTTTTTTTTTTTTTTTTGGAGATGGAGTCTCGTTCTGTCACCAGGCTGGAGTGCTATAGCTCGATCTCGGCTCACTGTAACCTCCACCTCCCAGGTTCAAGCAATTCTCCTGCTGAGCCTCCTGAGTAGCTGGGATTACAGGTGCCTGCCACCATGCCCAGCTAATTGTTGTATTTTTAGTAGAAACGGGGGTTTCAACATGTTAGTCAAGCTGGTCTCAAACTCCTGACCTCAGGTGATTCATCCGCCTCAGCCTCCCAAAGTGCTGGGATTACAGGCGTGAGCCACCACGCCGGGCCCACATTCTCTTTTGTCTTAAGCTGGTTTGAGTCAAGTTTTCTTTACTTGCACATGGTAAATGTGCAATATTTAATAATATAAAATATCAACACTGGTAGTCTCATGTAGGATTAGAGAGCTTTTACTTTTAAAAGTTTGCTTCTCTGAATTTTATGCAATGAACTTGGATTACTTTTGTAATTAAACAAACAGGTTATATAAAAGATATTGTATGTCTTCCCCATGCACAGTAGCCGAACCAATTCTTCCCTCCTGACAGCCAATAAAGGCCCAGTGAAAAAAAAGGAGAGGAAGAGAAGACCAACAGCCTGTGAAGTTCATGTAATTGCCAACAGGGGGGTTGAGAATTCACCAAGGGAAGAGGAGAATAAGCACCGTGTGGATGGAGCTTCTCCCTGGTGCAGATGGAAAATTCAGGGAGACACAGATTGACTTAGTACTTAATATTAGTTGTTGGTCCTTCTTTAAGTTGAATGCCTCCTCCACAGTCTCTGCTCCCAGAAGGCCACAGTTATGGCTGATGACTCTCTGAATCTGCAGCTGCTGATGTGCAGTAAGTATCACTGATATTTGGCAACTGGCCTATTGAGCACAGAGCATGGCCTCTATTATCCTCAAGAAGGCCCCATCCAACCAAGGCTGGCCATAGAGGAGAGTGAGAGGACATCCATGAAGGGCCTGAGAAGAACCTACAAGTCACAGAGAAGACTGCTGGGCCAGACAAATGGACCCTCTCTCAATCTGTTAGAACAGAAGGGACCTCCATTCAGTCCAGAGATCACAGACGCCTGGCATGAAGGATGCTTTGCCCATTTCACTTATGCCCATGGCAGAGATTCATGGCACACCCTCTGTATTAGGGTTCTCCAGAGAAACTGAACTAATGTATATATTTATATACTATATATATGTTAACTAATATATTTATATACATTATATATAAATATATAATATATATAAATTTACATATTATATATAAATAAATATTTACATATTATATAAATATATAAATATAAATATATAATGTATATTTATATATAATGTATACAAATATGTATTATATATTTAAATTATATATTATATATTTTACATAATTATATATAATTTATATATTATATATAATATATAAATATATAATATACATTTAATTATATATAGAGAGAGAGATAGAGAGGCAGAGACAGAAATTATGGGAATTGGCTCATGCAATTAAGGAGGCCAAGGAAAGCCAGTGGTGTAATTCAGTGGAAGTCTGAAGGCCCAAGAACCAGGAGCACTGATGTCCGTGCATGTCCCAGCTCAAATAGAATTTGCCCCTTTTCCACCATTTTATTCTAATCAATCAGGCTCTCAATGGATTAGGTGATGTCTGCCCACATTGGTGAGAGCAGATCTTCTTTACCCAGTCTACTGATTCAAATGCTAATTTCTTCTGGAAACACCTTCAGACACACCCAGAAATGATGTTTTACTAGCTCTCTGGGCATCCTTTAGACCAGTCAAGTTGACCCATGAAATTAACCATCACACTCTCCTCTGAACCCAGGCACGGTTTCAGAATACTTCCTCATGCAAGGCTCCATGCAGTGCCTACTAATTGAGCTAAATTAGGACAAAACCTCTTTGCCTTCACTGATCATATCCAAACTTCTCATTTGACAAATGGGGAGTCTAAGATGAGAGAGAACATATTCCAAAGTCATTCAATTCGTGAATAGTAGATGCAAGACTCCGGGTCCCTGGATCCCAGCTCTGGGCGCCTCCCATCACCCGACGATGGCTCTGGAGTGGCTACTTCCTTGCAAAATGTTCTTTGCCCTCATACTTCTGCAGTCTCCACCCAACCACGCCCTAAAGACTGTAGTGTTTATTTTAGCGAACGCACAAATCTGGTCTCTAAAGGATGAACATTAATAAAATATGCGCTCTAACTCTATGTAACAAGGAAAATATAGAATACATTTTCTATTCCCATTGATCCTCAGGCCACTGGCAATCCACCAACAATTGATTTAGCCATTTGATTAGTTTGGGGGAAAAACATTATATTTTAATGGGGTATATATAATTCTAAGTTACTGCTTTGAAGTTGAACCAAATATTAAAATTACCTCTTTTTATGGATGCTGCACAGCTATGAAGCTTTATAATTGTAGCCTGGGCTTTTGTAGGTGATTTGAACTGGAGAGGCAATTTCTGCAAAGCTTATTGCATGGTCCTGGTGGCCGCCAGGCTAGCCAGCTCCTTTGACAAGAAAAAAGGTGCAGATGACAATGCTAATAATTACACCCTGTGTTTGACCCACACTTCACAGCTACAAAGCTCAACAGTAATTTTTCTGAGCTGCTTCCCTTTAAAACAGCTCCCAAATCCGTCTCCTCTACCACCTCCCAAGTCCAGGATCATCAGCACTTAACTGGACTTCTGCAGTAGTTGTTTCTTTATTGCTGTTTTTTAAGCAGGTATCCTTCTTTTTGTTTGTTTGTTTTTGTTTTGTTTTGTTTTGTTTTGTTTTAGAGATGGAGTCTCGCTCTGTCGCCCAGGCTGGAGTGCAGTGGCGCGATCTCGGCTCACTGCAACCTCTGCCTCCTGGGTTCAAGCAATTCTCCTGCCTCATCCTCCCAAGTAGCTGGGACTACAGGCGCATGCTGCCACGCCCAGCTAATTTTTTTTTTTTTTGTATTTTAGTAGAGACGGGGTTTCGCCGTGTTGCCCAGGCTGGTCTCCAACTCCTGAGCTCAGGCAATCTGCCCGCCTCAGTCTCCCAAAGTGCTAGGATTACAGGCGTGAGTCACCGCGCCCGGCCAACGGGTGTCCTTCTCGACCCACTGTCATCCATTAATCTGTTGCTTAAAATCCTTCTGTGGCCTCCTATTACCTAGAACAAGGTTAGCAAATTACAGCCTGGGGGTTAATCTGGCCTGCTTCCTCGTCTCATAGATAGTCTGATTGGAACACAGCCTCACCCATTTGTTTGCACACTGTCCATAGCTAGTTTTGCACTAAACAACAGAGTTGGGTAGCACAGTCATTGCAAAAAAGACTTTATGGCCTGGAACGTTTAAAATAGTTACTATATAGCCTCTTACAGAAAAAGACTGCTGGCCTTTGAACTAGAGAATAAAGTTTAAAAGTCTTCCCTAAGCCCACCAGGTCTTCTGTGTTCTGGCCCCAACTATCCCTGGGTCTTTCCTTTTGAACCACTCT